>NC_000014.9:68702622-69005652 GCF_000001405.40 Homo sapiens | reverse complement strand
AGCAGAGGGTCTTCGGTGTAAGACCAGGGTGTTTGCTTAATATACAGAGTTCAGGCACACGCCCACACCAAGTGAATCAGACTCTGGGGATGGGTTGTACAACCTGTTTGAACCCCTTTCCCTGCAGGATTTCTTTCTTTTTTCACAGAAAGGTTTAGAAACTTCCCTACTTAGAAGAAACCAGTGTGAGGAATAAATGAGCCCAGCTGCCGAAGGACGTACCCTTGGGATGAGAGGATGGCCAGGAGCTGGAGGAGGCAAGGGCTGAGGGCCGGGAGGATGAAGATGAATCTCAGCTGAGGGAGAGACCAATCTGGGCTAGGGAAGGTGAGGCTGGGAGGTCTCTTGGAAGAGGCAGCTACATTCCTCTCATTCCTTAAAGGTGAATTTCTGAGGGTAGAATTTCAAGGGGGCGAATGGAAAGGACAGGAGCAGTATCTATCTATATCTATCAATCTATTATCTATCGGTCTATCATCTTCCCCCAATCCCCTCCCAGTGTTAACCAGCTCACCCTGTGGCAGCAGGAGCCTCTAGAGCTGGGTGTGTTGGAGGTTGGTGTGTTAGACTGCTCGGGTTTCCACAACAAGATACCAGAGACTGGATGACTTGAACACCAGAAATCGATTTCTCATAGTTCTGGAGGCTGGAAGTTTAGGATGCCAGCAAGGCAGCTTTCACTCTGAGACCTCTCCTCTTGGCTCGTAGTGGCTGTCGTCTTGCTGTATGCTCACATGAGCTCTTCTGTGAGGGAGAGGGTGGTGAGGGAGGAGAAGATGGGGAGAGGGCAGGGAGAGCTGGGGGAAGAGGGAGGAGGGAAAGGAAGGGGAGGGAGGGAGACAGAGACAGAGCATGCTCACTCTCTCTTGTGCCTCTTACTAATCCTATTGGCTCAGAGCCCCATCCTTATAACTTCATTTAGCCGTAATTGCCTCCTTGAAGGACCTGTCTCCAAATACAGCCACATGGAGCGTTAAGGCTTCGAGGTAGGAACTATGGAAGACATAATTCAGTCTGTGGCAGTGGCTTCTCTGATGTCTCAGCTTGCTCAAAGGACCATGCTGGAACTCACAGCATCCTCCAGGGAGACTGGACCAAAGTGGGAAAGGGTGTGGGTGACTGTTGAGTCCCCCTCGTGCTCGCAGTTCATAGACTGACCTGGGGGCTGGGGGTGGAAGAAGCCTTGCCTGTGCCTAGGCCTCTGGAGACCCAGGTATAGGAATGAAGGAGATCGGGATCCAAATAGCACACAGGGCTGGCCTGGGGATCTCTGAGAGCCAGACACAAGGACAGCAGCCATGGCCCAGGGGAATAGGAGCTTCCCTGGAAGCAGCTCCGAGGGGCACTGCAGCCCCTTAGGCAGATCAGCCTGAGCCCAGGTGCCTTCCTCACAGCATGTGTCCGGAGTGTCACAAGCAACATGTATCTGTTTACTCGTTCATTCATTTATTCATTCAACACTTGCTATGTAGCAGGCACTGTGCTGGGCTCTGCAGCTCAGCTGTGCATGAAGCAGACAAGGCCCTGCTCTCATGGAGCTTACATATGAAACAGGCAGCAGGCAGGACAAGAAACAATCCAATATCTGATGTAATCAAGTTGGGCCATGAGTGTGAGGAAGAAGCATGCAGCAAGTTTCGGAGAGGGAGTGACTAGTGTGGAAGGTTCCGCGCAGTCCCCTGAGAAGACAGCAATGAGTAGAGAGAAGCCTGAATGGTGTAAGATGGGGAAACCTGCGGATCTGCGGGGAAGGGTGTTTCAGGCAGAAAGAACAGCAAGTACAGAGGTTCTGAGGCCAGAAGGACCTTGACACACACGAGGTGTGGCAAGGAGGCCAAAGGGGTTGAGTGGAGGGACAACAGAGTGCCGTGGTGAACAGAGTGAGGGGCAGGCAGGGCCGAGTCACTGGGACGAGTGGGGTCCACCTGTTTCTCTCCGTCTGATGGGAGGCCATGGAGGTTTTGGGCAAAGGAGTGGCATGACTTAGGTTTAGGAGGGTGGCTGGATGCTATGTGGAGAACAGATGATGGGAGGTCAGGTGGGGGAGCTGAGAGACCCAACAGGAAGCCACTGCAGGTCAGGGAGAGGAGGTGACACCTAGGGGTTAGAAACCTACCTTTCATTCACTTCCAGATGGAACTGACCACTGGGGAGAGGCGGGGTCCCCTGGAGAAACAGATGGGAGAGCAGGAGGAGTGAGGAATGAGCCTTGGCCTCCGACTTGTGGAGGTCAGGAAGAGGAGGTTGAACCAGCTCAGGAGACTGAAAAGGAGCCAGCGAGTGGGACCAGGCAAACGGTGTCCTGATGACAGTTCGTGCAGAGGCAAAAAAGAGGGGACGCTGACCTCTGCCAAAAGCTGCAGACTTGCCCAAAAGACGAGGACCACCCCAGACCATCCAGATGGGCAAGTTGAAGTTCATGGCAGCTTTGACCGCAGCAGCTGCAAAGCGGGGATGGGGACTTAGGCCTGATGAGAGTGCAGGAGAGAATGGGATGGAAGGAGATGGAGATGCAAGACAGGCAAATTAGTTGGAGGATTTTGCTAGAAAGTATCAAAGAAACGGAACCGTCAAGCTGGTTGGCCATGAAGGAGGAGGGAGGAGAAGACAGGGTGTGGCCCCGATGGCCTCAGGAGGAGGTTTTAGAGCTGCAGATCAGGTGGTCAGGGACTGTGTCAGTCACTAGGTGGGCTTGACCTCCCTGAGGGTGGAAGGAAAGAGGTTGATCAGGGGAAGGTGTTCTAGGAGATAGAGAGCTCTGCCTGTGTTTTTTCCCCCTAGCCTGAGACATCGCCATCTTTGTGTTTTGGAAGCTGTTTTTAATTTTATTTATTTATTTTTTTGAGACAAAGTCTCGCTCTTGTTGCCCAGGCTGGAATGCAATAACTCAGTCTCGGCTCACTGCAACCTCCGCCTCCTGGGTTCAAATGATTCTCCTGTCCCAGCCTCCCAAGTATCTGGGATTACAGGTGTGTGCCACCATACCCTGCTAATTTTTGTATTTTTAGTAGAGACGGGGGTTTCACTATGTTGGCCAGTCTGGTCTCGAACTCCTGACCTCAGGCGATCCACCCACCTCAGCCTCCCAAAGTGCTGGGATTACAGGCATGAGCCACTGTGCCTGGCCGGGAAGCTGTTTTTTAGAATCATGGAAAATAGCAACTAAAGAAAAAGATGCTAGCTGAAATGCTACTTCCTGATTACTAGCTAAGAGTGTAGCTGAGATAGAGGCTGGTGGTAGAAGGACCCAAAAGAAAGAATGAGCTCTAGGTAAAGCCGAAGGCTGAATCTGGCTGGGTAGGTCTGGTCAGAAAAGCTGGCCTGGCTGACGCAGCAAGCACAGGACAGGACGGACAGGATGTCAGCAGTCCACAGGCTCATGACCTGGGACTTTCCTTACCACTGGGTGGTGCATTGACTTAGGAACCTACTGGCTACAGTGGAGGACTGGTGATGCTGAAGGGCTCATGGACCTCTGGCAGGGAGGAGCCCTTCCTGCTGTCCCAGCATTCTCAGAAGGATACTCCTGCCCCACCTGGGAAATATGAGGGTGACTTTTGCATCCAGAAAAAGGATGTACCAGCTGGGTTGTGTCCATTTAGGGTAACAGTGACCCTGGCTACTCAAAGTGTGGTCCTTGGACTGGCAGCATTGCCATCAACTGGGATCTTGCTAAAAATACAGAAACTCAGGCCCCACCCTAGACCTACTGAAGCAGTGTGTATTTTACCAAAATTCCTAGGTGACTTCTATGCACATTAAAGTTTGAGAAGCACTGGCTTAAGCCACTGGTCCTCAGACTTGCTGCACTTTGGAATTACCTAGGGAATTTTAAAAGATGCTGATGCCTGGGTACCACCCTGCAGCTCCCCAACACTCCCAGAAATACTGATTTTACTACTATGGGGTATGGCCTGGGTACCAGGAATTTAAAGGCTTTTCACGGGATCATAATGTGCTGACTTAACCACTAACTTTGAGAACGACTACCTGAGGCCATAAAGATGTTTATCTGGGAGCTAGATTCCAGGGTAGCTCTAGGTGGACTCAGCAGCCCCAGGATATAGTGGAGGACTCACCACTGTCAGGATTTGTTTTGTTTCCTTAGGCTTGTTGCCTCATGATTAAAGATGGTTGCCATGCCTCCTAGAATACTGCACTTACAGGAGATTCAAAGGTTGGGAAGACAGCTCAGGTGGGAGGTGGTAGGAGAGCTTGTTTTGTGACTTCTCTCATTTTGTCAGGCAGGGAAAAAACTTTCCCCAAATCCCAGCACTTTGGAAGGCCAAGGCGAAAGGATCACTTGAGGCAAGGAGTTTAAGACCAGCCTGGGCAACACAGCAAGACTCCTGTCTCTACAAGACAAACAAACAAGGCCAGGTGTGATGGCTCACATCTGTAATCCTAGCACATTGGGAGGCTGAGGTGGGAGGATTGCTTGATCCCAGGAGTTCCAGACCAGCCTGGGCAAAATGGCAAAAACCCATCTCTACAACAAATACAGAAGCTAGCTGGGCCTGCATTCCCAGCTACTTGAGATGCTGTGGTGGGAGGATCACCTGAGTCCAGTGGGGTCAATGTTGCAGTGAGATGAGTTTGCACCAGCCTGCACTCCAGCCTGGGCAACAGAGTGAGACCCTGTCAATCAACCAATCAATAGAAAAAGAAAAAACTTTCCCAGAATTCCTGCAACAGATATCCCCTTTGTTTTCATTGAGCAAAGACAGGTCACCCTTAGCTGCAAGGGAGCCTGAGAAAGTGCATTTTTGGCTTTTTCACTTTCTATAGTAGGAAGCAGAAAATAGAGAACGGGGTTAGAAATGACTGTTAGATAGCCAGTCATCAGTATGTGCCATAAAATGCACATGAGATATAAATGCTTATGTGGCAAACTCGATAAATTAAATTATTAAGTAATTAGCTGGCTAGGTTTTCAATGGAAGAAACAGGAAAGATGGGGTCTTCTATTAATTTTCTCTTGTTAGCTGATTTGATCAATTGATCTTTTTTCTGTTTAATTGATTTGTTTTATGTTTGTTCAGATCAAAAAGTCAAAAAGTTTTCTTTAAAATACAAGGGCCAGGTGTGGTGGCTCATGCCTGTGATCCCAGCACTTTGGGAGGCCAAGGTGGGCGGATCGCCAGAGGTCAGGGGTTGGAGACCAGCGTGGCCAACATGGGGAAACCCCGTCTCTACTAAAAATACAAAAATTAGCTGGGCATGCTGGGGGCACCTGTAGTCCAGCTACTTGGGAGGCTAAGGCAGGAGAATCGCTTGAACCTGGGAGGCAGAGTTTGCAGTGAACCAAGATGGCACCACTGCACTCCAGCCTGGGTGACAGTGAGACTCCCTTTAAAAACAAAACAAAACAAAACAAAAACAAGCTCCTTTGAAGGCAGGCGTTCCCATTTGAATGTAAAGGTTGTATATTGTTCCTAACTCAACGTCACAACGCTCAGTAAAAATAGAGGTGAAGAGACCAAAAAAATAAGATAGCAGACCATATTCATTCATGCTCTACAAACTAATAAATGTGCTGTCTAAAAAAGCTGCATATAGAAACCCTTAGGATTTTGTATCTGTTTAACACAGAAATTCAACTTCTGGGAATTAGTTCAAAGGAAATAATCATGTATCCATTTCAGAAATAGTCATTGCTGGCCAGGCATTGGTGGCTCACACCTGTAATCCCAGCTTTCTGGGAGGCTGAGGTGGGCAGATCGCTTTGAGTTCAGGAGTTCTAGACCACCCTGGGCAACATGGTGACACCCTGTGTCTACACAAAAAACACACAAAAAAATAGCTGGGCGTGGTGGCACATGCCTGTAGTCCAAGCTACGCAGGAGGCTGAGTGAGAGGATTGCTGGGGCCGGGGAAGTGGAGATTGTAGTGAGCCAAGACTGTGCCACTGCAGTCTAGCCTGGGTGACAGAGTGAGACCCTGTCTAAAAACAACAACAACAACAACAACAACAACAACAACAACAACAAATGGTCATTGCCGTGCTACTTATAAAAATTGGAAACTACCTAAATGTCCCATGACAGGGGATTGGTTGGATGATCCAGCCACATACATACAATGGAATACTACACAACCATAAAAACAACAATGTTGAAGCTGGGCGCAGTGGCTCATGCCTGTAATCCCAGCACTTTGGGAGGCCAAGGTGGGTGGATCACTTGAGGTCAGGAGTTCAAGACCAGCCTGGTCAACATGGTGAAACCCCGTCTCTACTGAAAATACAAAATTAGGGCATAGTGGCACGTGCCCATAGTCTCAGCTACTTGGGAGGCTGAGGCATGAGAATTGCTTGAACCTGGGAGGCGGAGGTTGCAGGGAGCTGAAATCGCACTGCTGCACTCCAGCCTAGGCCACAGAGCGAGACCTCGTCTCAAAAAAAGAAAAACATGTCGAATAGTATTTAATGGCATAAGAAAATGTTCACAACATATTATTAGATGAAAAAAGCAATATGTAAGGCAATATATAGTAAATCACATTTTTATTGTGATAAAGTATATTTATGCTAGGAAAAAAACCACTACAAGGCGACACGACAAAAATACTGCCTTTCTGGATGGTAGGATTATGTAAGGTTTTGCTTTTTCTTTTGATTAATCTACATAGCATGTTTTTGTTTTGTTTTGTTTTGTTTTGTTTTGTTTTGAGACAGAGTCCCGCTCTGTCACCCAGGCTGGAGTGCAGCGGTGCGATCTCGGCTCACTGCAAGCTCTGCCTCCCGAGTTCAGGCAATTCTCCTGCTTCAGCCTCCCGAGTAGCTGGGACTACAGGCACCCGCCACCACGCCCGGCTAATTTTTTCGTATTTTTAGTAGGGACGGGGTTTCACCATGTTAGGCAAAATGGTCTCGAACTCCTGACCGTGTGATCCACCCGCCTCGGCCTCCCAAAGTGCTGGGATTACAGACGTGAGCCACCACGCCCCACCAACATGTTTTATTTCATTATAAGGAAACAAGTTAGGGAGAGTCACACAGCCTAAACAACCTAGCATGTGTTTGTGGAGCCCAGATGAGAATTCAGGTTTTCCTTTCTCATACCTTCTCTCCACCCAAAACTCCACTCCCCACCCCCGGGCTAAGCAAGACACCATCCCTCCATTTCTGAGAATGTCCTTGGAGGCTTCTGGAGACCTGGCCCACTTGGCCAAGTTTATGTTTTGGTGGAAACTCTTAATGTTTCCATTGTCTGACTTGAGAGTCTTTAAATTATTCATCTTAATTAAGTGCAGCCTGGGTGTTCTTTGACAGAGCCCTGGCCCCGTGGATTTTCTTTACCTCTTCTTTGTTTTAGAAGCCAAGAATAAAGAGGGTTTAGAGAGAGGACAGACTGTTGGCTTTGCTGCGTCTACATCTGAAAGGCACCCATTCTGTTGGGAGAAATGACGGCATGGCCATTAGGCCTGTCTGACATCCCACACAGTGGTTCCTTAGGGTCTTGGAAGCCTGCAAGAACTATTTCTCTGCAGAAGTAGCTGCCTGGGTTTCGAGGTGAGTCAAATAACATCCCTTACTTGAGTAGCTTCATGAACAGACATATCCTTTCAACTACGACCTGCATTCTTACTGTGTGCCAGGTACTGGGGGCGCAGCAGACAGCAAGGCAGGCAACAAAGGCCCTCTCTCAAGGGACTTATGATGGGGTAGGAGAGGAGATAGAACAAATTAGTGAACTGGCAATTAAACAAGGTGACCTCAGAGAATGGTAGATGCAAGGAAAAATTAGTGCAGGGTAAAGTAAAAGGCAGTGATGTAGGGGGGAGGGAACAAGTATAGACAGGTGACCGTGGGTGGCCTCTCAGAGGTGGTGGCATTTGAGCTGGACCTCACTGGACATCAGATCATGAGCAAATCCAGGGGAACAGGTTTCCAGACAGAAAACAGCAAAGAGAAAGACTTGTGTGGGAATGAACTTGACCATTTTTATAGAAAAGGAGGGAAGACTGGGAGGTCTTTTCTTGGAATGAATTCCCGGAGTGGGTAATAGGACCAGAAGTTACAAACATATTTATGACTTTCAATATATATTGGTGGATTGCTTTCCAAAATGAATATATATCATGTAGCTAATTGTTAGCAGTCATTATCCTTGGGGAGTGGGATGCAGGGGTCAACAGCATGAGTAAAGGGATTTTAAAGTTTCCATCTTCTGAGCCAGGTAGGGTGGCTCACACCTGCAATCCCAGCTACTTGGGAGGCTGAGGTAGGAGGGAACATTGCTTGAGCCCAGGAGGTCGAGGCTGCAGTGAGCTATGATTGCGCCACAGCACGCCAGCCTGGGTGACAGAGTGAGACCCGGTTTCTAAAATAAATAAATAAATAAATAAATAAATTTTAAAAAGTTTCCATCTTTTGTATGACTTGATTTTTTTTTTTTTTTACCAAGGGCATAACTTTTTTTTTTTTTCTTTTTAGATGGAGTCTTGCTCTGTTGCCCAGGCTGGAGTGCAGTGGCTCAAACTTGGCTCTCTGCAACCTCTGCCTCCTGGGTTCAAGTGATTCTCCCACCTCAGCCTCCCGAGTAGCTGGGATTATAGACGTGCACCACCATGCCCAGCTAATTTTTGTATTTTTAGTAGAGATGGGGTTTTGCCATGTTGGCTAGGCTGGTCTTAAACTCCTGATCTCAAGTGATCTGCACTCCCTGCCTCCCCCCAGCCTCCCAAAGTGCTGGGATTACAGGCGTGAGCCACTGCGCCTGGCCACATATTATTTTTATAACTTAAAGAGACGTAGCATTTTAGGACATTGGTAATAAGCAGGGTGGTAAATAATGTTGTTTTATTATTCTAAATACTATATATGCATTACACAAATTATGTTATATATACTAAATATTTTATAATAAAGCCTTGGATTTTTTATTTTTATTGTGTGTGTGTGTGTGTGTGTGTTTGTGTGTGTGTGTGACTCACTCTGTTGCCCAGGCTGGAGTGCAGTGGCATGATCACAGATCCCTGCAGCCTTGACCTCCCAGGTTCAGGTGATTCTCCCACCTCGGCCCCCTAAGTAGCTGGGACCACAGACACGCGCCACCTCGCTAGACTAATTTTTGTATTTTTTGTAGAGATGAGGTCTTGTCACATTGCCCGGGCTGGTCTGGAACTCCTGGGCTCAAGTGATCCTCTGGATTCAGCCTCCCAAAATGCTAGGATTACAGGCGTGAGCCACCACACTTGGCCAGCTGTGGGTTTTACACAATTTACTAATTTTTCTTTTTCTTTTTCTTTTTTTTTTTTGAGACGGAGTCTTGCTCTGTCACGCAGGCTGGAGCACAGTGGCGCAATCTCGGCTCACTGCAAGCCCCGCCTCCCAGGTTCACGCCATTCTCCTGCCTCAGCCTCCTGAGTAGCTGGGACTACAGGCGTCCGCCACCACGCCCGGCTAATTTTTTTTTTTGTATTTTTAGTAGAGATGGGTTTCACTGTGTTAGCCAGGATGGTCTCAATCTCCTGACCTTGTGATCCGCCCTCCTCAGCCTCCCAAAGTGCTGGGATTACAGGCGTGAGCCACCGCGCCTGGCAAAATTTACTAATTTTTACATCATCAGGTAGCTATAAATGTGGCAGCTTCACCACATGCTCATGAAGATTGATGATTATTACTCTTTGACATTTTTGCTTCTTTATTCAAGTTCAGTCACTGGTTTGCTCTGATATTAGATAAGTTACTTTAGCCTCGGTAGGTTTCAGTTTTTTGTCATACAGGAAGAGAGATCCACCCAACCTCTCAATTTCCTAGTAGAATTGCTCACAGAATTAAACAAAATAGTAAACAGAAAGGCACTCTGCAGATTTTTGAATGCAATAGGATAGAATAGAGGAAAGAGAATTGGGAGGGAATTGTCATCTGGAATGGAGTTTCCCTTTCCAAAATGAATATATATCATGTGACCAACTGTTAGCAGTCATTATCCCTGAGGAGTGGGATGCAGGGGTCAAAAGGATGAGAAAAGGGACTTTAGAGTTTCCATCTTCCATCCACATCTCACCAGGGCCAGCAGATTCTCAATAGAGCCTGCCTTGACTGGACCTTTCACTCTGATCTCTCTGTTCTCTAAATTCTTTCTTTCCTTTCTTTCCTTTTCTTTTCTTTTTTTTTGAGATGGAGTCTTACTCTGTCGTCAGGCTGGAGTGCAGTGGTGCAATCTCGGCTCACTGCAACCTCCACCTCCTGGGTTGAAGCGATTCTCCTGCCTCAGCCTCCTGAGTAGCTGGGATTACAGGTGCCTGCCACCACGCCAAGCTAATTTTTGTATTTTTAGTAGAGACAGGGTTTCACCATGTTAGCCAAGATGGTCTCGATCTCTTGACTTTGTGATCCACCTGCCTCAGGCTCCCAAAGTGCTGGGATTACAGGTGCGAGCCACGGTGCCCGGCCTCTAAATTCTTTTTTTTCTTTTTCTTTTTGAGGTTATCATAAAACAGCACATTCTCTAAATTCTATCTCAAATGTTTTTGAACTTAAGGTTATTTGATTTTATAGTTTAATTGTTTAATGCACATTAATGATGACTTCCCTCTTACTTTCATTTCCTGTAGAGGAGGGTCCACCGAAGGCATGGCATTTCAATGGTGGAATTTTAGGCATTAGCAAGGTGGTCAAAGAGATATTTTTTGAGGGAAAGAGTGGTCTTTTCAGATTCTAAAATTACAGAAAGTTGGATGTATTGGGAAGCTTTCAAAGACGTAGGTTATAGTCTGGGTGTTTCAATTGCTAGCCCTGAGCATGTCAAGTCTCGTAACCTTCCTGATTTCAGTTTCTTGAGCTAGAAAAGGGGGCCTATGAATAACTGCCCTGCCCACTTCCTTGTGGTGTTTTGGGGATTTGGTGAACCAATGTACAATTAAAAAGCTTTGAAGATGGTGGGGTTTTGTGGAACAACAAGGGCCTACAGCTGTAATGTGATGACTTCAAGTGTGCCCAGCAAAGTCACTCAAGGGACACTCTCACACAATGCTTGCTGGCTGAGGCTGGAAGGAAGGGATTCCTCTCATTGGCCCTGAGTGTCATGGACAGACCTCGGGCTTTGGCTTTAGGCAGAACTTGGTTCACCAATAGACCTCCTCCCCTTCCCAGCACATGGGAGACTGTACCTCTCAGCTCCCTTGCTGTTGAGTAGAGCCATGTGGACTAGTTCTGACCAATGAAATGATAGATGAAGTTCACTTCCAGGCTAGTGAAACACACTCATGCATGATTCTCCATTCTCTCTCTTCCCCTCTCATGGCAATTGTAGAGGAGGCCTTGTGTTGACACTGGGAGACCCAAAGATCACAGCAACCAGGATCACTGAGTCCCTGCTTGGAAGGTGGCTGTGTGAAGGGGAAATACACACCAGTTGTGTAAAACCACTGAGATTCTTAGAACTGTTTGTTACTGCAGCACAACCTAACCTATTCTGTCCAATGTACAGCCTGAGTCTCAGGTGCCCCTCCTCTGGGATAATAACACGTATTGCACATGTTTGTGGTGAATATTTAATGAGAGAATGTGTGATGCTCTTAGCTCAATGTTGGCTCATGGGACGAGCTCATGAAATGTTAGATTCCTGTCCTCTTCTGGGAGGGTAGTGCATTCTTGGCAAAGGCAGATAAGCCCACCTGACCAGACCTTCCCTTGGCCCTCCGAGGCATAACAATGAGGTCAGGAGTTCCTCAGGGAAGCAGACACACAATCCTTATTAACCTGCAAGTATTATGAGTTCTGTCTCTCCACACTTCCCATCTCTTTTCATATAAATCCTGGGGCAGTAATTTGAGGCTGCTGAGAGATGTGGTACTGACAGCCGCTGACATCCATCTTCCATTTGCAACAAGCTGTGGCAACTCCACTTTCCCCACCCCACCTCCACCAGCTGGCTTCCCTTCTACTGGGGGTAGGGGTGGGGACTGAATGGCTGGGGAGTGGGTGGTGGGTGGGGAGGGGGCTTTCCTGCCTCACTTACCATGATCTGTCCCCCTCAGCATCAAGAAGCCTAAGGGAAGCATTTGGGAACATCAGCATTCAGTAGGGCTTCTGAACCTCGCTTAGTCCATGCCTTGACTCAATAAAAAACAAAATAAATGCAAAATAATAAATAAAGGAAGAAAATAAAAACTCTAAACTGTGGGTGCCTTTTTTGTTTTTTGAAGTGAAATTGAATGAAATGGTGATATGCTAGGAACAAATCATAAACTCGAAGCCTCAAAAGGTAGAAACAAAACTTCTATAGAAAAGCACCTTTCCCCACCTCCCACCTTTTTCTTTTTTGAGGCAGGGCTTGTTCTGTCACCCAGGCTTGGGTGCAATGTTGTGATCTCGGCTCACTACAACCTCTGTTTCCTGGGCTCAAGCGATCCTCCTATCTCAGCCTCCTGAGTAGCTGGGACTACGGGTGCACACCACCATGCCCAGCTAATTTTTTTAGAAATGAGGTTTTGCTATGTTGCCAAGACTGGTCACAAACTCCTGGGCTCAAGCAATATGCCTGCCTCAGGCCCTCAAAGTGCTGAGATTACAGCTGTGAGCCACCATGCCCAGCCACCTTTTCCTTTTTAATAATGGTCCAAGATGTGGTTCTGCGTGGGTGCTTCTGCAACCAGGCTGGTCCTTTCAGCTGAATCAGGAAAGTGATTTCTTGAGTCCCACAGAGAGGAACTGGAGAGCTTAAAAAGCCTTTAGAAAGTTAATTCAGGGTGAATGTAGTCTTTTCCAGAGCCAGGAACTGAGGCCTCACCTGGACACCTTCCCCCACAATGTCCTCCCACTCTTCCGTGCTTTCACACATCCAGGCGCACACATATCCATTCAGTTATGGAGGAGAGGATGGGAGCAACTGGAGAGGCTTCCAGCCTAACCTTTGAAGACCCAAAAGAAATTCAAGTCCGTTTTCAAAGTGTAGCCCTGGCTGTGGTGGGGCCTGGTCCTGACCTGCAGGAGCTGTGGCCAGACTAGTAAGGAGCTACTCCAGACAGGCCAGGAGAATAGATTCCACTTCCCACACCCCACCTTATGAGAAACAGATGACTCCTTTCTGTAAAATGGTGAGCGCCTCCAGAAATGCATCCTTGTCCCCTGTTTTATTTTGTTGCAAAGCAAATACTTCCCTTGGCTTCTGTTCTCACATCCAGACAAGCTCTGCAGGAGCAGAACTCCCAGAGCCCGGGACCTGGACTTGAATGGAAGTCAAAGAACCTATGGGTGAGCTATGACCACAGACTGGTGGGCTGGTTTCATAACAAATGCTCCAGACTTACATATCCAAATAAGCATTCCCTTCAAAATCATCACCTACGTAGGCTATAGGTTTATTTCAAGGGTAATTAACAAAGGTATCAACATTTATGGAGCGTCTGCCAAATGTTAGGCTCTGTGCTAAGGGGCCTATGGGTATTAGCCCATTTGACCTTCACAGCCTCAATAACAGATGAGGAAACTGAGGTTCAGAGAGTCACATCGCTACTGGGTGATAAGGCTGAACTCAGGTCATCTGACTTCAAAACCAGGGTTAGAATGACTTTCAGAGCCGGGAATGAACGCAGTCCTTTAAGATCTCACTGCCGTCGTAAGGGTATAGCTTTGATCAGTTTCAGCCAGTGCAATCCAGAGCTGTCACACTCTTTCATTATTTCATTGAAATCTCTCCACAGTGTGGCAAATGAGTGATCACCAAGACCTTCATAGGCAGGAAGCTGGGTAACTCAGAGAGGTTAGGGAACTTGCTATTATAGGAAGTGGCACTGAGATAACTCTTGGGAATGGATTTGACTTCTGGAAACAGCCAAAAACTATTTGTAGCAAAGTCAACTAAACTAGGTAAGTCCTCGAGGTGGGCAAAATTAGGCATACTCAATAAAAATTTACACAAACTGCTCATCGTGTGTGGTACATAGGCTGGTCATGAAGACATGGCCTCAGTTCTTAGCCTGAGCCAAAATCTGCCTCCTTGTAATTTGCCTCCGGGGCTCCAATTTGAATTTGGAGGTACATTGAATTGGTCGATTTAATACCTCTCCCTTTCTTCCACGCCTTCCTAACAAGCCTGGTTATCTGGTTACCAAACTGGGCAGACTAGAAGCAGCAAATTAGAAAACACAGAGATGTGGCCAGATGCAGTGGCTCATGCCTGTTATCCCAGCACTTTGGGAGGCCGAGGCGGGTGGATCACCTGAGGTCAGGAGTTCGAGACCAGCCTGGGCAACGTGGCGAAACCCTGTCTCTACTAAAAATACAAAAATTAGCCAGGTGTGGTGGCACGAACCTGTAATCCCAGCTACTTGGGAGGTTGAGGCAGGAGAATCGCTGGAACCTGGGAGGCAGAGGTTGCAGTGAGCTGAGATCTTACCACCGCACTCCAGCCTGGGAGACAGAGTGAGACTCTGTCTCAAAAAAGAAAAAAAGAAAAGAAAAGAAAAGAAATCTCTCCCTCACACATCCCATTGGTTCTGTTTCTCAGAAGCACCCTAATACACCTTGTCTCACAGATATTGCTAATCTTCCCATTTTACAGATAAGAAAATGTTCACGTCAAAGCCACTGCATATGTGGCCAGCCCTGAAAAAAGTTCTATGGCTTGTTCAAGGTCAGTGTCAGTGTCCTTGGTAGAGCAAGACTTGAAAGTGAGTTTAATTTATTAAATTATATAGCCTTTTCTGGGAACTCCCTTTCTCAAGCACAGGACCCTCCTTGAGAACCCAACCCTCAAGGGGCTACTCCTAGACTCATGATTAGCTGTCTCCAGCCCCTGAGAAGCCTGAAAAAACAGAGTGTTTCTCTTCTGGGCTCTAGGTTCTTCCCAATTTAGCTTTGGATTAAAGCGTGCTCTCCTGATGATGGGCCATTGACATGACTCAGGTGTGCACTGCCTTTACCTCTCTAACAGCAGCACCTGGATTTTGCTCATTCTCGCTCTGCTCTCCTTGCCCGCTCCATTCTCCCCATGTTTCGTGCATTCTGCAGCTCATCTTGTCCAGGTAGAGCTCCCACTTCAGCCCCCTCCCCACCTCGTCCAGTATATGCCTGGATCTACAATCTCTGATTCTTTCACAGGGAGCTACGCAAATGGATATTCACAGATGAGTTAAACACAGGCACTGGCCTTCCCTGTTCTACAGTCCTTTCCTTATTTATTTATTTTTATTATTATTTTTTTGAGATGGAGTCTCACTCTGTCTCCCAGGCTGAAGTGCAGTGGCACGATCTCAGCTTACTGCAACTTCTGCCTCCCCGGTTCAAGCGATTCTCCTGCCTCAGGCTCCTGAGTAGCTGGGGTTACAGATGCGTGCCACCAAACCCAGCTAATTTTTGTATTTTCAGTAGAGACAGGGTTTCGCCATGTTGGCCAGGCTGGTCTCGAATTCCTGACCTCAGGTGATCTGCCCACCTCGGCCTCCCAAAGTGCTGGGATTACAGGCGTGAGCCACTGCACCTGGCCAGTCCTTTCCTTTTTAAAGAGTTGAAAATATTTCAGAACCCACATTATTTCCATTTTGCTGTCAAGCCACAACCATTGTTTCAGAGAGAAGGCTGTATATGAAAAAGACTAGGTCTTTTTTTTATTTTTTATTTTGACTTATTTTTTTTTCTAAGTCAGGTGCCTCTGGATATGAAAAAGACTAGGTCTTTTTAATCTCCATTTCTCTCCCCACCTCCTTGTACATTCCTTTCTCATTCCAGATAATTGCCTCCTCCCTGCAGGTTTATTTCCAAAGCAATTCAAGAAAAGCTGTTTGATGGGTCCACACATTGTGATCTTCTGTGGCTCCTAAAATGTTTTAGAGTTTCCCAGTGGGGGGATAGGTTAACTTTTTCTTGGCCATAGACTGGGTAGTTCTGGTATGACAGCAAATGTAATCTGATTTTTCTTTCTTTTTTCTTATTTATTTATTCATTCATTCATTCTTTTTTTTCAGCTCCAGCTCAAAGGAATTCTGATTTTTAGATGATGGAAAAAAGGGAGGAAGGAAAGAAAGGAAGAAAGAAGCAGAAGAAAGAAAGCAAGAAAGAAACGAATAGCAGCATCCAACAAACCAAGTTTACATGTACCTTAAGGGAAAGAATTTTGTAAGAAAGCTTTTATTTGCAGATGATGTCTGCAAATTGCACCTGTGGCCAACCAGAAATGGGGAGGACCGACAACTGCAGCAAGCCCCTTACCAGCTTCAAAATTATATTTATCTTATTTCCCCCATTTTTAGTAGTTGAAAACACTTCAACACATCCACTGTTAATAATTCTTGCTTCTGAGCATATAGAAAATAGGTCAGTGATGGGACATGCTCAGGATTATAGGCCATGGTGGGAGATAAGAAGATCTTTGAGACCTGAACAACTTCCTCCATGAGGCTGTCACTCAGGGCAGCTCCTGGGTAAGACCTGGGAACCATGCTGTTAAGCTGTGCTGAGATGGAGTTAGAGGAAATGTGGAGGAGGGCTTTCCAGAAGGCAGGAGGCTGGAAGAGGGACTTGAGGGTCTTGAAGAAAAGGCATGTGGGCAGGAGTGTCAGGAGGGGCATGAGGTAATGTTCCCAGAGTGCTCTGAGCCCTCTGGTTAAAGGACATTTAACCACAGATTATTATACTACCTATTATTTGTGTCTGTAATAACTGCTATGACAATGGATGCTGCAAAGGTCAGCCCTGGGGCTTCTGTTGTCTGATGCACTTAGTAAGGGTTGGGGGTGGAAAAGAGTTGATGAGGCTTGCTATTGATCTAAACACTTTTCAGCTGGCCAAGGCCAAGGTGTGGGGGGCGGCCTATGAGAAACTCCAGATGAAACTGATCTCCTCTGGGACTCAGGCAAGGATGGCAGCTGAAATTTAACTTGAATATGTGCAGGGTAAGTCCCATGGTGTAAAAGCTCATCTCAGCATCTTTTTGAGTGCAGGACTCTCCACCCTGAGAGGCTGGACCAGCCACAGAGAGTAGGCACTCACTCAGTTCAGGGCAGAGGCCTGCCTTGGTCACCAAGCATGCAGCATGCCAGGTGGAGTGGGGCCCTGGGCTCTGGGCTCCTGAACAGTTACTAGGCCCCACAGGAGTTTGGACTGCCCTTTCCTGTCTAGAGTCATCTCAGATCTCACTGAGCATTGCTTGGTAGGACTGTAGCAATTCCACCCCTTCACCTTACATGAAGAGAGGGAGGATCTTGGAGGAGAAAAGTCTCAAAAAAAAAAAAATTAATAATAATAAAGAGTTTGAGACCAGTCTGGCCAACATGGTGAAACCCTGTCTCTACTAAAAACACACAAAAAATTAGCTGGGCATGTTGGTACATGTCTGTAATCCCAGCTACTCAGAGGCTGAGGCAGGAGAATCGCTTGAATTCAGGAGGTGGAGGTTGCAGTGAGCTGAGATGGCACAACTGCACTCTAACCTGGGTGTCGGAGTGAGACTCTGTCTCTAAACAAACAAACAAATAAATAAATAAATAAATAAGCTGGGCATGGTGGTGCATGCCTGTAATCCCAGCTACTCGGGAGGCTGAGGTGGTAGGATTGTTTGAGCCCAGGGAGTCAAGGCTGCAGTGAGCCATAATAGCACCACTGCACTCCAGCTTGGGTGACAGACCCTCAAAGACAAGACAGAGACCCTGCCTCAAAGGAAAAAAAAAAGTTTCATTGTGTGTCCTTCATTCAGACTGGGTCCCATGCCCTAAGCCAATCGTGTGCTCTGATTGGCTAGGCCTGTCATTTGCCCAGCCCTGTTGACTAGGGGTGGGGTCAACTCTCCCTGAAGCCCAGGGATTGGAGCAGGGGAAGTGCCCTCCCAGAGGAATATCAAGGTATGGTTGCCAGGAGGGGGAAATGGTTGCTGGGCAGCAAAACAGCAGTTATCTATTAGACCCACATTTGCATTGTACTTTTCAGTGTGTGTCTCATGTGCATTATTTCTTGCTAGCTACTGTGACCTCTTGGCTGCTCCTGGAATGCTCATGTTTTCTCACCCCTTTAGGTCTTCAATGTTACCTACTCAACAAACCTTCCCTGAACACCCCATTTAAAATATGTAACCTCCCTCTACCTCTCCCCAAATTCTCAATTCCCCTTCTCTGCTTTATATATACATTCTTTCCTTAGAGCTTAACACTATCATATTATTTTACTTCTTTATTTTCTTACCAGGCTCTCCCAGTTGAAATGTAAGTTCCATGAGGTAGGGACTTGTATCCATTCTGGTCACTGCTACATCATCTGTGGCAAAACAGTGTCTGGCACATAGTAGATACTCAATAAAAAATAGTTGACTGAATGAATGAATGTGCACAGCCATCCTGTGAGGTAGGTGGGATGGAGGTGATTCTCTCTGTGTTATAGATAAGGACATTGAAATTTGAGCAAAGGATCCTGTTGGTACAAAGATCAAAAAAAAATTTTTTTTTAACTTTAATTGTTCAGTGCTAATGAGAAAACAGCAGAGGGAACTTGATTCATTACAGTGTGTTCCAATCAAGTGAAGGTTAAATGATGCCCTGATGCAGTAGTTCAAATAGAGAAAGTGGTAGGAGAATTGAGTCATTGCCTGGCACGTGGTGATATAGGCATCCCCAACGCAGAAAGAACCACCTGCTTGATCACAGTCAGAATTAAATCATGCTGGGAGTAGCAATTTTGTTTCAGCAAATAGCAACAGTTACATTTAAATTAGTGTGGCTAATTTGAATCTTACTGGTTTTATAGTTTCTTTTAAATAGAATTTGTAAGCTTGTTTTCATTTTGTAGTTGATTGTAAACCCCAAATGTTAAGAAGTGTTGTGCCTAGTTTTATGTTCATACACATTTAAGGAACATTAAAATAAAAATTAAGTAACTTTGTGAGGATTTGTATCCTTTCAAAAGGAACTTGCTTAGTATTCAAGATAGAGAAACATTGTTTCAGAAGATTCAAATCATCCTCTCACTGGAGATAAAAAGGAGGAGTTGCAGAAAGACATTCTTAGAACAGTGCTCAGAACTTTATTACCAGGAGCTTAAAGACTGTCTGGTGAATCCAGCCCTGTCATTTTGCAGATAAGTAAACTGAAGCCCAGCGAGCTCAGGTCTCCTTGCCTTGTCCTGCTTCTCACATAAGGATATCTGCCCCTGAAAGCTATCCCATCATTTCCATGGAAATGATCTGGACAGAGTGGCTTTTCAGCTAGTGGCTGCTGTAATTGGTAAGGCCAATGCTGTGTTGTGGGGGAGGTGGAGGGTTAGGCATCAAATTGGGGGTT
Organism: Homo sapiens; assembly: GCF_000001405.40. Lineage (NCBI taxonomy): Eukaryota > Metazoa > Chordata > Mammalia > Primates > Hominidae > Homo > Homo sapiens. The sequence goes on along the minus strand of NC_000014.9, from coordinate 68,986,437 downwards.
ACTGATTCTTCCAATCTGTGAACATAATAAATCAGCTTTCCGTTTATTTAGGTCTTCACATTCTCAGCTGTGATTTGGGTGTGTTGCTCTGATTTTTGCTGGGAACAAGAGACAGATGGGGAAGAGCTCCCAGCCCTCCTTGGAGGGCCCAGGCTGGGCAGCTCTCAAGCCTGACTAGCTCTGCTCCCAGAGCTGACCTCAAGGTAGCCATCTAAGGTAGAGATTTCTGATGGTCCAGGTTGGTTTACCCTGGGTATCTGGGGGAGATAAATATGCCTGATCACTAGGGAAAAGAGTGTACCTGGCCTGGCGCGGTGGTGTGTGCTTGTAATCCCAGCACTTTGGGAGGCCGAGGAGGGTGTATCACCTGAAGTCAGGAGTTCGAGACCAGCCTGACCAATATGGTGAAACCCCATCTCTACTTAAAAAAAAAAAAAGAAAGAAATTAGCTGGTGTGGTGGCACATGCCTGTAATCCCAGCTATTTGGGAGGCTGAGACAGGAGAATTGCTTGAGGCAGAGGTTGCAGTGAGCTGAGATCATGCCATTGCACTCCAGCATGGGCAACAAGAGTGAAACTCTATCAAAAAAAAAAAAAAAAAAAAGAGTGAACCAGACAGGCCAGATATTCTCTCACCTGAGACCCTAGAGCTGGGCAGAGGATGGGAAGCACAGGAACTTTTCTGCCAGCCTCTTATTAGAGATCCCGCACGAGGGAAACTGCTGAGTGTCTCCTGCCCTGCCTCACTGGTCTCTGGTGGGAGAGAGAGGAATTGACCCTAGGGCAAACTGTTCCAGTGAAGCAGAAGCTGGTGTGGAGGAATTCATCCTGGTGGGTGATGGCTGAGTGCTGCTGGCTGGGGCATCGGAGTAGGGACAGCCAACTCAATTTCACCACCATGGGCTTCATGAGCTTCTCAGGAGGCCCAAGAATTTGGGAAATGCTTGTGTGGACCATGGCAAAGGACTGGCCTCCCCAAGCCTCCCATGGATTGATGGAGAAACAGGCAGTGAGATGGAATTTGGCTAATGCCATTTTTCATTTCATGAATATTGAACTGGAACACTTATTGTGTCCTAGGCCCTGTGTTACACTGAGTGGGGGAAAGAACAGGGTTGAGGCTTCATAAAGGCAGTGTGAGAGAAAAAATGGACAAAGGACTAAAATAAAGCAAAGTATACTCTCTTAGTTACAAATGGTATGCTATGGGCGTTTGGGGAAGAGGAGTCTATTAACTATATTGCTACTGGGACTGGGGACAAAACTGAGGTTTCTGATTTCCCAAGCCCAAAACCCAAAAAACTATAGTGATTTATTTCCTACCTCCTTCTAGCATTCTACAAACACTCTAATGACTACCATGCCCTGGGCTCTTAGGAAGAGCTCATAGGAGCCTATCACCATTAGGCTGTAAGGTTAGAGAAGAACTCAGGATACAAGGAAGGCAATGGCCAGATATCTAGGTGGGAGGTCCATAGTGCTTTTAGTTTCCAGAATCTTGCAGATCCTACGTGTCTATGTCTCCCCACAGGGCCTCACATGGTCAGTCACCCATAGCAGGGTGGAAAAGAAATTCATGAGCATTGAGGTGGCCTGCTGCATGCCAGGCATGGGGCTGGCACTCTCCCTTCTTTATGTCACCTCATGTGTCAATCCAGTTCTTTTTTTTTTTTTTTTTGAGATGGAGTTTCACTCTTGTTGCCCAGGCTGGAGTGCAATGGTGTGATCTCAGCTCACCACAACCTCCACCTCCTGGGTTCAAGTGATTTTCCTGCTTCAGCCTCCCGAGTAGCTGGGATTACAGGCATGCGCCACCATGCTTGGCTAATTTTTTGTATTTAGTAAAGGTTGTCTTATACTGAGACTAAAGTCCCCAGTATCATTTCACAGGGTGGTGGCCATGAGTGAGAAGATGGGTCAGTCTGTTACCTTGGTCCATCTCAGGACCTCCCTTATTGAGAAGATAAGTTCATCAGTTATTGTTTCAACTTACTTCCTTACCGTCTTCCCACACACTGTGGGCATCCTCACGCATCATAACTCCCCCTTTTCTTTCCTCAGGCTCAGATGAGGGTCTTTCTTTTCTTTTTTTTTTTTTCTTTTCTTTTTTTTTTGAGACCGAGTCTCGCTCTGTCACCCAGGCTGGGGTGCAGTGGTACGATCTCAGCTCACTGCAACCTCTGCCTCCTGGGCTCAAGCGATCTGCCACCTCAACCTCCCAAGTAGCTGAGACAACAGGTGTAAACCACCATATCTGGCTAATTTTTGTATTTTTAGTAGAGATGGGGTTTCACCATGTTGGCCAGGCTGGTTTTGAACTCCTGGGCTCAAGTGATCCGCTTGCCTTGGCCGTCCAAAATGCTGGGATTACAGGCATGAGCCACCTCACCCAGCCAGATGAGGGTCTTTCTTCTTGTTCAATGGCCCATCCCTTAGCCTGTGTCCTTGAACCCATATGGTCCTATCTCCTCAAGAACTTTGTGCTATCCCTCAACTTTCCTTTTTTTTTTCTAGACAGTGTCTGGCTCTGTCACCCAGGCTGGAGTGCAGTGGCCCAATCGTGGCTCATTGCAGCCTAGACTTCCCAGGCTCTAGCAATCTTCCCACCTCAGTCTTCCAAGTAGCTGGGACCACAGGTGCACTCCACCACGCCCGGCTAATTTTTAGTATTTTTGGTAGAGATAGGTTTTTACCATGTCACCCAGGCTGGTTTCGAACTCCTGAGTTCAAGCGATCCACCTGCCTTGGCCGTCCAAAGTTCTGGGATTACAGGCGTGAGCCACTCCACCTGGCTCCCTTAACTTTCTTTAGCTTACATTTTCAACTTTTTCCTCTTAACTGAATTCTTCTTTTCAAACAGCTCACATTTTCCAGTTTTAAAAGAAATCTTCCTTTGATCTCAGTACTTGCGTCTAGCTATTGCCCCTTTAGCTACTTCTTTTTCCCCTCTATATTCAGTCTCCATTTATTCACTCCTAATGTCTCTTTAAACTTACAGCTTTTGCCACTCTGCCAAAATTCCATTGGCCAAGGTCACCAGTGAATTTTCAACTGTCATATCCAAGAACACTGTTTAGGCCTTATTTTCCAGACTTTTTGAATATATCTGATATTGCCAATTCCTCTTACTTTGAAACCTTACTCCTTTGACCTCCTCAACGTCATATACTCCAGGCCCTCCTCGTTCCTGGATGACCATTTTCTTTGTCTCCTTCAGGGGTTCTTGTTCTTTGCTGTCCCTTTCTAAGTGTTGTTCTCCAGGGTTCTGCCCTCTTCTCATGTCCACCTGGGCATTCTTCATGGGTGGTCTCCTGGTGTTAATATCATCCATATGCAGATGACTCTCAACTCTGTTTTGCCTGAGGTCAGGGCTATGCAGTCAAACTGCCTGCTGGTCTATGGAATCTGGACATTCTAAGAGCACTCCAAATTCAATGTGTTCAAACTCAATCCATGATTCTGTTCCTAAATATTTTCCTTTTCTGTTCTATCTTAATTGGTCATAGTGCCACCATTCCCCAGATCATCTAAACTATAAACTCATGATTAAAGCAGGATTGCTCAACCTCAGCACTCTTGATATTTTGGGCTGGTTAATTCTTTCTTTCTTTCATATTTGGCTGGTTAATTCTTTCTTTCTTTCTTTTTTTTTTTTCTGGACAGAGTGTTGCTCTGTCACCCAGGCTGGAATGCAATGGTGCAATCATGGCTCACTGCAGCCCTGACCTCCTGGGCTCAAGCAATCCTCCTGCCTCAGCCCCCCAAGTAGCTGAGAATACAGATTCACACCACCATGGCCAGCTAATTTTTGTATTTTTGGTAAAGACGGGTTTTCGCCACCTTGCCCAGGCTGGTCTCGAACCCCTGACCTCAAGCGATCCACCTGCCTCAGCTTCCCAAAGTGTTGGGATTACAGGCATGAGCCATCATGCCTGGCCTGGATAATTCTTTGTTGTGGGGATGCTGTCCTATCCATTGTAGAACGTTTAGCAGCATTCCCAACCTGCATCCACTGGATGCCAGTAGGAACCCACCAGCTGTGATAACCCAAAATGACTCCAGACATCAACAAATATCCCTTGTGAGGGGGAGCTGTTAAAATATCCTAGAGTTGAGAACCACTGGGGTTAAAGGCACAGGTCTGGGAGTCACATGTACTGGTGCCATTTTGGACTAGTTACTACCTCTCTGAGCCTCAGTTTGTTTTCTCTGTAAGACAGAGAAACACCTCATAGGAGGAACTTAATATAGGTAAAGTGCATGGGATCTCTCAACAAAAACACTTATCTTTTCTCCAGACTCCTAGGTCTTTCAGTTTTATCCCCTAAGTATTTCTGGTCTATCCACACTTTTCCATTTCGACCTGGATTATTGCAACAGCTTTGCAACTGGTGTCAAAGCTTCCAGCCAGCCTTGCTCCCCTTAGATCCACACTCCACCTGGCACATGAGGCCTTCATGGTCTGGCTGCTTTGCACCTCTCTAGCCCCGTCTCTTGCCCCTCCCGGCCTTGGATTTCTAGTCCAGCCACGTTGAGATGCTAGACATTCCTTTGTATACCATGCAGTTTCCTGTCCTTGTGCATTAGCTTGTGCTGGTCCTTCCTTCTGGAGTAACTTCCCACACTCTTTATCTGGCTGACTCTCATTCTTTAACGTTCACTTAAGTTTCACCTCCTCCAAAAAGTTAAGCCTGGAGCCTCCTTTCCCACGGGGTTCAGTGCCCCTCATCTGTTCCAACAGTACACTTGTCAGATCTCTCTCCTTGCGTCTAACTCATGACATCATATTTTTGTTTCTGTGTCTGTCTGCTGGGCTGTGTGCGACAGGGACTATGGCTTTTTCATCTCTGTATACATCTAGTACATTCCCTGATATGCAGATGGTGCTCAGCAAATATTTATTGGGTGAATGAATGGATACAGCACTACCATTACCCTCTGTGTTAGGTTTAGAGCCACAGTTTAGAAGCGGTGATAAAATGGTCCATAAATCAGCTGTCTCTGTGGCTCAGAAGCAGTGCTTCCTCAGCCAGGGGCTTTTGGAAGGCACAGTGCTGGAGGGTAACACTCATATGAATATGTGTGGTTGACGAATGATGCAGCCAGAGACACCATCCGATATCTGCTCACAACAGCAGCAGTGGCTCTTCTGAGAACCAGGGGGCACTTTCTTCACCTTTTCCATGGGTGGCTTTCAGGTATCCACCATCGCCTGGAGAGAAGGTAGAGGACAAAATCCAGCCCATAATTCAGGGCCCTTCCTGTCAGTGAACTTCTTCTTCTAACTCCTTCACTCACTTCTGAATTGACATATTTGCATTTTAAATTTAAATTTAAATTTAAATTTTTGCAGTTGATGCAGCCATTCATCCTACAAATACAGTCCTCCCTTAGTATTGGCAGGGTATTGGTTTCAGCATCCCCATGGATACCAAAATCTGAGGATGCTCAAGTCCCTCACAGTCAGCCTGGGTATCTGCGGGTTCTGAAGCCTGTGGATATAAAGGGCCAAATGCATATATGTATGTATATATTTTGAGACAGTCTTGTTTTGTCACCCAGGCCGGAGTGCAATGGTGAAAATGCACCTCACTGCAACCTCGACCTCCCAGGCTCAAGGGAGTCTCCCGCCTCAGCTTCCCAAGTAGCTGGGACTACAGGCGTGTACCACCATGCCCGGCTGATTTTTGTATTTTTAGTAAGGACGGGGTTTTGCCACGTTGGCCAGGCTGGTCTCCAACTCCTGGGCTCAAGCGATCTGCCCGCCTCAGCCTCTCAAAGTGCTGGGATTACAGGTGTGAGCCACCGCCACCGTGGCCAGCCTCAAATCCATAAATTAAGCTCTACTATGTGCTGGGTGCTGGGGTGGAAGACTGGCACATCTGTTGTTCACAAGACAGTGCATAACCTAGGAGAGGTTTATTTGCTACTGTTCTTCGGAACCGGGATCCCATAGAGGAGCCTGCCAGAACGCGAGGCCTGCTCCTTCCCGGGCATTAGCGCGTTTAGACTCTCCTCTTACTAAGCCCAGGGAAAGGAGTCCTGGCAGGTGGCAAGCAGAAGTTAGAGCTATTTAGTCACTCCCGCCCTCCATCCTCCTCCAATGACAATAAGGTTTTGTTTGTCAGGCATAAGGTTACCGGATTGGCCTGTGAAGTCCAGAAGCTCTTTCCGCGCTCGGCTCTTTGAGCCTCAGTTTCCCCATCTGTCAGGCGTGTGTATGTGGGAGGGGGGTACGGAGTAGATTTACCTAGATCACTCGGGGTTGTCCCTTCCAGTTTTGAGGGTGATGTCGGGGTGTCTGTGAGGAGGAGGGAGGACCCTGCCACGCGAAGGTAGTTTTGGTCGCAGCAGCCAGCCAAGTGTGCCCGCGGAGACCGGCAGGGAATTCCGGGAGGCCCCGCTGTGGAGCGGTCCCCAGAGCCCGAGGGCGAGCTAGAAGAGTTCCTGCGGCGAGGCGGGAACGCTCGGTAGCCTCTGAGAGCAGTTCGCTGGCGAGAAACCGGGTTCCTGCAGGGCAGGGATCAGCCGGGTCGCGCCTTGTAGGGTGGGGTGGGGTGGGGCGGGGCCGGGGGGGGCGGCGGTGGAGTCGTGAAATTCCCAAGAAATTCCTTTCCATTGCCCCACTCCGCCCCCTTTCCTAGGGTGCCGACCTGCCCAGACCCAGGTTCCCTGGGAAAGAGAAAATGAATGTTCTTCGGGTTTCCTCGCGTCCTTTCTCCAGCCCCCTCCCACCCCGGGGTTTGGAGCGCGCGTGGGAGCGCAATAACGGTGGCGGGGAACGGGTCCAATCCCGGCGGCTCCTGGGGTTCCCAAGCGCGCTGCCACTCAGTCCCCGAGCTCGGGGAGGCGTCTCCCGGCTTCGGTCCCGTTCAGCTTAAGCTGGCGTCACATGAGCCGCGGGGGAACGGGCACCGCGGGAGTGGGCGGGGGTGTGCGCGCCGGGAGGGGGCCGCCCAGTCCACCTATATGCGCCGCAGCCCGGCTGACGGATGCCAGGAATTCCCAATGAGAGGCGATGGGGGGAAGTTTGGGCAACTCGGCCTGGCCAATGGAGAGCCTCGGGAGGGCTCTGCCCCTTCCCCCCGCCCCCGCCCGCCTCGGCTCCCGCAGCGCTAGTGTGTCCGCCTAGTTCAGTGTGCGTGGAGATTAGGTCCAAGCGCCCGCCCAGAGGCAGGCAGTCCGCGAGCCCAGCCGCCGCTGTCGCCGCCAGTAGCAGCCTTCGCCAGCAGCGCCGCGGCGGAACCGGGCGCAGGGGAGCGAGCCCGGCCCCGCCAGCCCAGCCCAGCCCAGCCCTACTCCCTCCCCACGCCAGGGCAGCAGCCGTTGCTCAGAGAGAAGGTGGAGGAAGAAATCCAGACCCTAGCACGCGCGCACCATCATGGACCATTATGATTCTCAGCAAACCAACGATTACATGCAGCCAGAAGAGGACTGGGACCGGGACCTGCTCCTGGACCCGGCCTGGGAGAAGCAGCAGAGAAAGGTTAGCAGCCGCCCCCGCCCGCTGCAGCCCCCAGCCCCCAGCCCCCAGCCCCGACCCGCTCTGCCTGCCGGGCTCTCGGCTCCGGGCTCTGAACCGGTTCCGGGCGCGCACGGGAGGGGGCGGGGGCGGTGCGGCCGTTGCGAGGTGGGGTGTTGGGTTACAGGCGCCTGGCGGAAGCGGGAGCGCCCCTGCCCCGGAGCCCGGGAACGCCGGGCCGGAGCGCGGGGAGGTGGCGCCGCTGGCGGGCAGGTCTCCTTGGGGGTCCGTGGTCCAGGCCACCCTGCGGCTGTTGCAACCATCCCCGCGTGGGCTGTGCTCGGGGGCGGTGGTCTTCAGGCTGGGGCTGAGACCCCGGCTCGGGGCTGCTTGCTCCGGATCGATTTTCCCTTTTCTTCCGCCCCTGGCCACCTCTCCATATGGCGTGCGGTGGCAGCGCCGCTTCCTGGGCCGCCCTGGGTTCAACCTGAGCGGCGGGCCTCCCGGGACCCTGCTGCCCCTTAGGCGGAGGGGAGAGCGCCGGAGAGATCGGCGGCCGCCTCCGGATCTGCCTGGAGAAGGACCAGCTGGAGTGCGGCTGGGGACGAGAAAACTGGGGGGCGTACGCGGGCTCCCCCGCGGGCCCTGTGGGGGCGGGGTCAGGACAGCAGACCGTTTTATTGCTTAACTCAGTGGGTTGGAAGCTGTAACCCCGACATGGGCTTGCGCTACGTCCTGCCCCTCCGACCCCCGGGAAAGGTGGGCAGCTCGGTTCGAGTTGAGGGGCTGCAGAACGAGGGTCAGTCTTAGGGGATATTTGGGGCCAGTCACTGGGGATCCCTACTTAGCCACGGAGCTGCATCCCAGGCAGGCGCGGTGTGCCGGGTGCGCGCCCCGCCACGGGAGCTGGGCTCGGAGCTGGCGATGGGACCCGGGCACAGTGGCCAGTGGCAGGAAGAGGTCAGAAACCACTCGTGGTGGTGGGGGGAGGGCGCCTCAACCCTACCGCTGCTTCCTGCCTGCGCGGTGAGCCTGTGCCCCCAGGCGGCCACGTACCCTGAATACCCCTTTCCCTCCCCCTCCTCCCGGCTGCCCACTTCCATCCGGTCCCTCCCCGTTTCATACCCTCCCCACCCCCAGGCTGATCTGGGAATGGGGTTTTGGGTGGGGGGGGGACAGGATGGCGCGTCCCTTTGGATAGTGCGGTTAGGGCTGGGCTTGAGGGAGAACGCTCATGTCCAAAAATGGTAACATTCATTCCCTTTTTTAAACTTAAAAGGGGGGTAGTTTATAGAGCCGACTGAAGTTTTTTTTTTCAGCCAAAGGCATCCTGTATTAGCTCACTCAGGAATCCTAGGCCCTGAAACGGAGCCCTTTTACTCACTTCATCAGACAGGCAGAGGTAATCTAAAACACACACAATGGGCTTCCTCAAAGCAGGATGACCTGGGCCGCGGTGCCCAAGGCCTATGCAGGGCTGGGCCCTATACAGCGACATCGGTCATCTACATCGGACATGGGAAGGTCCCCTGACTTCGAACTGACTTCTTTGTAATGTGCCAGTTGCTTAAACTCCCCCTCTTCCTGTCATCTTCCTAGTAAGAGCTGAAGACTGGGGGCTGCAGACAGTCCCCCACTCACTTGGCTTATTTCCTGGGACCATGGGTGCTGTGGGTGGAACTGAAAAGTGAGTGAGTAATTTGGAGATCCCTATGGGGCACCAGGCAGAAGGCTCTTTAATAATTTCAGGGTGAAGCCTTCTTGAGAATGGATTTTAAATTAGAAGTGAGATTAGGGTGGTGGATTGGGGTCTTCCCTGGGGGTTAGAATCGAAGGAGAAATCCCTGCTTAGGGAGCACCTGCTTTGTGCCTGGGAGGGGCAGGAGTAACAGAGCTGCCTAGGAACTAGGCCCCTGAAAGGACTGTGAGACCAAGTTCCTAGGGGACAGACACTGAGCACCGGCCTGAACATCGTATTTAATATTTCTGAATGAATGAATATATTAAACGCAGTGGGGAGAAGAATATAGATTCCCAGGGCTCTGACCTGGGTGGCAGTGGGTGTGCCCCAGGCCTTTGGGCAGCCAGGTAGGAAGAGGTGGTCTGGGAAACTGGGTTATCCTGGAGGCAAACTCAACAGTGCCAAGAACTGGCATTTGCTGATATGTGCCAGGCACGAACAAGGACTAGGAAACCAGGGCCAGAGAGGGGAAGTAACCAGCTCCAAGTCCAGACTGTGTTTGGTGGGGCTGGGATGCAGCCATGTTTGGGACTGGCAGCTTCCCCTCACTTGTCCCTCCTTGGCAAGGGAGGCAGGAAAGCTGGGCCTCGCAGCCAGAGCCAGAGCATCTGGGAACCAGGAGAGCCGACACGTGCTTTGGGCGGGGTTGATGGAGGGGCCATGGCAGAAGGAGCTCTGGGCCTGACTCTGAAGATTCAGATCCACATTTTTTGTTTGTTTGTTTCCTGTTAATTCTCTAGATTATCTTTCGTGGGCCTCAGTCTGCAGAATTTCTGGCCTGCCTAGTTCTCAGTAGGGTGATATTAAGGAGGTGGTATTACAGGTGAGGGATAAGACGTAAGGTAAACGTGTTGCTTTTGACACTCTTTCTACTGACTGGGAGGCGGGGTTTGTGTGGGACCAGAGTCCACAAGTGGACAGAGGCTGATGGTTCCAGAGGGAGGCAGGGGAGTGAGTGTGAGGAGGGGAAGAGGAGGACACAGTGTAGAGGGATACAAAGGTCACCCGGTAGAAGGCAGAAGACCCTCTTTTTAGCTTTGGTGCAGCCATAGCTATTTCTGAGACTTTGGGCAAGTCTTTCCATTTCATCGAGCTTTTATTAGGTCATTCAGCAAATACTTTGTGAGCACTCATTCTGGGTCAGACACAGTTCCAGGTATTAGGGATGGGGCACTGAGCAAGACAGACCAAGTTCCCGTTCTTGTGGCATTTCCATTAGGTTTCCTCCTCTGTAAATGGGACACATTTCTGCCCGTGGAGCCCTCAGGACTCTTCTGGGGAATCAGGTTAAATGATGCATTGAGAAGTGCTTCCTTGGTGAAAGTATGGCCTGATGTGGAGGCAGGGAGAAGTCTGTGCAGGCAGGAGGCATGACTCAAGAAGCTGCACTGGCTTGGCCGAGGCTTGTCCCTCTTTCAAAGAATGCTTCGGTACGGAGTTCATGGGCTGGTCGCCATGCCTCCAGACACAAAATGCAGTTATCTTCCAGACAGAGCACGTGGATTAGAGGCATTTCCTCTACTTTTCCAGGTTTCATAACCTTCCTGATCTTTGAGGCTGGGCTCTGAAGTCACTTTTCCTAGGAGTTGCTGTTATTTTCAGGGTGACTGCAGCCCCCAGTTTTCTCCCTTATGTAATTTCGCTCACATTCTTAGGTGTATGTGTGTACCCAGTCAAGCTGGAGGTAGGTCAAGCTGGAGAGAGCATCAGCTTGGTGTAGGATCCTGGCTCTATTATTTTCAGGCTTGTGACCTTGGGCAAGTTCCTCTCTGAGTCTCCAATTCCCTACTTATAAAAAAGAGCTAATACCTACCTTGCTGGCTTGATGCGAGCAGATATGTAAAATGGCAGCTTCTGCTGTTAAATTTTATTTTCTCTCTTCCTTCTGAAGTCCTAGAGATTATGGTTTAATGTGTGTTTCCACAGGTGCCAGCCTGTGGCCTTTTACATGTAGGAACTTAATCAATACTTGTTGAGCGAATGGATGTTGAAACAGAGAGGCAGCGTTGGCAAGTGCATAGAGGTGGTTGTGAATAAGGCCCACATCCCGATTCTGCAGACAGGTGAGGCTAGGTCACAGGAAGAGGGGACACATTGTTTGCACTTCCTTCTGGACAGCAAGGCCATTGCAGGAGCTATAGCCAAGGCCACCAGTCAAGGTGGAGGACTACAGAGAGAGGAAAATCTGCAGGCTGTGTCGGACTTGGACACCCCTTTTCATCTTCTCGAGGAAGGCATGGGGCTGGGCACCTGGCTGGGGGCCATAAACCATCAGTCTGGCTCAAAGACTTGTCACACAAGACCTGGGGGCCTGGAGCCAGGGTGGGGCAGCTGGAGCCTGAGATGTGGCCTAGTCACAGATGTGCTATGTCGGGTCTCTAGGAAAGAGCCCAGCCCTTAACAGGGTGAGAATGTAGACAGTTCCTTCTCATGAAGGCAATCAGTAGATGTTCATTAAACCCCTGTTAGGTATCAGATGCTCTGCTTGCTGTGTAGAGTGTGGAAATGAAGGTTTAGGTAGAGAGGGAACCAGAAAGATGCAGAGTTGCAACAGGCTCTGCCAATAATGGCCATTGGCAGGAGCTGGTGGAATTGGAGGTGCATCTCAAAGGAAGGCGGTTCTGCTGGGAGCCTTACCTTTCCCTGGCATTTCAGCCACGTGTGTGTGTGTGTGTGTGTGTGATGTTGTAGGACAGAGGTGGGGAGAGGGGAGATGCCTGAAAGGGCAGAGCAGAGCAACAGTGACTATCCATGCTGGGGAGCACCCCCTCCCATTCTCCCTTATCATTCTTCTATTATAGTTTAAAATTTTTAAATTTATGTTTTATAGAGATGGGGGTTTTGCTATGTTGCCCAGGCTCTTGGCCTCAAGTGATCCTCCTGCCCCAGCCTCCCAAAGTGCTGGGATTACAGGCATGAGCCACTATGCCTAGCTTCATTGTTCTTTTCCATTTGTTTTGCCCCTCCCAGAGCTGACCTCTCACCTTTCTGCGAGAGACGGCCAGGCCATCTGGACAGGTCACAGACCAGATTCTCAAGTCCACACCTCTCTACAGATATTGTTGGGATCATCCCAGCCAGTTAACCCCACCTGAGCTGCCTCCATGTGTAACCCACCTGTGGTTTTCCTGGACTTGGTATGGAGCCAAAGGGTACCTTCCCCACTGGCCCTGCTTTTATGCCCTCTTTAGAGTGCATAGAGAGATGTTGGTAGGCCCATGTCTCTGCTAGAGGGGCCTGTGGGTTGGGCTGAGTTACTCGCCATGGACAGTGGTGGGGTCCTGGAACCCACCAGCTGAGATGGTTTGGGCGGTTCTAGTCTGCACCTCCCCAGAGAGGTCATGGCAGAGAGGCCAGGCACAGAGGAAACCCGCTGAGCCTGCTTCCTTAGTTCTGGCAGATGGGTCAGCCCCCACAGGACTCAGGATTCAATTTAGCCCGGGGTTCTGGCTCCATCTCCCACAGTGCCGGTGCCAGTGGCCTCCTAAGTACTGTTTGGCCAAACCTGGCTCTGACTGAGACAAGGAGCCTTAGGAGTAGTAGGGACAGGAGACACAGCAAACTAGGGCTCAGAGCCACCCTGGAACCCCTTCTTCCTCCCTCTTCATGCATGACCAAGGTTTCTGTATTTGTCCATTCTCATGCTTCTAATAAAGACATACCCAAGACTGGGTAATTTATGAAGCAAAGAAGTTTAATTGACTCACAGTTCAGCATGGAGGCCTCAGGAAACTTAAAATCATGGCGGAAGGGGAAGCAAACATGTCCTTCTTCACATGGCTGCAGGATGGAGAAGTGCAGAGCGAAGGTGGGGAAAAGCCCCATATAAAACCATTGTATCTTGTGAGAACTCACTCTCACGAGAACAGCATGTGGGTAACCACCCCCATGATTCAATTACCTCCCACCGGGTCCCTCCCACGACATGTGGGGATTATGGGAACTACAATTCAAGATGACGTTTGGGTGGGGACACAGCCAAACCCTATCAGTTTCCCACCTATCCCCAGGCTGGGCATCAAGTCCAGGCTCCCAGGAATCCTTCTCTTCTCAGCAGATGGGGGGAAACGCATGGAGAGGGTTGCCCAGGCTCCCCCTTCTCTGCCTCTCCTGCTTTCCCTCCTTTCATGTCGTACCAGGGGGTTATCTGGCGGGCAAGTCTGGTTATCTGGGCATGGTGAGTCTGGTCTAGTGATGGGCAGGCCCCAAAGCTGTGTGTGGCAACGTTCATGACCCCAACTGGCCCCTTCCGCATGCACCATTCTGCCATAAAGTTAACAAGATTCCTTTTCTCATAATAATTATAGTGGCTCGCCCTTTTTGAGCACATGGTAATTATCAGCAATTGTCCTAAGGACTCTACATGCATGAGCACATCTAACCCTGTGAGATGGGTCCTCCTGTTATCCCATTTTGCAGATGAGAGAGCTGGCTCGGAGCAGCTGCGGAACTCCTCCAGGCCCACGCAGCCAGCAAATGGTGGAGCTGGGATCTGAAGCCAGGCAGTCGGGCTCCAGCATTTGCACTCCTTCTCAACTTTGCTCTGCCGCTTATACAACAAATGCTTGCGTGGGTAGAACATTTAACCCAAGACAAACATATACAAACAAAACCCCGGTGATGGAAATGTTCTGGAATTGGATAGTAGTGGTGGTTTCACAACCTCACAAATATACGTGAAACCACTAGATTGTACATTTTAAAATGGTGACTTTATGGCATGGAATTTTATCTCAATTTTTAAAAACCTAAGAAATTATTAACTAATATAAAGAAGAAAATGACAATTGCCTGTCATCCCACCTCCCAGAGGTAAACAAGCATTCACAGGATTTCTGATGGCTTCTGCCATCCTTGTCCCTCTTCCCCTGTTTGTGTGTCCCCTTCTCTGTCATGCCCACTTTTTAGAGCTGGGGTCCAGGTTTATGATGAGTGAGAGGAGTTTAGAAGAGGAAGATAAGGGCGGGAGCTTTTGTAGAAAGCGGGATGAAGGATGTGGCTCTTTCCTTGGAAACTGACCAGGAATAGATCATAGATATGCACAGGCAAACAGAAGACTGGGTGGGTTGGGGAGAGGGTGGCCTTCATTTTCCAAGTCTCAGTCCTTGGGGAAAATTTCTCCCTAACCTCTGTCTATAAACCCTCTTGGCCTGGGATTGCTTCTCTCCGTGTGCTCTCCCCAGGGTTGGCAGGGTGGGAGTCCAAGTGAGGCAGCTTTCCTTAGGGTTGTAGGCAGGGGAAGGGGAGGGCAGGGCCAGGGTGCCCCCCAAAGGAGGCAGCTGTACCACTCTTGGAGGTTGCCTAGCAATCGTGGGGAAAGGTGACCTAGCCCACTACAGAAGCGGGAGGAGAATAAAAGGCAGCCAAAGATGGAAATCGGGCGTACATTGCAGAGGAGGCTGTTCCCCTGGAAACTGCCTCCTTGGTCCTTGGCTACAGCAGGCTACTTCTGGGGTGGGGATCTGTTCTCCATTAAGAGGGAGTGGGGTCTTCCCTAGGCCTGCCACCCACAGGTCAGGGCTGGGGGACCTAGGGAAACCCTTCTTGCACATGGAGTGTATGTCAGATGCGTTTGTCAGTGGCTTCATTTAACGTTGACAACAGCCTTGTAAGATATGTGGGATGATGACACTTCATAGATGAAGATCCTGAGTTTAGAGATAGAGAACAACATGTTCACAGCCGCACAGCGAGAGAGGCCTGGAAATGAAGGTGCTGGCACCCTTGACTCTTAAAGGGAGCCATTCATTTTGCTTCAAAGCATTTCACAAGCCCAAGGTACTCGGAGGTAAATGTAAACACTGTCCACCTCCTGGGAAGGGAACAGAAGATGAGAGAGGGAAGGCTGGAAAGGTGTGTTACCTGTTTTATATCAACCATCCAACCAACCAACCAACCAGTACTTATTAACTATGTCTTGGTTTTCCAAGTAAGTACAAAGACGAATAGTTCACACTGATTAAATGCTGAATGGTTTGGAGTACCTCCACATGTCAAACAACTCTTTGGGGAAGGGACTGTTAGTTTTCTTGGTACAGACAGGGAAATGGAAGCCCAGAGAGGTTAAGAAACTTGACCAAGATTAGGCAGATTGACCTCAGAACTCGGCTTTTAACCAGAAGTACAGACACACTCTTTGCTATTAAGGAGTTTATGTTTGAATTGGGAGGCAAGGCTTATATGGAATTGAAATAAGAGAACAACTCATTGTGGCGCATTTTTAACATTTGTGCTTCCATGTGTGGCTTTCTCTTCAGTAATCATGGTGAGCAAACTTGTGAGGTCTTATCCCCATTTTACATGCAGGGAAAGTAAGGCTCAGAAAGGTTAAGCGACTTTACCAGGCTTTCCGTAGCCTGGAAGTAGAGTTGGTTTTCAATCCAGGTCTTTGACGGGAGGGTCTGTGAGGTTTAAGGGGATGGACATAGGCCTCAGTGAAGGTACTTTTCTTGGTTTTAAAGGTAGTGAAGGATGCAAGTTGTATTTCTCTGTGTTTTTCAGTTGAAGCAGTAACTGTCAGGAATAGACTCAAATCCCCTGAACCTGGAGGCCTCCCCAGTCCCACGTTCCTGGTGGCCTCTTCTGGTGCTGACCCCAGCTTTTGGGAGCTAGCTTCCCCTGCTTTAAGATTCAGCAGCACCCTCCCCTTCTCTCTTGTTTTGGTTCCTTCAGTTTCACCTGTTCTGTCTGTCCTTCCCTTTGTTTAGAGAGTCTCTTCCTTTGTGGTCACCACGGGAACCAAACAGGCTTTGAACCAGGCAGCCGAGGCTCAGGTTTATTTTGATTTTAAAAGCCTGTGCACGTGAAACCCGTAACGTTTGAGGTTCTTGTTTAAGCCTTGAGACGATTTAGAAAGTTGATGAGGGAGTGGGGGACTTAGGTTGGCTTTTGGTGTTACAGGGCTGGGGAGTTTTTGTGCCAGGTCAGAGATCAGCACCAAGTGGGGGGCAGTGCCATTTCCTGACCCCCAGCTTTGAACCTTCCAGGCCTAAATCAGAGGCCCCAAATGTTCAGCTCCAGGCCAAAGAGCAGTCGGCTGGGGGAAGGGAGCCTCCTCTCTGTTACCTTGTTTTTCCTGTTTCTTGGTGGTGGGTGATCGTGGGGCTGTTGAAAGCATGGTCACAAGGCCTGTGATTTGAGGCCAGGCCAGGGCTTGTAGGGGAGCATTTTTATGGGCCTGAAGATTTATTTTTTAAAAGCCATCTGCAAAGCTGATTATAATTGATGGGAGTGAGACAGCATCTGAGCTCTATTTTCAAATCATCTGTAGGTGAAATGACGGGAGGGGAGGCAACTTCAAGGTGGGTGGGCTCCTTCAGGCCGGTCCCCTAATGGAACTTGGCTTTCCAGGCTGGAAGAGGCACCAAGCCTTGCATGTGGGTGGGAGGGGTTCTTAAAATCAGACTCTATCTTTTCTCCTTATGTCTGATGTGGAGATGTCCAACGCATAACAGCCTGTAGTTTGGGGATAGAGAAGTGGAGCTTTTAATTCTTCTGAGTCAAGTCTCGACACCCCCAATATGGGGTCTTGGTCCAGGAAAAAGAGGGCAGCCTCCACCGAGGTCCTCTGTCTTAACACTTGTGTCTGTCGGGTCTGTGAGCAGGGGTGCCTGTCTGTCAGCGTTTGGCTGCATGTGTCTCTCTGGCTCCAAGAAGCCCCTCTGTTGTTTTTGGCCACCTCCTTGACCTTGGCAGAGGAGTGGCTCCCTTTTAAACTCCGCAGACATCCTCCAGATAATAGATAATGGCGCTTTCCAGTCGAGTTCCCGATATTTTGTAAGGGCCTTTCTTTCCAGGAACCCAAAGTGCTTTTCCAGACTTGGCCCTGGGAGCTGGGAGATGCAGGAGGTGGCTTATGAATTGTGTTTTCCTGGAGGCAGGGAAATGGGGCCAGACCCCTGGTTTCCTGTCCTTCATCTCGGATACTGGTGGCTGGGGCTGCATGGAGGTGTTTTTGCATGCATGAAGTCCTGAGGCCTCTTATTAGAAATCTGCATATTTTCCCAACTTTAGCTCCAAATGAAGTTTTGCTTTGTAGCTTTCTTTTTCTCTTCTTCTTTTTCCTCTTTCTCTCTTTTCTTATATTTAGAGGTTCATTGTGTATAGTTTCTTTAAGGAATGCCACATTGGGGTCTCAGTTATATAGTGGGCCCGTGTGCCACCCCCTCACTGAGTCTGCTTGGCATGGGCAAGGAGGCCACAGTAGCACCCAAAGGTGCCTGGCTGGGGGGCCTGTACCTGATGCCTTTTCCCCAGAAGCCACTGGTTCGGAAGCAAGCTCAGCATAGGCCCACATTGCTGGCCCTGGGACTGTTCTGGGAATATGGAGCTGAGCATCCCTGCGTCCCGCTGCCCTGCCCCCAGCAGCAGCCAGCCCTGGTACTGTGCTTTGGGCCAGGCACATGTCTAAGTGCTTTGCAGCTATTAATGTAATCCTCACAATACCCATATGGATGGCTTAGTAGGAGGTAAAGGCCATTTGAGGGTATTTGGAAAGACCTGAAAGGTTCAGGTGGTTACAGCAAGTATTTCTAGATTTTCTGACCTTGAAGCCAGTTCACAAAGACCATGTTGGCTTCAGATTTTTATTTTCAGGAAAGAGTACCTTGTAGAGTTGCGACCGCAGTGTTCTCCCTGATCCCGTAACCTTCCCTCACCGGAGTTAACCGCTGTTCCAAGTTTGGTGTTTTTGTTCCTATACATTTCTTGCCTATATAGCTGTCTGTATCTTTGTGCCTGTTTTAAAACTTTGTGTAGATGGGGTCATACCCAATGCATCACTCTGTTCATTGCTCCTTTTGCTCCCACATCTCCTTTGCCCTGGAGCTGTAAAGGTAGACCTGTGGGAGCTCTGCCATCCCTGTTTTGTGGCTGAGACTGCTGAGTTCCAAAGCACTTGCCCAGGTCACACAGCAACTTGTAGGTGGCAGGTGGGACTGAACCCGGCTTCCTGCCTCTGCGGTGGCGTTCGTATGTTACACCTGCCACCCTGCACCCCGCCAGTGTTCAAAGACTTGCTGATGTTTGATGAGGGAGGGCAGGAGACGTCAGTCTCAGTATCTTACTCTCTTTCCACCCACACGTGTGTGTGGCATCTGGTGTCCGTACCTATGGGTCCCTGGTCCCTTGCCTGCTGCCCTCTTTTCCTGGGCTTGAGATTCAGGTTCCTAGGGACCTATGCCACGTTGCCATTTTTTTCACCTCCCAGGGTAGTAGTTGTGCTTTTATTACTTCTTGATAAAGCAAATGTGTCATGACGAAAAGGTGCGTGAATTTGGGAATGCTTCTAAATGAGTTTATATTTTATGGCTCAGCAGCCTCTTGTGCCATTTGGAAGCTGGCTGTGCTCTGCAAGACAAGAGACTGCTCTGGATATGAGGCTTGGGCTGCATGTAGAGTTTTGGAAGAGGCCAGATGTGGGGAGCCACGATGAGCCCCACTCCGCCAGGACCATTCCTAGGCTTCAAGGACAACAAGTGGGGTCCCAGTTGAGTGGCCTTTGTCCCTGTCTGATTTCCCTCCTCTTGCCTTCTTATCTTCTGGCTCTCAGCCACTCGGCCATTGCCTTGCCCAGTTAGTACCTGGGCTAGGAGAGTCAGAAAGGACAGATATGTGGCAGCCTGCCTGCCTTCATTACACTTTCTTGGGGCACTGTTGTGAAACTCCTCTCTAAAGACATTTAGAGGATTCTCAGGGGATGTCACTGATCTGTAACTGATCTGAGGCTCCTTGGATGATCAAAGGTGGATTTGTGGAGTCTCCTGGGGTCCCCCTAGTAATGGACTTTCAGGAGCTCCCTGATGAGCTCATCCCAGCACCCCAAAGAGCAGGTAAGCACGAATCAAGCTTGCACATACTAGGTATTCACCGAGTATCCAGTGTTGATGAACAGTGGTGGTGAGGGCCTTTGGACAGGAGTGTGGCAGCTGTAGTCCTGCAGGAGACAACTGACAGATGCTGAGGGCCTGGGTGGTGGTAGTCTGAGTCACCAAGGACCACCCCAGAGATGAGGTTGATTGCTGGGACCAGGGCAGAGGCCCAGTTGGCTCCTCAGGACTAAGAGGTGTGTCCTGGAATCAGAAGGAGGACAGGGGCCAGGGAAGCTGGCCTTGTCATTGGGATGGGGTCATAGCCTAGGATGACCTCAGCCCCTGCCATGCTGCTCAGCGCCCCTCTCTGAGCTGGTGCGTCCAATGGTAGGCTGGTTGGAACTGGCACAGACCTCCCAGCTCCCTACCAGCCAGCCTAGCTGCGTTTTTTCTTTGGCTAACAGCCCATCAGATTCCAAGGTGCTGGCCATACTGACATGTCCCTCTTCATCCTGCCCCTTCCTCTCTGGAGGGTGGGGTTATTGCATTTGGCTGAGCCCTGCTTCAGAAAATCACAGGGAATTTCTGGTCCTTTTGTGTGGGTTTGTGGACCTTAAAGGAAGTAAAACCTGGGTCTTGGTTTTCCTTCTCCTTCCAGTCCCTCTGCTGAGGGTTCTCTCTGGAGTGTTGGACGTCAGCAGCCCACTGTCTTTAGCCACAGTATCCCGAGGGGTGTGGATCTAGATAACTGTGGGGCCTCAGCAAAGCTTTCACCTGCCTCCTGCTCCCTTTCTGTTGGGACTTTGGGAGTGGCATTTGGGAGTGGGGATAGGTGTGAAAAGACTGTCTTCTTTGATTTATTAGGCCAGAGAGTTGTTTGGCAGAAACCTATCTTGTCCCCCAGGAACAGGAAGAATGGTTGTGTGTTAGGTACCGGGGCCTCAGGAGACCCGAGGTCTTGTCCTAGTGCTGCCTGTGGCCACTTTGTGATGCTGGATAAGTCACACCTGAAACCACCTATAAACCGAGAAATTGGATGGTAGGATGGTGGTGGGGCTCTGTTCTAAAGGCTGTACTTGGATTATCACATGCAGATGATCTCTGGGGTCTGCGGTGATGCCAACATTCTGTGTTTCTGCCCTCTTGGACACTCAGCAGAGTTAAGCACTTCTTTTTTTAAAAACAAAATTAGTTACTTTTTTATTTTTTGAGACAGGGTCTCGCTCTGTCACCCAGGCTGGAGTGCAGTGGCATGATCTCAGCTTACTGCAGCTTCTACCTCCTGGGCTCAATTGAGTCTCCCACCTCAGTTTCCCAAGTAGGTGGGCCCACAGGAGTGTGTCGTCATGCCCAGATAATTTTATTTTTTTTGTAGGGACAGGGTCTTGCTGTGTTACCCAGGCTGGTCTCAAACTCCTGGGCTTAAACGATCTCCTGCCTCGGCCTCCCAAAGTGCTGGGATTACAGGCATGAACCACCATACTCATCCGAGTCAGGCACTTCTAAAGGTGACCTTGCAGTTGACTCCTGGGCTTTGTAGCCTGGCCCTGAAGTTAACTATTCGGCGAACACAGCTTCTTTAGGAGCCCTCTGTGTCTTCAGCTTTGAGGAGTTTGTTCTCACCCTCTAGGGAGGATGCAAGTGGGGCCAGGTGAATGTGCTTCCTTTATAGACAGACCCAGAAGCCAGTGCTCTTGTGTGTCCTGGGCTCTGCATTCACTCTGGCTCTGGAAATACCTGCTTAGGGTGTGGTCCTGAGTGGGAGGCCAGGTGCCTGGGGAGGGGAGAATCAGGGAGGCACTCTCCCTTGTTTGGTGTTGGTGAAGGGTAACTTAGCTCTGCCTTCTAGTCTGGGTGCTCCAGGTGTGTCTGGGGGTGGGGATGCTGGAGGTGGCTCAGGAGAATTGCAAGGTGGACTGATCATAATTGGTCCTTTGTGTAGACTTGGCTGACCCACAGGCCTGGTGTGAGGAGGCTGCTTGCCTGTGGGCTCAGTGGGTCTGAAACACTGGCTGGAGCCAGGGAGCAAGGCTTTCAGCCTGGAATCTGCCCAAGGGACTGGTGTCAATAGGTGGCCTTGTCTTTCACTTGTTTATTTGCAGAGCCCAGCTCTGGCCCTTCTCTCCTTTGCAGCAGTTTGAAGAAATCAATAGAATGCCCAAGCCAGAAGGGACCTGCACTGTCACCTACCCCTCTTCTCCCTCAGATAAAGGGATGAGGTCCATAGTGGTGATCTGATTTGTCCAAGGACAGTCTGCCATGAGTTCATTCCTTGTGGGGCTAGATTTGGTAAGGATTCTTTATTCTGGGTACACGTAAGCCATCTTCTGAAGTTATCCTTGCAGGTGGGCTCCAGAACACCTGCAGATAGATGCACATGGGGCGGGCCTCTGTATTCTGAAGGCAGATGAAGCTGCTGGGGTTCTGGCTAGTGTGTGGGTGGTCAATTTCAGATGAATTTCACACATGCAGGCAGCTGCACCCTGCCAAGTTGGAGGTAGTGATCCACATGCGGGCCCTTACACTCTGATGTTCCTGGGACTGGCTCTTGCGTTTGCAGTTGAGGAGGGAATGGAGAGATGAGCCTGCAGGAGAGAGGCAGCCTGGTGGCGGCGGTGATCTTGGTGTTAACAGCCAGCACTTATTACCGCATGTCCAGCACTGTGCTAAGTCCATTACGTGCATTATACCAAGGAATCATCATAGCCGCCCTATGAGGAAAAGGTACTGTGACATTTTTAGTCCCACTTTACAGAAGGAACTGAGGCTTAGAGAGATTAAATATTTTCTCCCAACTCACAGCTTTTAGTGGGGCAGTTGGGCTTTGATTTCAGGGCTGCCTGGCCAGAGTCCACACTGCTAACCCCTGTCCTAGTTGCTTCCTCTCTGCTAGCTCATTCCTTCTGGTAGCAAGCACCAGCTGTCAGCCCTGACTGGAGAAGGGAGGCCCCTCATGAGAGATGGAGCTGAGTCTCCACCCTCCCGGGCCCCATACACTTCTCTCCTGACCCGTACATTCCTGTGCACCAGGGAAGTGGCCCCTCTCTGGTCGTGGAGACTGAAGTCCCCGTGCTGTGTTGAGCAGTGGAGGTGGGGGTGGCTCAGGTAGAATGGAGGGTACTTGACTCCTGTTTTTTGAGGGAAAGTTGCCTTTAAGTTGGAGGGATGCTGTTGGCTTCCTGCAGCTGCTTGCTGCCTTTTGATGACGCCCCTGTGCATGGGGGCCTTCAAGTGTAGGTGGAATAGGCAGGGTTGGAAAGGCTCTTTTCTCCCCACAGTCCAGGAGAGGCAGTGCTGGAGCCCCTTATTTGCTGTTCATCCTTTGATGGGTCAGCATAACCTTTATGTTACAAATGCCAATAGATATTTAATTCCTGGGGTGGCATAAGGTAGCAAGCAATTTAGAATTTAATAAAATTACAAATTCTTGGGGAGATGATTCTGATTTCTCTCTTTATCCATGATGCATGCTAGTTGCATGAATAAATGAATGAATTTTTTTAAAACTTATGGAAAATTCACACACAGGAGTAGAGAGAATAGTATAGTGATTTCCCATATACCCATTACTCAGCTTCAGCAATTAGCAACAGAATTGCCTGTAATATTTAATCATCTGGGCTATTTTATTGGCACTGAGATTAGTGTGCTAGTGTGAACTGCTAGGAACTTCTCAAGTGAGAAAGGACAAGCGGAGAAGAAATGATATCATAGTATGAATAAAAACTCATCTTTGTGGTGCTGCCATGCTAGGCAAGTTGCAGGTGCTCACCGGAGGGTTTGAACTAACTGCTCTGGATAACTGGCCAGGTGGTGTTGGGTTCCAGCCCCAGGTGGGAGGAAAGTTTCTGAAGGGTGAGTTCAGCTGGATACGTGAGATTCTCAAACACACACTGGGGCAGAAGGCACTGCAGCCAGCCCTAGTTCATCTACTCAACTCATGTTTACTGTGGATCATCTTTTTTTAAAGTTGACATTTCAAACATAAGAAAAAGCATTGAGAATCATAAAATGAATATCTACCTGCTTGCCACCCAGACTTAACAAACATAAAGCAGACATTCTTTCCAGATGAGGGACAGATGCATGGTCTCTGTCTCTAAGGAGGCCTGTGAGTGAGAGACCCAGGGACGGGCAATTTCCTTGTCATATACAAAGATATCACATCTGGTATAGAGAATGGAGTTCCAAGGAAGGCTCCAGCCCATCCTGGAGGAGACAGGTAGGACTTCCTGGAGGAGGTGATCATGTGAGCTAAAAATCAAATCTGGAATATGTGAGTCAGGCCAAGCGGGTGCGGGGGCAGGGTCAAGGGGAGGTGGGCCTGCAAAGGGTGTAACCAAAGGTAAGAAAAAGGGAGTGCAAAGTTCTGGGGAGGGAGGGGCAGGAGGTGAGTGAGGAGTGGGCTGGGTGCAGCTGGAGTGAAAGATATTTGGGAGTGGGCAACAGTGAGGACTGGTGAATCAGTGAGGGACAAGCTCTGGGCATCTTTAGGGCAGTAGCAGGCACCAGGCTTGTCCTGAGACCTGCTCAGTGCGTGGCTGCCTGAATTAGACTCCACACATTGAGAGGATTATAGACCAATATAATCCCATGCAAAGAAACCCACACAGCGGGTGCGGAAGGGCAGAAACTGTATCAGGACTATTTGATTGACCTGGGCTGCTTAGAGCAGGCTCCAGGCTGTCATTTGAAAGAGGGGATGTGTTGGGTTGACCCAATGGGGAGAAGTAGGACTTGGTGAGAGTTGTGTGGACATGGAATCTGGCTCAGAATAGAATTTCTAACAGCCTTCCAAAGAAGGGATGCATGGTTGGGCGAGAGTTTCATGGTCTTAAATGTGTTGAAGTAGTCTCAGGTTGGAAGCAGGCAGGGCTGGGGTGTGGAGGGAGGAGGGCTCTGCATTGCCTGGCCTTCAAGGCCTCTCCTTACTCTGAGTTCTGAGATTTAGGCTGGGGAGGGTGGGTAAGTGACCTGTGGGCACAGGCAAATGGTGCTCCTGGGAAGGCGGCTGTGGAGGAGGTGCTGGCCCGTTGCCATGGGAACCATCACTGCCGTGGGTTTCCAGTTCCAAGGATGCCCTGGAAGGGAATGAGCTCACTCCACCTGCGAGCTGGTGAGTCAGCCCTGCCTCTCCTGCTTGCTCGCCAAGGCTAGGCGGGAATTTGAGCAGTGGACCCTGCCTCTACCCCCTCCTCAGACCACCCAGGCGCCCGTGCCCTGGATGTGGGCTCTTGTCGTAAAAGATGCAGGGCAATAAAGGCAGCTGCCAGCCATTCTGGCATCAGTGGGGATCCTGACTCGGGGAAGCTGCTAGCCTAGTTGGCTAAACCTTGGCTGTGTTGCAGAGGGTGAGCCATTCTCTCTGCCGGCCACTCAGCTGATGTGGGCTGCACACCAGCCACAGCTGTACTGGGCCAGGGCTTGTGGTCCAGGGGGTAGATGGGTGCCGAGGGCAAGCTTTCAGGGTGTCTTGTGAAGGAGAAGTACAGGCTGGGTGGGTGTGAATGCCTGTCGGTCGGGCGTGGGGGTAGTTTCTGGAGGTGGATGAGGAATGCTTCCCGTGGGGAGTGGCTTCTGATCTGGTGCTGGAGGGATGAGGAGCAACTAGTTTGCCCACCAAGTCCTAGGCATCTGAGGCCAGCCAGGGTCATGGCTCCTGCCTCCTCCTTCTGTGCCCCTCCCCAGATGCCCAGTTGTGAGGGAGTGATCAGAACATGTCGGGGGTATTGCAAGAATCTCAAACAGCTGTGACTTGAGTGTACAAGCCATTTTTATCCAAGACCCTGTGAAATCCATGGCACCACCCACTGGGGGCTGGTCCCTCAGGATCCACATAGGGCCTATAGCCCACCCCCGTGCCCCCGCGCCCTGTGCCCCGTGTGGCGGCCTGTGAGATGCATCAGAACACCCAGGGGAACACTGCGTTTCTAGCCTCTGCTTGCCTTACTTGCTTCACCCACATGGGCCTCTGTTTCCATTTGAGAAGATAGATAAGTTAGGGGAGAAAAATGACCATCTTAGACCCTTTCTCCTAAACATAACCATTTATATTTTCAGAAACCTATTTTTATTTTTAATCTTCATGCCTGCATTATTCTGATAGCGGTAATCATAGTGTACATAAAAATTAGCTCTGCTTTTTTATTTCCCCACTTGGCATTTTATCAAAAACACTTTTTCTTATATAGTTACACAGCCTTTATGTTCCTTGCCTGGAGAAAGTGAGATCCAAGTATAGAGATTGTTTCATAAATACATGTTTATTTGTACTTTCCTGCCTCTTTCCAAAAAGCATTTGAGGTGGATATATTAAAAGTCTCGTGTATAACAGGGTTTTTTGTTATTTCGTTTTAGAGACAGGGTCTCACTCTGTTACCCAGGCTGGCGTGCAGTGGTGCTGTCATAGCTCACTGCAGCCTCAAACTTTTGGGCTCAAGGGATCCTCCCACCTAAGCCTCCTCTGAGTAGCTGGGACTACAGGTGCATGCCACCATGCCTGGCTAATTTTTACATTCTTTTGTAGGGTCTTGCTATGTTGATCAGGCTGGTTTCGAACTCCTGGTCTCAAGAAGTCATCTGACCTCGGCCTTCCAAAGTGCCAGGATTACCAATGTGAGCCACCACACCCCCTTCCTTCAGAAGTTTTTTGTTGTTTAATTTTTTTTTTTTTTTTTAATAGAGATAGGTTCTTGTCAAGTCACCAGGACTGCTCTCAAACTCCTGGCCTTAAGTGATCCTCCCCGCCTGGCTTCCCAAAATGCTGGGTTGACAGGTAGGAGCCACTGTGCCTGGGCCAGAGTTTTAAATTAAAGTTAGAAGATCCAGAGCTATGTCATAGTGGAGGTGAGACAATTGTTAAGAAAACAATGTTAAAAGAGGTTAGTTTTTAAGAAATTTTAATGTAATTCCCCCAGCTTTATTGAGGTAAAATTGAAAATTTTAAATTATATATATTTCAGTTATGCAATGTGATGATTTGATAGACATGTACACTGTGACATGATTACCACAATCAAGTTAATTAACACATCCATCACCTCACATAGTTGTCATTGTTTGTATGTATGTATATGTGATGAGGATACTAAGATCTGCTGTCTTAGCAAATTTCAAATAAACAATATACAACCGACCCTTGAACATCACAGGTTTGAACTGTGCAGGTTCACTTACAAGATTTTTTTTCATAAAAGTTATACCGACTGTGCCTGCCTCTCCTGCCTCCCCTTCCTCCTCCTCCACCTCTTCTGCCTCTGCCACCCCGAGACAGCAGTAGCTGTCCTCCTTCTTCTCCTCCTCCTCAGCCTACTCAATGTGGAGACAACCAGGATGAAAACTTTCATGATGATCCACTTCCACTTACTGAATAGCAAATATAGTTTCTCTTCCTTATGATTTTCTTAATAACATTTTTTTCTGTAGCTTACCTTATTTTAAGAATGCAGTATGTAACATACAACATGGATGTCGATGTGTTTTTAATCAAATGTTTATGTTATAGGTAAGGCTTATAGTCAACACTGGGCTACAACAGTTAAGTTTTTGGGGAGTCAGTTATATGTGGATTTTCTACTGCATAGTGGGAGTGTGAGGGTCGTTGCCTCTTACCCACATGTTCTGGGGACTCAACTGTAGGATTATTAGAAATAGTAACTATCCTGATGGAAGGTTTGTACCCTTTGACCAACATTTCCCCATTTCGTTCAACCCCCCTGGCTCTAGTAACCACCATTCTACTCTCTGCTTCTATGAGTTTGATTTTTTTAGATTCCATGTACAAGTTAGATTATGCAGTATTTGCTATGTCTTGCTTATTTCGCCTAGCCTAATATTAAAAGAGGTTAGTTTTTGTAAGTCAACCCTGACCCTGGTTCTGAGCTTCCTGGCAGCCGAAGCAAAAAGAGAACTTGGAAGTATCAAGTGTTTATTTCTTAGTAAAAGAAAGTATACCAGTTCACGAGAAAGGGGCACTTTTTGTAAGCACTAAAAGCTGAGTTTTACCATTTTAGGAGAGTGGTGCAGTAAACAGTGCTGTCAGTATTAGTTTCATGGAACACACAGAAACTTTTTGTATACTTGTTTCTTAAATCAGCTCCCATTGAAAGCCACAGGTATGGTGTTAAATCACACTTGTAGGAAGGCATTTCTGTGGGGAGCTGAGGCAATGAACTCGAGCTCCACTGTTTCCAGAGGTTTAACCTCAGAGAGGCACAAGTCCTTTGAGATACTCTTGAGCACTTCTTGGAGACTCTGTCGTGGCAGTTGTTTGACAGGAGCTGGAGAGCAGGCTGTGTGGACTCCTGGCTCTGAGTTCAGAGGTTTTCTGAGGTCTTCACAGAAAAGAGAGCTAATAGGTTGGTGCAAAAGTAATCGCGGGTTTTGCCATTAAATGTAATGGGAATTTTGCACCAACCTGAATATTTGTTTTGGGTGCTAAGCATGTGAAGGGCAAAGCTGCTTTTTTATTATGAAAATGAGAGCCTGGCCCACTCTCCCTTTCCAGAAGGATGGCTGTCGAGGCCAAAGTTGTCTTCTAGAAGCAGTTTGGGATCTGCCCACAGAACTGGGATGAGGCCCTTCAGGAAGGAAACAGTGTGGTCAGTCGGGGCTGGGCCTGGGCAAGTCCCCCTTACCAGCTGCCTCACGCCCTGGCTGCTGGCATGTCCTCTGCTAATAATTCTTCCATTATTGGACACTTCCGTGGTTTCCAGTTTTGGCCTATCGTAGATAATGCCTCTATAAATATTCCTTTCATGTGGATGTTTTCCTGCATTTTTGGATAATATCCAGGAGCTGGGTTTTTTGATCATACTCGGAAAGGATCATTTCTGAGTCCTTTTCCATGTGAATCAATTGCTTTCAAAAGACTGACCAGCTTAATGTGCCACCTGTTTTTTTTTTTAATTGAAAAGGAAAGTAATATTTATTGTGGAAAATTTGGAAACTACAGCAAACTACAAAGAAGAAAATAAGAATTAGCAGAAATTCTACCACCCTGAGAGCACAGAGGTGTGTGGCCTGGTGCACACACCTGGTTCACTGCTGCAGTGAACTCGTCTCTTGTCAGGCAGGGGTTTGAGCCTCGGACAGTCCCCTGCTAGTAGTCTGTCTAGGTGCATGGGGCACCTGATTTTCCTCTGCCTCAAACGGTCTTCTCAGCCACTAATTTGTCTGCCTCTGAGCATACATTTCTAAGGTTTTGAAGGCCCTGTTAACCTATTAATCTGTTAATCATAGAAAGCGGTTTAGAAAACTTTTAAATGTCTAAATGTTTGGGAGGAAATGTTAAATTATCACTGATTGGCTTCTTAGTAGATTCCTCAACAGCTACCACCTGCCAGGCGTGAAACCCAAGAGGTCGGGACCCCGGGCTGATGCGCTTCGGTGTGAGAAGTGGTGGAATCGCCTGGGAAAGTTTTGCCCAGATCTGACTCCTGACCACGTTCCTCAAGTTCCTGTCTGGCTCTGAGGCTTGTCTGGAGAGCCAGGGTGTTTGGTAAAATGGAAGGGAAGTGCGAGCGATCATAAATGAGAACCTAAACCTGCCGTCTCTCACTTCCCTCTCTTCACTTCGCTGAACCAGACATTCTCTGGGCCAGGTAGACACGCCCCTCTACTCCCCTGTCATTAGGAGGAAGCTTCCAGGGCAGGGAGACCCCTTCCCATGCTGGCCAGATGCCTTGCTGAACTCTTGACCAGGGTACTGGTTGTGGGCTGAGGGTTGCTGACCCCCTGCAACCCACAGAGTTGCTTCTGTTACTGGGTAGCTCCACCATCACCTAAGCAGTTACATGTCAGACTGAATTTCCCAGAATATGGGGCAGGAAGAAGATGGTCCATTCGTGGAATTACTTGACCTCAAATAGAGAGCGAGGCTTCAGTCCTTAGGAACTGTAATGACTGATCAAAGAGTTCCCGGATGGCTTTAAATGCCAGAATGGGCATGGCAGGTGTGCTGGGCACTGTGCACACAGCAGTGGCACACCTGATGGCCGAGTCATTGTTCAGCATATAGGAGCTGATGCACAGAAGGCCCCCTCTCCTGCCACTCTAGCAGTTTCATTGAGTTGGGTGGGATCTGGGCAGGGACCACAGCTGGAGGTCACAGGTGTCTCTTGGGGGAAGAGGGGATGAATGCCTAAATGATGGCATCTTATCCAAACCCCTCTTACCATGCATGGAACTCTCAGACAGACTCTGTTAGAGATGTGCCTTCAAGATAGATGCTCGATGTTCTTAGAGCTGTGTATCCTCCGGCCAGCCCATCTGACACATAGTTGCAAACAGCTTTCAGTTTTCCAATTTCCAGGGGCTGTGGATGATTAGAACTTTGGAACCATGGGATTCACCAGAGAGAATCTTGGTTTGGGGATGTTTCCTTGGGGCAGAGAAGGGGGAAGCCACTGGAATGTCTCAGCTGCTGTTTGTGTTGTTTGGGTGAAGAGCTCCCTGTTGGGATCTCGTGATGCCTCCAGCTTGTGGCCATGTGGATGGGCTGGGATTGATTTGTTCTGTCTGGTTTGTTAGACACTCTACCCGCTTTGTCTCTCCCCACCCAGAAAACCACAATGAACTCTAAAGGCTGGTCCAACTAAGATTCATGGTAACTGGGAGAGAGAGAGAGAGGGACTTGAGGAGACAAGAGTGACTTGTGCTTTGGTCTGTGAAGGAGAGGTTCCTTTGCGATGAGGATTGGAGGTGGGTCATGCAATGAGGGGCCTCCTGCCTAAGCTGTATTCAGTGATCATTCGCTGCAGGTGACCACAACTTCCTTGTAGATATTCTAGCTCCCCTGGGTATGTCCACCCTCTGCTACCCAAGTGGAGAGGTTCACTCCAAGGCTATATTCCTTATAGGATGGCCCGTGGACCACCTAGGTTTGTGTAAAACTGTAGCTTCCTGGGCCTTTTCCAGACCTCCTGAACCAAATGCTCTGTTAGAGCCCAGAAATCTGCATTTCCAGCAAGCGCCCTACTTAATTTTTAGATAAAGCTAGATAACCCTATGAAGGATTATCTGGAGGAATATTATTGCTTCAGTCTGAATGGAAAGAGTTTAGCTAAATGAACTCAATTCCTTTACATTTTTTCCCCCTTTAATGTTTTTCACTTTTTATGAAAATGGAGACAGGGTCTCACCATGTTGCCCAGGTGGGTCTCAAACTCCTGGACTTAAGCGATCCCCCTCCCTCTGCTTCCCAGAGTGCTAGGAATACAGAAGTAACCCACTGTGCAGCCTCTTTTTTTTTGTTTTTGAGACAGGGTCTTCATCGTTCTGTAACCCAGGCTGGAGTACAGTGGCATGATCATAGCTCACGACAGCCTTGGACCCCTGGTCTCAAGCAGTCTTCCTGCTTCAGACTCTTCAGTAGCTGGGACTATAGTGTGTGCGCCACTGTGCCTGGCTCCAGCTGCTTCACTCTTATTTACTCTTCCTCCAGGACCTTCTTAATGAAGCTTTGTCTCCTTGTGGCTTAGACCGTAAATTCACTAGCCACCCCCAAATGTGAATCAAGTATTTCTTCTGGACGCCAAACCCCCATGACTTAGAGCAAAAGTGAAGAAAGGAAAGGCAATCTGTTATTGCTTTCCTGGTTGTAAACTGCTTTTGGATTTGGAGCACGTGGTCTGGTTGGCTCTCTGCAAGGCTGCTTTAAAGCAACACTGCAGTGCTAGCAGTGGAGGCCCTGCTGATCAGTGATTCATCCCAGGGATTCTGAGGGGCCATCCATATCAGGCAGGTGGCCCACCCTGCCCACTGATCCCTCTCACCCTGCTCAGCAGGTCCTCCCCTGCCACCGAGCGCAAACATCTGTGTCCTTCAATGACCTGCCCAACTCTGTTTGGTTTCCTGCGGAGAGAGGGCTTTTTAACTTTCTGCTTCCTGCCTCGCCCTGCTTCCCTGGTTGGCCCACCGGAGTGACCTCTGATCCTCTAGTCTCAGTTGAGCCAAATTCTGACTGTGGACTGTTGTCTGGGTTCTAGCTTTCTTTCAAACCGCGTGACAGTAGGGGTTTGGGTTGGCTCTAGACACGGTGAGCGCCTAGTCATTGTCATGAGACTGGATCATTTCAGCCTGGGGGTCTGCCAGCAGTTGTGTGTTTTGCTGGGATAGACTCAGACAGCTCCCTTGAGACATTCCCAGGCAATGGGAAGCCTAGGAGGCCTGCAGGACTCAGTTTACATGCAATCTCCTACTGACTCCACACCTGGGGTTCATTTTGGAGGCTCTAGGTCAAGAAACCCTCTGGCTGCTTCCCTCTTTTTCCCTGTGGGAGCTTCATAGGGTAGATGTGGAGGCCACAGTGTATATGGGGACCAGGAAGCTCAGAAATAGAGGGAGGCTGATGATGGGGGAGCAGAATTGAGTGTGGCATGGAGGCTGCCAGGGGAGCTGTTACAGGTCTGCTTGCATCAGAGTGGACTAGGTTGACGAGAAGGATTAGTAAAGAGGAGCTGGGACTTGAAGCTAAGATTTAAGAAAAAGGATCTCCAGGACACTTCATCTGGAGGCCCAGAGAAGGCAAAATCTTCCAGTCAAAGCAACTTAGCTGAGGAACAATTTTTAAAAAGAAAAAAAGTCTGACCAGGGCAAGGTTCTAATAGAGCGAGTGATGTGTTCATTTCTTAAGGTGTTGCACATTGGCACAGCCTTCAGGTTAGCATCATGGCTGTTGATGCAGCAAAAGCTATGAAAATGCTCAGACCCTTTAGCCCTGTAATTTCACCCCCCAGGAGTGTGTCCTAAGGAAACTGTCCAGCTGAAAGAAAGACATGCTTAAAAATATTCTCTGTATGGGCCGGGTGTGGTGGCTCATGCCTGTAATCCCAGCACTTTGGGAGGCCAAGGTGGGCGGATCATGAGGTCAGGAGTTCGAGACCAGTCTGGCTAACATGGTGAAACCCCGTCTATACTAAAAATACAAAAATTAGCTCGGTTCGGTGGCGGGTGCCTGTAATCCCAGCTACTCGGGAGGCTGAGGCAGGAGAACCTCTTGAAACTGGAAGGCGGAGGTTGCAGTGAGCCAAGATTGCACCACTGCACTCCAGCTTGGGTGAAAAGAGTGAAACTCCATTTCAGAATAAATAAATAAATAAATAAATAAATTCTCTGTGTGTAACAGCAAAACTGGGGGAAAAAAGTGCTTCCATATCTAACTAACCCTGGGGAAGGAATTTAACAAACTATCCATCCTGATACATCATGGTGGTGTAGTATTTTTGCAGCCTTTAAAAATGATAATTAGGAAGATTATACAGGAATAAAATATTCAACAGACTGTTGAAAGTCGGAGAACACTAAAGAGTAATACATTATAATTGATCGTACTGTAAATAAGGAAGATAGTGTAGTAAGTAGTGTAAATAAGGAAGATAATATGTAAAAATACAAATGGCTATGTTAAGGCTAGAGGATTCATTATTTTAAAAAATTAGTATTTAAATTTTATGGCAAGTCAGAGAATTTCTATCTGAAGCATCATTCCTCTTCAAATATTTTTCTACTATCACTTGTCCCTTTTCTTTTTTTTTTTTTTGAGACAGAGTCTTGCTGTGTCGCCCAGGCTGGAGTGCAGTGGCGCGATCTTGGCTCACTGCAACTCCACCTCCTGGGTTTAGGTGATTCTTCTGCCTCAGCCTCCCGAGTAGCTGGGAGTACAGGCGCATGCCACCACGCCTAGCTAATTTTTTTTTTTTTTTGTATTTTTAGTAGAGATGGGGTTTCACCATATTGGCCAGGCTGGTCTGGAACTCCTGACCTCATGATCTGCCTGCCTCGGCCTCCCAAAGTGCTGGGATTACAGGCGTGAGCCACCGTGCCTGGTCACTTGTCCCTTTTCTTAAGGAGTCATGGCAACTGGGTGAGATTGAATGACCCACTTTGAGCATCTTTAGTGTGTGTTGTGCACTGCCAGGCTCTGCGGAGTACGCACAGTGTAAGATGTGGTCCTCTGAGCTTAAGGGCAGAGGATATGTGTCTTTGCTGGGGAGATAAGATGTCCCTGTGCTGGGCACGCTGATTAGTGCTGAGGCTGATGCATGGCTCAGGCATGGAGTGGGGGACATGGAGGCTGAGGGTAGGGAGTGGGTGGAGTGGTTTGGGCCTTTAGCTGGGGCTGGAAGAAGGACCAGGAGAGCTTTCAGGACAGGGAAACAACCAGCCCGGCATTGGGGAAACCTAGGAAGACCAGGAGAGTTGAGTTTGCCTAAGAGGGATTTTCAGATCATCACAGCTGTGAGTGAGCTCAGAGTTAAATAAGATGTCTGTTATTCACCCTGTTTTCTAGAGATTGGAAACTGAAGTCCAGGAAATAAGCTCTTCC
Organism: Homo sapiens; assembly: GCF_000001405.40. Taxonomy (NCBI): domain Eukaryota; kingdom Metazoa; phylum Chordata; class Mammalia; order Primates; family Hominidae; genus Homo; species Homo sapiens. The sequence goes on along the minus strand of NC_000014.9, from coordinate 68,953,099 downwards.
AGGAATCTCCAGAGTCCCCTGGGGACAGGGGTGGGTGCGCAGGCTGACTCCCTGTGGGTTGGCTGCGTTCCAGTGGCAGATGCCCCTAGGGATGGGAAATCATCCCCCCGACCCTCTCAGGAAACCCTTTCCATCCCTTCTGGGTTGGTGGCGTCACTGGTGGTGGAGGATCAGCATTCCTTCTCCTTTCAAATCTGCCCGTGCCCTGCTTGGGTGTCAGGCCCTCCTGGGGGCTGCTCCATCCACACTTTCCATTTGGGGGACTTTGACATTTTGTTTAAGTGGAGATGTGATTGAGAGTGTGTGAGGGTGAGAACCGGAGGCTCTGGCTCTTTAAGGCTCGGCCTTCAAGTGAGGTTTGGCAGAGAAGATACTGAACGTTTAATTTTAGGGCCAAGGTAGGGGGTGGGGGAAAGTCCCTACCGCATCTGGTTTGTGTTAAGCCTGTGCCTTCAGAAAAGGGCTGTGTTTATGGTTAAAATCCAGCAGGGATGGGGGGTGGGCGGGATGCCGCTTTCCCCTACTAGGCATTGCGGCACAGGGACAGGGCACATATCTACCTTCCTTCTCATTCTTTGACCCCATCCCAAGCCCGACAGTTACAACTTGGAGAAAACTGCATGTGACATCCATTTTATCTCTGCAGTTAAAGCCAGATGTTTGCTTTCAGGCAGCCTCCAGCAGCTGGACTTTGCCAGGCTGAAGCTGTATTCTTTGTGCCCCAGAACTCCCTGCCGTTGGCCGCCTGTCACTTCGACCTGTCTGCAGCCCGCAGGGTCCCGGGTGGGTCATTGCTGCTGCGGAGTCCAAGCTGGGGCCTGTCAGAAGCTGCCCAGGGCTGGCCTCCAGCAGGCCTCCCTCTGGCGATCCCAGGATTGAGAAGTTGAGTCAATCCCTAGGATGTCTAGACTACCAGCGCTGGAAGGTCCCACAGAAACCAGAGCCAGCCCCCTCTGTCAGATAAAGAAACTGAGGCCCGGAAAGCTGGAGACTGAACCAGACCTCCCTCAGCTCTCAGCTTGGCTCACTGCTCTTTTGCCAGCTTCATGTGGCTTCCCTTTTGGCTACTGTTTGTTTTGCTCTTCCATGCTCTACTCCCTTAAAGGGCCGGCCCTGGGGACAGGGAGTAGGGTGAAAGATCTTCAGACCCAATGGGAAGTTCACAAGGCTGCGCTTGTTCACTGCTGTTTGCCAGCATTAGTATAGTACCTGGCACAGGGTAAGAGTTTAGAAAATCTTGAATGAATGAACGAACGAATGAATGAGTGAATGAATGATGGGGTTACTTGGCCTGAGGGTGGGGACACTGGTGCTGCACTTAGAGCCATTACTTCTGGGAGGGGTACCAGGCACGAGTCTCCACACCCAAAGCTCTCCCTGTTCCAAGACCACGTCCAGTCTTCTCCAGGCCTTCCTCAGTCCCAGCCCATCACCCGGCTTTTACAGGAGCCTGGAGTTTCAGAGCTGAAAGGGGCCTTGGATATCAAATGTTGCATCACCTTCACGTTAGAGTTGGGGAAACGGAGTCAAGGGCACACAGCTAGTCAGCGGGAACGTCAGGACCAGAGCCCAAGTCTGTGGGGTTGCAGAGCTTCCATGCATCCCTCCTTGGGCATTTATGTTGGGAGTTGAGGTTAGAAAGAGAAGGCCCTGTCTTGTCCATTGTGCCTCCCCTTTTCTGTATCTTCCTCTGTGGGATGAGCTGTTTCCTCTTTCTCTCCCTCCTCACTCTGGCTTCCTCTCCTGTAGTGGAGGACGGTGGGGTGGTTTCTCCATAACAGTCTGAGTAAAAAGGCTGGGCCCCTGGGATTGGGCCAAGTCATTCCCTTGTGTCTTCCTAGAAAGGGAAAAAGAGAGTCGGCTGGCTCACTTCCTTCCGGGGAAACCAGCGCCTGAGTCACCCTGGAGTCAGGGCCCAGGGAGGAGCCTGCCCGTCACCCCGTTGCCTCTGGCCATGGGTGGCGCTTCCCTGCCACTGTTTCTCAAAGGGCGGGGGGCCAGGGAAGGCCTGTGCTATCCAGCTGCCCTGCCGTTCGTCTGCCTTCGTCGCTTCTTGGGAGAGTTTCTTGGCCTTCTGCAGGCAGGCTGGTGCTGGTGGCAAGGAGGGCAGGCAGGTGATAACATTGCCCCCCTCTAACTGGAGGTCTTAAACACCCTCCTGAATCACAATTTGAAATGTTTTTGATTTACAAGTCTTCAATATCTGTTTTGTTTTATGATAAAAGTTTGACATGCTTAGGGCCGGACGTGGTGGCTCATGCCTGTAATCCCAGCACTTTGGGAGGCCAAGGCAGCCAGATCACAAGGTCAGTAGATCCAGACCATCCTGGCTAACACAGTGAAACCATGTCTCTACTAAAAATACAAAAAATTAGCCAGGCGTGGTGGCGGGTGCTTGTAGTCCCAGCTACTTGGGAGGCTGAGGCAGGAGAATGGTGTGAACCAGGGAGGCGGAGCTTGCAGTGAGCCGAGATCATACCACTGCATTCCAGACTGGGCGACAGAGTGAGACTCCGTCTCAAAAAAAAAAAAAAGTTTGACATGCTTGTGGTAAAATAAAAAACAACTCCCCACAGGTAACACTGTTATTTTTCTATACCACAGATTTTATATGTTTGATTTATATATATATATATACACACACGCATATATATTATGGTAAAAGATACATAATATGATATTTACCATTTTAGCCATTTTGAAGTGTACGTACAGTTCAGCAGCATTAAGTACATGTATGTTGTTGCGTAACCATCACCAGCATCCATCTCCTGAACTCTTTTTTTTTTTTTTTTTTTTTTTTTTGAGACAACAACTCACTCTGTCACCCAGACTGGGAGTACAGTGGCACAATCTCAGCTTACTGCAACCTCCTCCTCTCGGGTTCAAGTGATTCTTCTGCCTCAGCCTCCCCAGTAGCTGGGATTACAGGCACCTGCCACTATGCCTGGCTAGTTTTTGTATTTTCAGTAGAAACGGGGTTTCATTATGTTGGCTAGGCTGGTCTCGAACTCCTGACCTTGTGATCCGCCCACCTCAGCCTCCCAAAGTGCTGGGATTACAGGTGTGAGCCGCAGCGCCCAGCCCCATCTTCTGAACTCTTTTCATCTTGTAAAACTGAAACTCTGTACCCATGAACAATTCCTGACCCCCAGTCCTGATAATTCCATTCTACTTTCTGCCTCTATGAATTTGACTACTCTAGGGGCCCCATGTAAGTGGAATCATATAGCATTTATTCTTTTGTGTCTGGGTTATTTTCACTTAGCAGAATGTCTTGAAGGTTGGTCCATGTTGCAGCATGTGTCAGAATTTCCTCCCTTTTTAAGGCTGAATCATAGTCCATTGTATGTATGACCATGTTTGGTTTCTCCGTTCATCTGTTGATGGACATTTGGGTTGTTCCCCCCTTTTGGCCGTTGTGAACAGTGCTGCTGTGAATGTGGGTGTACAAATACCTGTTTGAGTCCTTGCATTTAATTTTTTTGTGTATATGCTCAGAAAGTAGTACTGCTATATTTTATGCTGTTACTGGTTGTGCTTCTCAGGCACCTTGGGTCCCCTGGGCAGTGTTGACAGGTCAGCAGAGGGCTTTGGATACCACCCCTTCCCCCTGCCAGCGCCAGGCCTGCCACAGTAGCTGTCTGCAGAGGCTAGGGCTGGCCTGGCCATTTGGGTCCCCGAGGGCACACTGTGGAGCTGCAGAGCTAATGAAAAGTTTTGGAATCTTGTGGTGCAGAAGGGCCTTTTTGGGCCAGGTCCCCACCCTTCCTTCCTCCTGACCTCCTCGTGTTTTGGACTTGGGGAAGGGGGATGCAGCTTCTGGGAGCCCTGGGGAGGCACGGGGACCCCGAGCTTACTTTGGGACCTAGAGGCCCATTCTTCTTATGACCTCCCCCACCCCTGCCTCCAGTTCTTCCTGTCCTGGGCTGTTTTTCTCTCCGAGGCTCTCCCAGAGGGTTAGTGTGAAAAAGATTTTTGGCCCGTTAATTACAGAGACTAATGCAAAACTTCCTAGCTTCCTTTGGAGGAAAATTCTATTTCTTGCTAACAGAGCAGGAGCTCCTGTCCTGATGCCTGCTTTCACCAAGTTGGGCCCCAGAGCAGCTCCTCGCTAGAGCCCTGTGCACAGCTGACTGGTCTCTGTGGGCTCACTGGTTCGAGCTTCATTATGAGCTGCTTTGACCCCCTGGCAGAGATCTGCACGTGGCTGTCTTTTGGGTGCCCCGTGCGCCTCAGGAGGCAGTGTGTCTGTTCTGTCAGCTAGATCACAGCTCTCTGAGAGCAGAGCTGCTGGTTGTTTTTCTTTGTGGCCTGGTAGTGGCTGGTCTGGTAGCCTGTACTTCCTGGATGCCCAGTTACAGAGAAAGAGAGGCCATGAAAATAATTTGGGATTTGGCATTGGAGAACTCCTGGCTTTTGGTTTGGGGCCTGCTCTTTGCTAGCCGGCTTACTTAACCCTCTCGAGCCTGTTTTTCCGTCTCTAAAATAGGGATCAGAAAACCTTACTTCTTTTTTTTTTAAGATGGAGTCTTGCTGTTTTGCCCAGGCTGGAGTGCAGCGGTGCAATCTCGGCTCACTGCAACCTCTGCCTCCCGGGTTCAAGCCATTCTCCTGCCTCAGCCTCCCAAGTAGCTGGGATTACAGGCGCTCGCCACCATGCCCGGCTAATTTTTGTATTTTTAGTAGAGACGGGGGTTCCACCATGTTGGTCAGGCTGGTCTTGGACTCCTGACCTCAGGTGATCCACCCACCTTGGCCTTCCAAAGTGCTGGGATTATAGGCGTGAGCCCACCGCACCCAGCCAGAAAACCCTACTTCTTAATAAGCTTGTTGTGAAGAGTAAATGGGGTCATTGTTATAAAGTGCGTAGGTAAGTGTCAGTGAATGTCAGCTTTTGTCACCGTTGTGCCTCTGCTAAGTGGAAGGGCCTGGGGGGGACTCCCTGCAGAAGGCCAACTTCCTAGGACCTCTGTGTGCTTTCTGTCCATCCAAGCCCTACTCCCCTGGGAGAGGCTGCGTGTGAGGTTGTCTGGTTGGGTGGCAGCAGCTTCCCCTGCAGAAGGAAACTGCTTCCTCCCCAGGGAGATGGGAGTTGCTAAACTCTGGCTTGGGCCGGCTGTGTGCTCTAAGCAGGGATTATGTGCGTGTGTGATGAGGGCGGTGCCTTGGGCTTCATTCCAGATACACCGTGTTCTCTGACCTCGCACTCCCTTCCTTGGAGCCCCTCACTCCAGCACCAGGCATTGTGGCTCAGAACTCCCACTGCTCCGGATTGCTATTTGACAGTTTCATAGGTGGGTCCTACTTCCCTTTTTAGATGATAGGCTCCAGGACCTCCATATTCCTCATATTTGGGGACAGAAAATAAGAGCTTCTCTTTCCATGCAGTAGGATGCCCCTTTCTCCTGTGGGATGATTGGGACCGGCCTGTCCAGGCTTGGGGGAGGGAATAGGAACGGGAACCCTGCTTGGAGCTGCATTCTGTGTTCGGCCCCTCCCTGCAGAAGACTTCACCTTGCAGAGACTGCAGAGTGTTAGGGAGAACCCAGCTTTGGAGCCAGCAGCACTGGTGTGGAGGCAAGCTCTGCTGTCTGACTTGCTGTGTCCTTGAGCTGGTCCTTATTCTGAGCCTCAGTTTCTTCCTCTGTAAAAAGACAATCTGTCTTGCAGAGTTGTTGCCGAGACTAAATGAGATGATGGATGTAAACCACCCAAGCTGGCATCCCATACCTGGTAGGCTCCCTAAGTGTGTTGTTATTTTGTGTGTGGATGGGCCAAGGGGTGCTTTTAGCGAACCATTCTTCTCCACACAGAGGTGTGGTGAGACAGACTTCCTATATACATTTCTGTAGCCCAGAGTTGCCCAAACTTGCCTGATTATAGGATTCACATGGAGTACTTGTTACTTGTTAAAATACCAATCTGTGAGTCCCATCCCAGAACTCCTGAACCAGAATGGTGGTTGTTGGGGTGAGGGGTCTCTACTTTTAACCTTTTTTATAATCGGGCCAGTCTGGGAAATGCCGTTTCCCTCAGATTGCTCTGCCAGTTGCTGTGTCATTCCATCTTCACGGGGGCCCATTGGAATGAGACAAGTATGGCCCCTTGGAAAGTGGGAGACTTTGCAGGTGAGACTGAAGCTTGAAGGGGCTGGCCTGAGGCCCTGAGCTCCTTGTGGTGGAAGCAGATTTAGAACTGAGATCTCCCAGTGATGTGTGTCCATTGTGCCTGCAAACATTCCACTAAAGCATGGAAAAGGTGAAGGTGGGGATGGAGAGAGATGGAGTGACAGGAAGGAGGTGAGGGCTGAGGGCCTCCATGATGGCCTTGGGAACCTGCAGAGACTAAGTGGGGGATGGATGGTGGGACAGAGCCCTGAGCCCCACTAGGATGCTTCCCCAGGTGTGCCTTCTGAAAACCAGGGCCCCAGTGAGCATGTGGGGCCTTGGGCTTCTTAGAACCACTGGGAATCCACAGGTGTCAGAGCGTAGGCGCGGTCTTAGGCAGCATGGACCCAGCGGGAGGGGCTGGGACTCCTCCTCAGGGCTGCTGGTGGAGTCCTGGAAGTCCTGTGGGTAGGACTTCTGCCACTTCTCCCCTCTTCCTCTGCCTTTTTTATTGGGCTGGGAAGTTTTCTAGAAGCACAGGCAGGGCTGGCTCCCTTGTTCAGATAGGGAAGTTGAGGAATAGGTATTTCCAGGGTCAGCTGATGATGCCAGGAACTGGGGTCCCACTGCCTTGTCTGCTTCCTCCTTCTCAAAGTTGGCCTGGTCCATTAGAGAAAACCCCTTTTAGGTCCTTACTATGTCATCCTTTCCAGTTTACCCTTAAGAGGCCCTTAAGGAGGATTTCAACCTCTGCTGGGCCCCACCCCCAGAGGGTGACTTGATTGGTGGTGGTGAGGTGGGCTGGTGGGCTGGTGGGCTGTGAGCGGAGGGGCCCTGTTACGGACAGTTGTGAGAGTGTGGCCGGGGCACGGTGACCTGCTGCCAGGCCCTGGGGAGAGTCACGCTGACTGAGCCTGTGGTTGAAAGTGTGTGACTGCCACCGCGGGTGGAATTCTGGCTCCTGCATCTACTGTTCGCTGTGACCTTGAGTGGCTGTGAGCTCTTGGCCTCGGTTTTCTCATCTGTAAAATGAGATGCCTTCTGGGGTGGTTAAGATTGATTGGGTTGACACTGGTAGAACACTTGGGGCAGTGGGTTGGGAGTGACATCCTGATCTCTGAAGCTCTTCCACTCAGACCTTTCAATTAGATCTGCAGCCTCAGGACTTTGGACCTTTGGGGACTGCTGTGAACAGCGAGCTGCCCCAGGTGTCTGGGCAGGCAGGGAGTATGGGTGCAAAGCTGTGGCCTCTCTGCCTGTTCCTCCTTCTGTTGGCTCAGGTCTGAAAATCTGGGTGTGGCCTCTGCCCCTCCTCCCCGTCTCTCCTGAGTATCTCTTGTATCCACCTGCTTCTCCCTCTCCTACACTGCCACCCTGGACTGGCTCCCTTTGTCTCTGGCTGGGACCTTTTCGTGATCTTGTGCTTGGTCTCTTTTCAGCCACTCTTTTCCATCTCTGATCTGCCCTTCCCATGGCATTTAGAGGTCTCTTTCTAAGATGCAGGTGGAATTATGTAACCAGCATCTGATTGGCACTCCCAGCCCAACTCAGCCCGCCACAGCCCCATTTGTTTCTTTCAGCTAAAATAAAATGTCTTCGGTGACTTCCACTGCTCTCAGGAGAAACAACAGCTGCAGGAACCCGAACACCCATGTGGCTAGTTGATCTCCAGTCTCTGGCACCCTCTTCTTCCCTCCTGCACTGTGACTTTTTTTTTTTCAGTTTTTTGAACAGACCTTACTCTCTTTTCTCTGGGGCCTTTGCTGTTTGTTTGTTTTCTTCTTCTTCTTCTTTTCTTTCTTTCTTTCTTTCTTTTTTTTTTTTTTGAACCGGAGTCTTACTCTGTTGCCCAGGCTGGAGTGTAGTGGTGCAATAGGCTCACTGCAACCTCCGCCTCCTGGGTTCAAGCGATTCTCCTACCTTAGCCTTTTGAGTAGCTGGGATTATGGGCACGTGCCACCACACCCAGCTAATTTTGTATTTTTAGTAGAGACAGGGTTTCACCATGTTGCCCAGCCCCACACACGCGTAGGGTGACCTACAGCTACCTGCTCCACACACGCATAGGGTGACCTACAGCTACCTGACCCACACACGCATAGGGTGACCTACAGCTACCCGCCCCACACACGTGTAGGGTGACCTACAGCTCTGCCTATACCTGTTATGCTGGTGTAATTATTAGTAGACCCCCTGGTGCCTTGGTTTGGATGACAGGTTATGTGGGCCCCCTTCACATTTACGAACTTTTCATCTAATACTCCCCAGCCTTATAGATTCACTGACTCCCTTGGGGCAGTGATCAGACACACTGCCCCCCTACAGCCCCCCAGGATCAGTTCAGGGTCCTGTTTTAGCCTTATGCCTTCCAGGACCTTTCCTATAGGCACTGGATCTTAGTGTACAAAAATACACGCATTGATAAAATCTTTGCTTATTGTTTGTCTTCTCCATTAGACTGCAGGCTCCATGACTTAGGACAGTGCCTGTATTTGCCCACGATGTAACCCTAGTCCCTGATACAGAATGAGTGCTCAGTAAGAATTTATGGAAGGAAGGAATGAATGAATCTGGCTGCAGCTGTCTGGCAGGGGAGGCCTGGAGCCTGGGCGAGTCTGTAGAATCTGCAGTGGCCTGCGTGAGGGAGGCTGCCAACATCGGGCCAGTCCAAGCCCTAGCAAGCCAGTTGCCCACACTCTGGCACACATCATCGGCTTGGTGGCCCCTTTAATTATTCATCGGTCTTTCTCAATGGCCTTTGTGTTCAGAAACCCAAGACAGAATTCAAACCCTCTTTCCATCTCCCTAAAACTGAGACCTGGAAGAAAAACCTGCTGGCCCATTCTGCATCCCCAGGGGGCCAGCAGGTCCACAGCCTCCTCTCGTGGCTGGCTTTAAGCGTTGAAGTGTCCTGGGCTGCCCTGTGGCTCTCCTCCCCAGTCCACTGGGCTCAGGGACTGCCTGGGCACAGCTGAGTGGGTGCCCGTGTGGCTTGAGACTGAGCAGGGACTGGTGCAGGCTGGTGGGCAGAGCTGGATGAGTCCCCATCATTCCCCAGCCTGAACGGAGTCTGAAGGCTGGCCTGGAAGAGTTTAGCCTCCCAGCAGAGTGGAGCAGGCTCAGGCTTTGACCGACCTAGTTCACACCTCAGTTCTGCCTCTTGCCAGCTGTGTGACTGTGGGGAACTGGCCCTTGGTGTCCTGTTCCTTTGTTCCTTTAACCTAGAATTGTTGAGTGGACTTGCTGAGATGGCGCATGCCTCGTGGGTGATGATAACAGTGAGTGAGCACTCACTGAGGGTTATAATGGTAGCCAACATCTTTGAGCAACCCTAGGATATGATTCCCTCTCCTTCCCTCACCTCCCCTTGGGGCTCCCTGAAGTCCACGTTGCCATCAGTGTCCCCATCTTGAAACTGAGGATGGAACGCTGATCTTTCCTTTCAAGGTTGGGGGGAGGGGGCTGGGGAGCCGAAAGCACCCCAGGGCTGCCCTTGCTGCAGTGTCTGAAGTGAAGCCTAGGAGCCCCGGTGCTGGTGGGCAACAGCAGGCGTGGATCTCTCTGATCTTTGAAGAGGACTGTGAATACACTGACCACAGGCGGAAGCCCCTTGTCCCGTCCTGCCCTGCACTACCCAGAGGTCCCTGGGCTTCTCAGCAGAGGTGGACAGATCTGCTTGCAGCTGCCCTTCTTCCCACGCTTCTGGAAATGGAAGTTCCCACAGACACATTCCTGTTCCTCAGCTTGCTGCTCCCTGCTTGCTGATACCTTGCCGCCCTGTCCCTCAAACCGGGCTGGCCATACCAAGGTGTTGGCGAGCTGCTCAGCCTGCTGAGCTGTTGACACCCCAGACCACCGCCGGCCTAGTGGACAGGCCAGGAAGGCAGTGATGGCACTGGGTCACATTGTCCTGGGCCTGGGTGAGGGTTTCTGTGCTGCTTTTTAATGTGCTGATCTGTGTGTTTGTGTTTTGGGAGAAGAAACTTTGTGTTGCGGAACCTCAGGTGAAGAGAATTGAGGTCGTTAGGCTCCTCCGTCATGGCCCAGTGTCATCTCGGGGCCATGCAAGGCCTCTGTGTGTCCGTCACATTTTATCCTACAATCTCCTGTGATGGATATGCAGATTGTCCCCAGCTGCTCTCCTGCTGACACAAATGAGGCAACGATGAACATTCTCCCATACATCCCAGTGCAGCTGTGTGAGGATTGCATTGAGCAGGGAATTGCTGGGTTGCAGGGAATTTCCTGATACGCTGCTGAGTTACCCCCTAAAATGGCTGTACAGTCTACTCTCCACCAGCCGGGCACGAGGGCTTCCGGATCCCTCAACCCCACCAACATTCGGCGTAATCAACTTTCTAATTGTTTGCCTGTCTATTAGGTGTAAAGAGATGCATTTTAGTTTTGAGCTGCAGCTGAAGAGGAACTCTCCTCCAAGTGCCAAGACTGCTCCCCTCCTCCAGTCAGCTCTCTTGGAACCAGAAACTTCCTCCTGGGTGGTGTTGAGAATCATGGTGATGCTCTGCAGAAAACCTCTCCTCTGTAAGGAGTGGCAGTTTATAGATACAGCCCGTTAATGCCTCAGTCCCTGCAGGAAGTTCTTTTTTTTTTGAGCTGGGGTCTCACTGTCTCCCAGGTTGGAATGCAGTGGTATGATTATGGCTCACTGCAGCCTCGACCTCCCTGGGCTGGGGTGATCCTCCCACCTCAGCCTCCTGGGTAGCTGGAACTATAGGGGTGCACCATCATGCCTGGCTAACATTTTTAAATTTTTTGTAGAGACAGAGTTTTTTGCCTGTTGCGTAGGTTCCTGCAGGAAGTTCTGCTCCCTGGGAGTGTCTGCTCCAGTCCCACCCCGGGGGTGCAAATCACTGCTGTGACTTGTGGTGGCTTGTGATGCTTCCACAGTTGCTGAACTTGTTGCCTCATCCCCTGGTATCTCTGGCATCCTGCGGGCTTGGGTTTCCTGGAGCTTTGAGAATTCCTTTGCAAAGTCATGTGGCTGCTGCCGGGTGGTTGTCCCTCAGGGAGGAGGTGGGTGGCGCTGTGGCATTGGCTTGGAGTTTGGGCTGGATCAGTGCTGAGGTCCTATTGATCAAGTTTTGACTGAGTCAGAGAGGTTGGGGTGCAGTGCCTGCTGGATCCTGCTAGCCCAGATGAAGGAACACACTGGGTGCCAAGGTGTCCCCCATGATCCCTTGATGCTACCTGGGACCGTTTAGTAGACAAGGGCAATTCCATGGGTCCTGGAGTCGTTCTTTTTGTCTCATGCCTTTCCATGAGCACCCTTTCTCTTGTCTTTCTTGTACTTTAGTAATGAACTCTAGACACTATTAACTACTTAGGGTGTGCTGGGCTTTTTGCATAGATTATCTCATTGAAACTCCTTACCAAACCAGTTGAGAAAGGTATTATCCCTGTTTTACAGATGAGGAAACTGAGGCTCAGAAAGGTCAAGAACTTGCTTAGGTTCCAAGGTTAGTAAGTGGCAGACCCATATTGAACCCAGCTCTTCTGTGCCCAAATCCGTTCTTAGCCACTAAGCCTTGGTCCTCAGAGTGTGGTCTCTGGACCGGCAGCATCAGCATCACCTGGATACTTGTTAGAAATGCAGTTTCTCTGCCGGCCTAGAACTTTGGAATCAGAAACTGGCGGTGGGGCCCAGCAATCTGTATTTTAACAAGCCCTCCAGGTGATTCTGGTAAATGTTCAAGTTTACATATTCAAGTTTGAGAACCACCGCACTGAATTATCCTGCTGTTCTTTTTTCTATTTTTTCTGCCTGGCTTCTCCCCTTTTGTCATTGGGCCAGTCACTGTGAGCCCAGACTTTGAACCCTGGCTGCTCTTCAGGGGCTTCATGCCCCTTTTAAAGAGGTGCAGTAATTCGTCCTCTGGGGCCTCCACAGGAACCCCTCCCAAGTCCCCAAAAGCAGTTGACAGAACTGATGCTCCAGCTGACAGCCTGGTGACCGGAACCACCATGGGGGTCAGAGTTCCCAGTCACTATGCCCAAGGAGGTGCTTTGAGGGGTCCGGGTGACCCAGGGGTGGACTGTGGGACAGACCAGGACAGAAGCTCCTGCTGGGAGATTATTTTAGGGGCACAGAAAGGAGACTTGGAAAACTTCCTTGTCCAAGCAGGATCTCTTTCTTTCTTGCAAATTTGTAATGATAAGTGGTTTGACCTTTGGAGAGGAGCTTCCACACAGGGGTTTGGAATCTAGGCAGGTCCTTGTTTCTGGTCAACAAGGCACATTCAGGAGAAATGACCCTGGGGAGAGGATAGAAGCTAATTTTTTTTTTTTTTTTTTAAGTAGAGACAGGGTCTTGCTATGTTGCCCAGGCTGGCCTTGATCTCCTGGCCTCAGGCAATCCTCCTGCCTCAGCCTCCCAAAGTGCTGGGATTGCTGGTGTGAGATACCAGAGCCAGCCTTATTTAATTTTTGAGCCCCTACCGTAAGTCTAGTTTTGTGCTATTTAATTCTTAGCCCAACCCCAGGAGGGGTGGATTTCATCATCCCATTCCACAGATAAGACCATGGAGGTTTCAAGCTGGAAGACTGAGGGTCATACCTCAACTACATGGAGGGGTCAAGTTAGGGGCCAGAGTCTGCCAGACCCCGGGTTCCCATATTGTATGAGTAGCAGGCTGGGCCAAATCCCTGTCAGCTGGGGGAGTTCTCTATGGAATTGAGTGACCCAGAGCTCTCAGCATCTGTGCCAAAAAAACCAAATGACCTCACTTTTGGTGGCTTTTCCTTCTTTGGGGAAGGAATGTGCTGGCCACTGCTGGGAGCTACAGCCTGCTGAGGCCTGTGTGCTCTCAGACCTGCAAGGGCCAGAATCAGACTCCAGACATGGGGGAGGGGTTACAGCAGGACCAAACTGTAACCCCGGAGGACCGGGGAGGAGGCTGTTCTCACACTGGCCTCCCGGAGCGGGTGCCACTCTGCTTCGAAGACCAGCTCCGCCCATTTAGTAATCCTCATCTCAGCAGGCTTACCAGCCACTGTTCAGTAGCTGAACTAGCTCAATTACATCAGTCCCCCGAGAGGGCTCTGGTCCAGGGCCTGTCTTTGAGCCTGGTTTCTTTCCAATGGGCCAAATGGGTTAAAAACAAAACCACGTCTTGATATAAAAGGCTTAGCGGGGTCCTGGAACATTTTAGTTTAAAAGAGAAATAACAGCTTTATTGAGATGTCATTCACATACCCATACAATTAACCCATTTATACAACTTCATGGTTTTTAGGATAGTCACATAAATGGGCAGCTATTTTTGCCATCAGTTTTGAACATTTTTATCACCTTAGAAAGATATTCTGTACCCCTTAGCTATCACCTCCCCCAACTCCTCCGTTCCCAGCCCTAAGAAACCACTAATCAAGCCGCTTTCGGTCTTCCTAGGTGCTTTTGTGTTTTAACATCTAGTGAGTGCTTGGTCTGCGTCTGGTAGCAGACTGAGCCCTTTGCACTAGCTCACATAGCCCTCCCTCGTGACTACTTTATGGGCTGCAGGCTCATTTTATCTTTATTTTATTATTACTATTTTCACCATCATCATTCTGGCCCACAGAAGTCTTTACTGATGTGAGAACCAAGGCTCCGGGAGGCCCAGTCGCAAGTACTGGACAGAGCTAGCTGGTGGCTGGCAGTTGGGGTGGGCTCTTGGGTCCCTGGGAGGGGTGAGGCTGTGGATGGTGACAGATTGGCTGAGGCAGTTGACTCTCATTGGCGAGGAGCTAAGAGGACAGACCTGTTTCTTCACTAGGATCGTGTGTCCACCTGTTTTAAAGTGGCTCTGATTTCTCCTGGGAGCCCATAGGTTCCACCTGTACCAGGCAAGAAGGAGCTGGGCAGTCTGCCTTCTGGGGGGCCTTGGATGGCAGGGAGGCCAGATCAGAGTCTCATGGTGGCCCAGGAGCCCTCTCAAGCACGGTGCCTTTGTTAGGCCTCCCAGAAAAAGCTGCAGGCCCCCTGCTTCTTGGCCCTGGTGACCCTCTGGGTGTCTGGTGCTATGTCTTTTGAAATGGGCTGTAGATGGGTGTAAACCAGGAAATGCAGGCTCCACTCCCCCCTCCCCATCTCCTCCTCTTGGCCAGAGGCCCGTCTCAGAGTTCTCTCATCAGTGGGGAAAAAAAACAACAGGACTTCTTTCTTGCTCTGTGAATGATTAACTTTGATTAAATAGACAGTGGATGGGAAGTGAGAGCATGCTGACCGCTGACATTGACTGGGCTCCTGATGTGTCCAGGGTATCTTGCTGGCTGTTTTGCTTCCATTGTCATAATCTTCACAAAGTGGTGATGTTCTTTATCCCCATTGTAAGGTGAGGCAATTGACACCTAGACAGTTTAACTAAAGCCACACAGCCAGTGAGTGGTGAGGACCTGCTGGGTTAACATTGTTTAAGTGTCTGTTGTGGACACAGCACCAGGCTAAGTCTTTCAGGACATAGGGTCTAATTTGGTCGTCTTTCATTCTGTGCCATTGTAGGCCTTGTTATCCCCATTTTACAGATAGGGATCCTGAGGCTAGGATTAAATCTCCTGTCCAAGCAGACAGATGTAATGTGAGGTGTGGGCTGGCACTGGAGCCTAGGTCTGTCTTGTTCCAAAGTCCAAGGTGCACCCCCAGTCCCCCCTACTCTGAATCTCCAGGACCCCAGCACTCACATGTCCTGGGGACAGGCTGTTAGAGCAGTGCCAGGTCTCAGCAGAGGCCTGGTGGTTGTCAGCTTTTTCAGCAGCCACTCCCAGGTGGGTGGGAAGTGGGCAGATCTGGGTGGAGATGTTCCCGAAGACTCTGCTTTTCATCAGCGCATGAACCAGCTGACGGCTGGCTTTGAAGGGCTGGCAGTCAGCCCCTGATAAGTTAGCCAGATACTCCTATTTACCATGCCAGAACACTGGGCATCTGAGATCACTTCTGGGCAGGTCTTTGCTTAGACAAACCACCCAGGGCCCACGCCCTGGCCAGACTGGCCATACTTGTATGGGGGTCAGAGGGATTCCAGCACGCCCCCTGGCTGCACCTCAGTAACGTCTTCAACATCAGTGGATGCTGCAGAGGACTCAACGCTGAGCACAGGTGCTGGCCTGGCCTTCTCCAAGGACCCTGCTGGTTCACACACCCCGCCCACACAGCAGGGGGCTGGCTTGGGCTGGCAGGGTGCTTGCCTGGGGAGGCTGGTGAGTTTGTTTTTGACTCGATGAGCCTAGACCAGAGTCCTGGGTGCTCTACTCAGGGAGAAGAACGACCATCAGACGAGAAGCTGGCTTGTATAGGAAGCTGTGTACCATTTTCAGGAAGTGTAGAAGCTCATTTGGGTGATTTCCTGGGGTCACTTGGCCAGAGCACAGCCCTTTATCTTACCCAGTTAGCAGTTTGCTGTCTTAATTATTGGGGAGATGTGTGTGATTGCTGGTGTATCCTCATGTCCTGCTCCCTAATTATGACTTTCTTTAAGATTTTACACTGATAAGGCACTTTAAAGTTCTTCAGAGCCTTTTCCCTATATTATATCTTATTTTATTCTCAAACTCATTCTTTTAAATAGATGGGATAATTTTTTCATTTTTTATCTTTATTTTGGAAACATCCTTTTTCCTCCTCCATAATACCTGAGCCTTGTCCCACCCTTGCCAAATAATCCCAGAGAAATGGGAAGTCCTCTCTATCCTATCCTAGAGGTCTGACATAACAATTAAATGTATATATTCCCAGACAGACTTTTCTTTTTTCTTTTTTTTTTGAAAACCACTAACTTTATTGATCTAAAAAACTTTACAAGGACAGTGACTGTTCTGCCAAAAAAGGAGCCAAATGGTATCAAATGGACTGCAAGTGAGGGTGGGGGTGAGAGACGGGGCCAGGAATCCATGCAGGAAAGCTGATAACTGTCACCAGGGAATTGGCAAGGGAAAAAGGAAGGAGGAGGCATACAAGAGCGAGAATCCAAAAAAGTTGAAATGGTTAGGGGAGAAAACTCTCAAAAGACCCTGGAGTACATCAGAGGTGAGTACAATAGCAATCTTTTCCTCTGTAGAGGACAGGGGAGGAGTCCCTTCATGGCTGCAAACTCTGGATGAGGGCTGGGGATTGAGGGCTTCCCAGAGAGCATCACAAGAAGTTGTCCTACCACTCTTAAAGGCATCAGAAGCAGTTCTGGGATTGCTTGGCGTTGGCACCACAAGTGTCCTTCAGCCATTCCTGGAAGAGGTCTTCAGTTTTCTTCAGCACCAGAAACTGGCCAAGGACAACATAGGCTTTGTCAAAGCCCCTTTCCTCCGGCTTCTTGCCCAGGACTTCACCCGGCCAGGCTCCCCACTGGCTCTTCCCCCATGGGCTCTGCCACGAACTCTCGGTGCTTTTGGAAGGTTGTCATCTTGATTAGGCCTAATCGGCAGCTTCAATTCCCGTAACAGTTCCTCCCGCCACCCCCTAGACAGACTGTTCTTTTATTTGCATACTTAAAAAAAAAAAAAAGGTAATGACAGCACATTTTGGTACAAAACTCAAACAAAAGCATATTCTGTGAAAAGCAAGTGTTCTCTACCCCCTGCCTTCCCATTTCTCTCCCTGGAGGCAGCCGATGATCCTGGTCCTTCTGTGTCCTGCTAGGAATGTTCTAGCATAAAGCTTTTAGATGCTGTCCGGGACACTAACGTCAGGATTCTGCTTGCTGAGAAGGGTTAGGAGCTGGCTGTCTTGAGACAGAAACACTGAGTATGTTTTGAGTTCATGGAGATGAAATTGTCCCTGGGAAATTTTTTGGCTTTCTTTGAGAGCCCACCAATCAGAATAAACCCTACACAGGAACAAAAGATTGTTGCCGGGTGCTGTTTGGTTGTGTCTTCTCATTAGGCGTGTTCTGATGGGAAAAGTTTCTGGGCTCCAGCCTGCAAGGTAGGAGGGACTTGTTTGCGCTAGCAGAGCTGGAAGGGATTGAAGTGACTTATCTGAGGTCACACGCCTGGCTGAGCCAGGGCAGGTCCCAGGTTTCCTGATCCCATCCTCTGAACACTTAACTCCCCTGGCCTGAATGGTGGCTGGTATTTTTGATTCCGGGAGAGTGGGAGGATGTGCTTGGAAGAGGTGTGGCCAGCACGTGAGTTTGGAGCCTGGGCTGTCCCACCACTGCCCAGCTAGTCTTGTTTGGCTGCAGGTGGGTTATCTTGTTTATTCCACTGTGCAACAAATGGAAAAAGCACCTTTGTCAATGGAGGCTTCTCTGGGGAGGTCAGCCAGAGTGGATGGCCTGGATTGTGTGTTGAGGCTTAAACATCAGAATAGAGCGCTCTAGCCGGGTGTGGTGGCTCATGCCTGTAATCCCAGCACTTTGGGAAGCCAAGGTGGACAGATCGCTTGAGGTCAGGAGTTTGAGACCAGCCAGGCCAACATAGCAAAACCCCGTCTCTACTAAAAATACAAAACTTAGCCGGGCGTGGTGGCACGCGCCTGTAGTCCCAGCAACTCAGGAGGCTGAGGCAGGAGAATTGCTTGAACCTGAGAGGTGGAGGTTGCAGTGAGCTGAGATTGCACCACTGCACTCCAGCCTGGGCAGACTCCTCTCAAAAAAAAAAAAAAAAAAAAAAAAAATGAACAGAGAGCTCTCTGACAGGAGAAGGGAGAGGGAGCAGATCATCATAAAAACCAACCACATTGCCAGGCACAGTAGCTCATGCCTGTAATCCCAGCATTTTGGGAGGCAGAGGCAGGTGGATCACCTGAGCTCAGGAGTTCGAGACCAGCCTGACCAATATGGAGAAACCCCATCTCTACTAAAAATACAAAATTAGTTGGGTGTGGTGGCACATGCCTGTAATCCCAGCTAGTCGGGGGAGGGTAAGGCAGGAGAATAGCTTGAACCTGAGAGATGGAGGTTGCAGTGAGCGGAGATTGTGCCATTGCACTCCAGCCTGGGCAACAAGAGCAAAACTCCATCTTAAAAAAAAACAAAAACAAAGCCCACAACCAACCACATTTACAGACAACTGTAAAACAGCAAAAAATCCTAATCAGTTCAGTTACTGGAGTGCAAGCCCTGTTAGCATTTTGATGTGTTTTGTTTTTAGTCATTTTTTTCATGTTTGTGTGATTGCCCACATAGTTTTAAACTTGCAGTACATACAGTCTTGAATCCTGCTTTTTTTGGTTAATTATATATAAGCAGTTTTTTTCATAGTAACATAGTTTCAGAACCCATCATTTTGGCCATGTAATATTTCATTAAGTGGATGATGAAGCCTAATATACTTAACCTAATACCTTATTAATACAATTTCTGTCTCTTTCTAATTTTTCTCTCTCAAGGAATACTGGCAAGAACATTTGTATGCTTACAGCCTTTGCTTTATATTTAGAATTATTAG
The DNA here is from genome assembly GCF_000001405.40 of Homo sapiens. NCBI lineage: Eukaryota > Metazoa > Chordata > Mammalia > Primates > Hominidae > Homo > Homo sapiens. The sequence continues at coordinate 68,934,614 of NC_000014.9, read as the reverse complement.
TCTTTATTCAGGATGGTGGCCCAGAATTGGGCTAAGGGCTGGTGCCCATCTTAGTTCACCTTGGTGAGTTGCTGTCCATCAGAGTTGTACCAATCGCCTGCCCACAGTAATGTGCCTTTGTCATTGAACCCACCAGCAGTGGAAATGATCAGAAAACTACTTTGCACATGTAATAAGTGACAAATACACCTTTTGAAAATTCACAAGCATGGCAGCATGTGCGTGACATGTCTAACCACAGGCCCTTGTGACAGGTATTGACGTGGGTTCCTCATTGATCCAGCCCCAGGAGAGGCGCGCCCGCTGCCCCTTACGGGAAGTCTTGCCAGCTTTTGCCGACTCCCAGATGGCTGATGTCCCCAAGACCTGTCAGGAGTGTTAACTGTGGTAGGCACAGCTGTCTGCTGCGTGCTTGTTTTAGCATGTCATACATTATTACGTGTGTAACTTTATTAGCAGACTTAGAAAGCTTTCATGTTTTCCCATTGTGAAACTAAAGACCCATTGGGTCTTAATTCACATTTAGCCTGCTGACATTTTTGGGGGGCCTGTGGGATGTCTTATTTTTATATTGTGGCAGCATTTCAAAACTGAGGGAGTCTACATAAAAATCTAGATTTTTTTTTTTTTTTTTCTTGAGACAGGGTCTCACTCTGTCACCCCAGGTTGGACTGTAGTGACACAATCATGGCTCTCTGTAGCCATCATCTCCCAGGCTCAAGCAATCTTCCTGCCTTAGCCTACTGAGGAGCTGGGACTACAGGTGTGTACCACCATGCTTGGCTAAATTTTGTTTGATTTTTTCTGTAGAGATGAAGTTGCCCAGGCTGGTCTCGAACTCCTGGACACAAGTGATCCTTCCACTTTGGCCTCCCAAAGTGCTGGGATTACAGGCATAAGCCACTACACCCAGCATAAGTTCAGATTTCTGTCTCTTCTTCATTGGAGGTGTGGCAGCCAAGGGCCTATGTTCCCATATGAGGCACAGAGGAGCTGCTTCTGCCCCGGGCCACCTCCTGCCGTGATACAGAGGCCGTATTCTAGTTGCCATTGAGTAGCTCTCATGCACCCTAGTATACTTGTATTTCAGGATAGCCATGTTTTCTTCTGGGTAGAAAAACAAAGGATAGCCCAAGAGGGCCACTGTTTCAAGAACAATGCATAAGAATACAGGGAGGTGGCCGGGCGTGGTGGCTCATGCCTGTAATCCCAGCACTTTGGGAGGCTGAGGCGGGCGGATCACTTGAGGTCAGGAGTTTGAGACCAGCCTGGCCAACACGGTGAAACCCCGTCTCTACTAAAAATACAAAAAAATTACCCAGGTATGGTGGTGCTTGCCTGTAATCCCAGATACTCAGGAGGCTGAGGCAGGAGAATTGCTTGAACCCCTGAGGCAGATGTTGCAGTGAGCCGAGATCGCACCACTGCACTCCAGCCAGGGCGACAGAGCGAGATACATCGCAAATAATAATAATAATAAAAAAAATACAAGGAGGTAAGGACTAACTTGTCCTACACTTGACCCCTCCTTGTGCCTTAGTTTCCTCATCTCTAAAGTGGGGAGAATAATACTTGTCCCACAGTGTCATTGTGATGATTCAATGAGTTAAAGGAGGTAAAGCACTCAGGAGAGGATCTGGCGTGTAGCAAATGGTCAATACGTATTAGCTGCTGCTGTTATTACGATCTGTGGCATATGTGTTTGTCTCCTCCAGATGAGGAACTGAGGGGTGAATTTTGCTTGTCATAGCTTGGGGTTGGGCGATGTTACCAGCAACTAGGGTGTGGTCCAGGGGTGCTGCTGAACATCTATGATGCATACAGCAGCTTCCCTGCCCCCACCAAAAAATTTTTCAGACCCCAAATATCAGTAGTACTGAGGTTGAGAAACCTTGCTTAGACCTTGGCGTGTGTGACCCTTGGTCTGACTGAACTCTTCTAACAGGTCTAGACCAGGTGCAGTGGCTCACGCCTGTAACCAGCACTTTGGGAGGATGAGGTGGGAGGATCACTTGAGGCCCAAAGTTTGAGACCAGCCTGGGTAACATAGAGAGACCCAGTCTCCAAGAAAAATTAAAAAAAAAAAAAAAAAAAAAAAAAAGCTGGGTGTATTAGTCAGGGTTCTCTAGAGGGACAGAACTAATGAGATAGATGTATATATAAAGGGGAGTTTGTTAAGGAGCACTGACTCACACACTCACAAGGCGAGCTCCCACAGTAGGCCATCTGCAAGCTGAGGAGCAAGGAAGCCAGTCCGAGTCCCAAAGCTGAAGAACTTGGAGTCTGATGTTTGAGAGCAGGAGGCATCCAGCACGGGAGAGAGATGGAGGCTGGGAGACTCAGCCAGTCTAGTCTTTTCACGTTCTTCTGCTTGCTTTTATTCTGGCTGTGCTGGCAGCTGATTAGATGGTGCCCACCCAGATTGAGGGTGGGTCTGCCTTTCCCAGTCCACTGATTCAGATGTTAATCTCCTTTGGCAACACCCTCACAGACACACCCAGGAATAATACTTTGCATCCTTTAATTCAATCAAGTTGACAATCAATATTAAACATCACACTGGGCATGGTAGTGTGCACCTTGAGTCCCAGCTACTTGGCAGGCTGAAAAAAAAATCCTCTAAACCAACATTTTCAAGGGCTGCCTCAGGCTCTTATAGAGTCAGAGTGATAAAGGACCTTACTTAGCTCAACTGGAGGGGCTGCTTGAATCCCTTCCCCAGTGCCCTTGCCGAGCCCTGCCTTCAGCCGCAGGTAGCACACTGTACAGCCAGCTTGTGGTCTGTTCTTTATTATGTTGAACTCTAATCTTCCCTGAAACTTTCTGTCCTTCATTCTAAGAATAGTAGCTCCCATTTTTGGAGCCTGTGTGTGGGTGATTCTGCTTAGCATTTTCCACGTGCTACTGCAACGATCTTCCCCACCCTGTGAGGTGGTTCTATTACCATCCCCATTTTACAGATGTGGAGATGGAGGCTTGGAGAAGTCAAGTCACATGCACAAGGTCACTCAGTGGATCCAGGTCCATCTTGCCGTAGAATCCACATTCCTCACCATTCCTCACCACTGGCCTATTCTGCCTGGTCTGTACCCAGCAAGTTTACTCACTCATTCATGGAAGGATCTTTAGATATTTGCAGTGAATCCCTCAGCCATCTCATCTCTCCTCCTGGTCATAGAGCCCCAGTTCCCAAAGTTCCCCTCAAAGGGCTGTCTGGTCTGCTTACCATCTGTAATGATCTCTCTTGCCTCTTGACAACACCTGTCTGTCCCTGGGCTCTGCCTCTGTCTGCCAGGCTGCCCCAGAGGGGCTGCCCATCTTCTGCCAACTCTGCTGATGTTCCATCAACTCAGACTCTCTGTGCCAATGCTGGCTGCGGTCCCCTGGATTTCATCTGGTTGGTGTTTTCACTTCACAGTGACCCATTTTCAGTGATACCCTATGAGATTCAGCTTACCTGTTTGACCATTGAGAATCTCAGCCTTGGTTCTGCTGTTCCCTTCCAGCACCCACCCATGCCTGCACCTGAAATCCACGTCATTCGGGTGGAGCAGAAAGTGTGAGGGGCTGGAGGAGTCAGGAGGTTGAGTTGTGAATATAATCCAGCCGTGTGGACTGGGGAAAGCCTCTCACCCTCTCTTTTTTGTGTCCTTAGTCGTAAAGTCAAGGTTTGACTTGGATGGTGCCTAACACCTCTTCTAGCTCTAACATTCTTTTATGAGGTGTGTTAACAGCATAAACTTATAATAATTATACCCCCAATTGTGGTGGCAATAGTAACAATAGATAATTATTGCAGTTGCTATAATTTTCAGTGTTTTAAGTGGACTGTCTCATTGACTCCTCCAATAATCCTCTGGGTAGGTGCTATTACTACCCCCATTTTACAGATGGTGCCTTAAGGCAGAGCCATGTCAAGTCACTTGTCCAGGGTTTACCACCTGCTAGAAGCTGATAGGCCTGGATTTGCAGTCTTCTTTAGAGTGACTAAATCCTTGCATTCCCATGGATACTTTTCTGCAGAGTGATCCGAGTGAATCCCATGGCCCTCCTGCTTTAGGGTCTTGTGATTTACCTCTCCCTCTCCCCATGACCAAGGGTATGAAGGATGCTTGATTGTAAAAGCTCATCCCCTAACTCATGCTTCTGGGGTAATCTTCTGTACCCCAGCTCCTTGCAGAGTGTGATTATTCAGACATCCTTTTAGAATCTAAAATTCAGGCAGTGATGATGACGGTAGGAACTACCACTTTCTGCACACTTACTATATTTCAGACACATTGATACTATATTGTCATTATTCACATAAATTAACAACATTACTATGCTAAAATTATTTACTGAATAAGGGTACTTCCTGTCAGTCATGCCTGGGAGATGCTATTGTCCCCCATTTTACAGACTTGAAAACTGAGGCTCAAAGAGGCCTGTTGTGGCTAAAGAAACATTGCAGTGTGTCTGTCTGAGCTTGGGGGCAGGGAAGGCACGTTCTCAAAAGCCATATTCCTTTCCAACACATTTTAAAGGAAGTATATCACATGATAATTGTGAAAGATGTGACGAAAAGAGGTTAGCGGAGTCTGTGAGAGCAAGGCTATGAGACCTGTACAGAAGGTGGACAATGTGATTCTGTCTCCATGGCCAGCTCCATGGCTCCTAGCCTGGGCTGGGGCCCCTCTGTTGGCGCCTGGCCAGGTCCCTCTTTGCAACCCTGAACTACAGGGCTGGACAGTTGCACTCTCCACCTCCTCAAACCACCTTCAAACTGGATTAGACATGGGCAGTGGCTTCGAGGTCATTGAGAGGCTGAGCAGGGGTCCAGGCTGTTTTGCGGCCCCTCCCTCTGTCCCGGGTCCTCAGAGACTCTGCAGGGCCGGGGCAGGTGGAGTGCAGACAGGGCTGCTGAGAGGGGAACAGGCCGTTGCCGCTGCTCTGCGGGAACATCCCAGTGTGGTCCTTGGTCCCAAGGACTTTTCCTGGGACCTCTCGGCATCCCTGAAGCCATTTCTGGAACGGAGTGTATCCACTGAAGACCTGCCATCCCGGATCTCCTTTGTCAGGCTGTGAGCCTGAGTATGGCCCAAGGAGGTGACTTGAAGATGGCTCTTGGGGTGAGGGGAGGCCAGATAGGGCAGGGCTTCATCGGGCTGAGCAGTAACATGGCCCTGTACCCTTTGTTTGAATGCGGCTGGGCCACAAACCTGCCGGGGTAGCACTCCCCACCACGCTGGGCGTCCAGGCTGGAGGTCTTGGGGCCGTGGGTCTCTAGCATGGGCCTCTCCTGTGGCTTTGACCTTCCTCTCCTTGCTGGACCCCTGGAGCACTGCTAAGGAGCAGGTGCCACCCCCTCATGCTGGAGCTTGAGCCTCAAGACCAAGGCTGCCCCAGGCTGGAGGGGAGGATATAGTTGTATGGTGTGCGTTCAGCTGTCAGACCTCCTCTGCGGAGGTGCACAAGGCCACTGTCAAAATCCCTGGTTTTCTGCACCCACGCCACTGTTCCAGCCCTCTCCCACGAACGCACCACAGTTCCAGCCCTCTCCCACGAACCCGCCACAGTTCCAGCCCTCTCCCACGAACCCGCCACAGTTCCAGCCCTCTCCCACGAATGTGCCACAGTTCCACCCCTCTCCCAGGAACTCACCACAGTTCCACCCCTCTCCCAGGAACTCACCACAGTTCCAGCCCTCTCCCACGAACACACCAGCACCGGTGCAAAAAAGAGCTCGCATGTTGTCATCTTGGAAACAGTACAGCGCGTGGTGGGGTGGGACCTACGACAGGAGAGTTTGGTGGCTGGGGGCAGGGAGAGGATGTGGGGTGGGAGTGCAGAGGAGCAAGAGCAAGTCCTCTGAGACCTGGTCCCGGGATCATTTTGGGGGAGCTAGTCCTGTCATCTTCCTCCTCCCCACTGTTCACTGAGCACTTACTAAATGGCAAGTTTTTTACAGATGTTTTTGAGTTAATCTTTTTAACTTTTATGGAGCGCTGTTACTATCCCTGTTTTACTGCAAAGGGAACTGAAGTTTAGGAAGGTTAATCTGAAGGTCACACAGCCAGTAAATAGTGGATCTGAGAACTGAATCCAGCTCTGATGCGTCCCGAAGTGCATGTTGTTGATCACCGGGTCACAGCCACCATTTCCTCCTCTAGCCTAAACTTTGCGGTGGCTGCTGCTTGTTGGGGAAACTTTCCAGTTTGAGAGGTGCCCAGAGCCCCCTTCAAGGCAGTAATCTATGGGGCCTCTGAGGATTGGGGGTTTTAGTAAAGCCATGTTCCAGGGCTTTGTCCAGGAGACCTGAGCAAACATAGGTGTGTTTTGTTTCCCAGGGCTGAGCCTGGCTTTTCCAGGAAAGGGGGCTGGCTGCTTTCAACAGCACTTTTCCTCTTTCAAAAGCAGTGTCTTTTTACGACAGCAGCCTCTTCCTCCTTTATCTCATCCCAACCCCCTCCACGACTGGGTAGTAAACAGTGAGAATTTATAGCCCCCAGCTGGGCGGGTGGGCTCAGGGCAGTGCCTGCTAGGACCCTGGATGTTTCAGGCCACATTGGACCTGAAAGCATCCCTTCGAGTTGCTGGGGCTGACACAGTTCCCCTCAAGGAAATAGAAAACCTTAGGCTGAAGGTTCAGTGCTGGGGGACTGGGAGTGGGTGCTGGGGATGGCCAAGATGGTGATAAATGAGAAAAGACCACCCACCCCAGTGTCAACGCACACTCAAGTGTGAACGCACAGCTTGAAGACACTGGGCAGACCAGTGTCAGCTGGGAGAGAATGTGCAAAACCAAAGTAAATTATATTTGTTTTAAAGAGTTAAAAATCCTTTAATATTTTTCTACCAATAAAAAGAAGTTAAAATAAGGATAAAGGCTAAAGGCCCTCTCATCTCCTGCAGTGCCAGCAGCGGAGGAAGGATGCTTGGTACATACGCTTCCCTGTCCTGCTGCGTCCTCTTTCCTCCGAGCTGTCTTCTGTGTCCAGGGGGTCCCTAAGAGCACTGTTTGTCCCATCACCCCCTGCCCTGAGAGCATTCAGCCTCACCCACAAGGTGCAGTTGGATCTCCCAGGACCCTCTCAGCTTTGCATCCAGTTCCCCACTTGTTCCTTCACCTGGCTGCCCAATTCTTACGTCCACTAGAATGTCTGCTGCACAGAGGCAGGGACTTTTGCTGTTTAGTTCACTGCTGTGTCCCTGACTCTGTGCCCTGGGTCTCTGGGATATAAAGGTGAACATTGAGTTTCTACCTCCAAGAGCTCCCAGGCTGGGGGTGTGGAGCTGACAAGTGGCTAGGCATAATGGGTGAATGCAGGGTGCTATGGGTGTGTGTCCAGCCCAGACAGAGCAGGTGGCTATCAGGAAGGCTTCCTGGAGGAGGTGATATCTCTACCCAGTCTTGAAAGATGAGTGAGTTAGTTAAGCAAGATAGAGAGGACATTGGAAATCAGTGTATGTCCCCTATCTACCCTGATCTGTGTGCCAGTCTTCCCAGAGCTCTGGGATAGCACAATACGCCGTTTCTCTTCATCATGGGAGTAGGCTGGCCTGCAGAGTGGAGATATGTTTGCAGGGAGAGAGAGGTATTCCATATTGGTAAGTTACTAGTGAGACATGATTGAAAAATTAAGCCCAAAGTCACAGGGTATCATAATGCTGTCCCTTTCTCCCCGCCTGTGTGGAGGGATAGCTTCTGTCCCCCTGTTCCCTTTCTTGTTCATAGGCTCTTCAACTTTTGCTCCTAAATCTAAGCAGCTATTTCTTTTCCCCTGATACTCGCTGGTGTGATGTTCTTCCCTCTTCCTACCCACTTATTGCCACTTCACCTTTAGAGTTCCCCAGGGCAGGAGGAAGGGATTGGGGAGCATGAAGCTGTGACCTTTCCCATGAGGAAGAGTATTTCTAGTGTGGCTCCTACTGTCACATGAATGATACACTGCCCATCCTTTGAATTTTGCAGGGCAGGTGGGAAGAGAGCTGAATGGCTCTGGTGTTGGGTGAGCCCCATGTAATTGGTAGTGCCATTTGGTGCAGAGAAGTCTGGAGTTGCCAATGAATGGTTTAGATCTAAAGCAAGGGAGCTCTTCTCTCTGGTTGCCACAGAGTGGAGACAGCTGGAGAGAGACACCTGTTTTAGATGGACATGTAAAACTGCGATGCATGCTTTTGTTTCTCATGTTTGTTGAGACACCCTCTTCCTGTTTGAGCCACTAGCTGGTGCTGTTGGCACAGGATGGCTTAGTTGCTGCCTCACCTGATCATAATCTGCTTAATAGAGAAGTAACTATGAAGCTGATGGTCTTTGATTTGACCTCCTTACATTCCCTTTCTGGAACTCTTCATGCTTTTGCAGCTTAGGGTGCCCCTATCCCCACCCAAAGCACACACAGATACACATTGGGGTGCTTACTCTTCTCCCTTGTCCTGACACCCTGCATCTGAATTCTGTTCTCAGCAAAACTTACTACTCCTTTCTCTTAGCTGGCTGCCAAGTGAGAAAGGATTTAATATACTAATTTACCCTAAGGTATCAACAGGGCTTAATATGTTCCTTCGGGGTTACTCTGTCTTAAAACTGTGAAGATTGAAACTAAGTCTTATAACTTAAGAGGTAACTTGTAAGAATGGAATTGTGGCATTTTCAAATGTGGGTGGGCATGAGTCTTTGAGAGAGGGCTGGGAGGCGGATGTTAAGGGAATTTGCTGCTTCATGTATCCTGCTTGCTCCCACCCATGTAGCAGGCTCTGTGTAGGGTCCCTCAGCTGCTGCCCTGTGGGTAGCTCAGTGCTTGGTTGATGCAGTGAATGAGACCATGGTGGGGCAACTGTGTTGAGAGGCTCTGCTGAGTAGGTGTCCACCTCCCACCCCCTGGCACCATTAAATGGCTTGTCCAATGAGGGTGACAACACCAGCCCCCTGACCACTTGCCCTTCTTGTCTCTGCCCAGACATTCACGGCATGGTGTAACTCCCACCTCCGGAAGGCGGGGACACAGATCGAGAACATCGAAGAGGACTTCCGGGATGGCCTGAAGCTCATGCTGCTGCTGGAGGTCATCTCAGGTGAGGCGGAACCTGGCCCAGGACGAGATACTGTCTATTGGTGCTGCCTGACACCTTGGCATCTGCTCTGCCTATGAGCGCAGCTGGTTTTGGTCTCTTGAAACAAGTTGGGGATGACATGTATGAATTCATCCTAGGAGCGTGGGTCTGAGTTCTGGTTCTGCTGCCAGCCATCCAGGTGCCTTGGACATTTGTTTCAGCATCCTTGTTTGTTTTAAAAAAAAAAAAAAAAAAAAAAAGGGTTTGAAGGAACTGAGGTTCCTTCTCCTCCCCAGTGCCAGGATTCTGTGGCCAAGAATGTTAACCATGGGTGACTGTCTCCAAATCTTGGCTCCATTACTACTTATCTACCTGTATCCAGGTGACCCAGGCCATTCCCCAGCCCCTGGTTTGTCCAGATGTCTGGAGGGACAGCTCTACTGGAACACACATCTCATCCTGCTTATGAATGCCTTTCTGCCACCATCCCTTAAGGGGTGGGAGTCCTGTGAGTCTAGCCTTGGTTGATACACTGGGCCATGTTAGCTACTCTCTTCACCTTGATGCCGGTGAGCCTTAGACCTAATCCCAGCCCAGCCCTCTCCCTCGAGCCACCTCTGAAATGCTGAACCTCGCTGGGCGTCTCCACCCCAATGTCCCACACAGTCCTCTCAGCATGTCCAAAACTCTGTGCTTGTCACTCCTGCCCTAGCAAACCTCTTTTCCCTCCCAGAGTCCTGTTCTTCTGCACCCAAGCTGGGATCATAGACAGCTCTTCTTTGCAAGTTGTTACTGATGTTCTGTTTATTCTGATTCCTTCTTCTCAGTCCTTCTTTTAACCCCTACTGTTGTGGTGTCAGTGTGGCCTGTGTCAACTCTCACCTAGATGATCCCACAAAGGCCTTTACCCCAGCTCTTCCTGGCAGTCCACCCCTGTCACTGTAGCCAGAGGGCTTGTCCGACAGTCAGTCCAAATATGGTCACACTGTTCCCTCTCACAGCCCTCAGCCCGCGGTGCCTCTCCAGGGCTTTGAGCCTGCAGGCCACATTCCTTAGCATAGCTTATGGAATCCTGCATGAGCTGGCACCTGCTTTGTTTTCAACTAACTATTCCCAAAAAGGTATCAGACCTTCGATCCTCTGCCAGTTGTGGGGTGGGGGCAGGGGGAACGTGCAGCTCTCCCCAGATGACATGCACTTTCTGTTTCCTGTGCCTTTGCACAAGCTCTAACTGCCCTTTTTTTTTAAAAGTAGTTTTTTCTACTTTCAGATAAAACCTGTGTGTGTGGTAAAATAATATATAACAGAAAATGTATCATTTTAGCCATTTTAAAGGGTGCAGTTCAGCGGTATTAAGGGCATGCACTGACTGTTGTGCAGCCATCGCCACCGTCCACCTTCAGGGCTCTTCATCGTCTCAAACTGACACCCTACAGCTGTTCAACACTAGCTCGCCGCTCCCCCCGGCCCTCCCCTGGCAACCACCATTCTACTTTTTGTCTCTGATTTGACTACTCTAGGTATACCTTGTACGAGTGGAATCATACAGTATTTCTCCTTTTGTGACACTGGTTTATTTCACTTACTGTGTCTTCACGGTTCATCCATGTTGGAGCATGTGCCGCCATCCCTTTCCTTTTTATGGCTGAATCGTATTCCATTGTATGTATGACCTACAGCTATAAAATGGCTCCCCACATTTTGTTCATTCACCTGTCGGTGGTCACTTGGGTTGTTTCTACCTTTTGGGTATTGTGAATAATGCTAGGACATGGTTGTACAAAATATTTTTAAAATCCCTCTTTCAGTTCTTTTTTTGTATATTCCCCAAAGTGGAACTGCTAGGTCACATGGGAATTCTCTGTTTAATTTTTTGAGGAGCCACCGTGCTGTTTTCCTCTGCCGTTATTTATTTATTTATTTTCTTTTTTCTTTGAGATAGGGTTCCACCATGTTGGCCAGGCTGGTATTGAACTCCTGACCTCAGGTGATCCTCCCACCTCAGCCTCCCAAAGCGCTGGGATTGCAGGTGTGAGCCACCGTGCCTTGCCTCTAACTGCCTTTTAGAATGTCCCTGCTTCCTACCTCCTCCACTACCCTTCCCCAGTTTTAAACAAATCTGGCCTTACAATTTATCATTCTTCAAAATGCAGCTTGAGGGTGTCCTTCAAGAAGGCTTCACCCTTCCTCTCTCCCCTAATCTGAGTGGACTGTGCCCTGCCCGCACCACCCCCCTACCTGCCCAGCTCCCCAGCACCTATAATACCCCATTAATTCCTCTGCTGTGTCTTTTATCACAAAGTGTAGTCATTTTCGGTTCGCTTGTTTTCTTCTCTGCTCCACACTGAGCTCCTTGGGGCAGGTCATCTTCTCTCTGTGTCTCAGGTGCTTAGAACAGCACCAGACATGTAGGCGGTGCTCCGGGAACATTAGAATGACTGAGTGCCCAGAGCCGGGCTTGTCCTCATGATACCCAGTGTGTTCCTGCTGCATAGGTCTGACGTGTGCCCAGGGGACCTGTGCATTTCTGTGAAGCATGTGTCTCTTTGCCAGGGTTGGGAAAGATCTGTTCTGTGAAATGATCTGTTCTCCCCTGGACAGGAAATGCTGGGATACCTTTTTCTCCTGATCATCGTTGGAGATGGGTAGGGTGCCCCAGGATGAGGAGAAGGAGGGGTATGCTGCCTACAGAGGTTCTCAAAGTGTGGTCCTTGGACTACCCACACCAGAATCGGCAGGATTGCCTGTCAAAATGCAGATTTCCAAACCTTAACCCAGTCCTCCTAATCACAAACTTAGTGAGAGGGGGAAAGGGGCTGGACAGCCACAGATTAGCCAGTTCTCCAGGTGATTTTGTGCTGACTGACGTTTGAGAACCACTGGCCCAGGCCTGGGAAGCTTTTTCCATTCTCCCGTGTTTAACCCTTGCCTCCTCCACTGTCCTTTGCAGAAGCCCCCTTCCAGCCAGTGTGCACAGCTGCTGAATGGCTGGGGCACTCCGCTTAGCTGGACAGGCCCCAAGGGCTGGGGCTGTAACAGGAGCAGCCTTCCAGGGAGGGGACGTGGTGCTGCCTGCATCCATCCTGTGGGGAGGGAGCCTCTGTGCCATCTCCCCCCGGACAGGAAATACTGGGGTACCTTGCTGGGTTGCAGCCAGAGCCTTGGGAGGGCCCCAAGTGGAAAGTCTTGATTTAATTTAAAAAACAGCTGTGCTTCCCTGGGAGCTGACAGCCAGATCCCATCTGTGGCAGGAAGTCTGCCGTCTTCCAGAAGCTAGCAGGCTGCTGGGAGGCCACCTGGAGAGGTGCTGCTCTGACAGGGTGGGCCTGGCCCAGAATCCCCGTGGCTGGTCCCTGGAGTCCTCGCAGCCAGATTGTCGACCTGCTGGGGAGACAGTGGGTGTGGTCGGGATATCAGGGCAGGCACAAGGGGCCTGAATTCCAGGCTCTGCGATGGTGGTTCTCAGCCTTTTGGGGTCCTTGGCCCCTTAGAGACCCTGAAAGCTATATACCCCTTCCCTAGGTATGGCTCTATGCTGCACTTAGAAAATTCTCAGATCATTTCAGGAGGCCCCTGGATGCTCTTTGTTCTGGAATAAAAGTGCTGTTAATGGGGTATTTGGAGAGCCAGCTCCTCTACCTTTATTTTCTCAAAGGTTCTGACCTTGAAACCTGAGCAGCAGAAGCTACTGTGTGGAATCTGGAGGTGGGGGTGGAGGGTTGACCTGGAGCTGAGCCCTGGGTGCCCACAGGAGGCAGCATAATAGGACAAGAACTGTGGTTCTCAGATGGGGATGGGCTGCTATAGGCAACTCCATTTAAACACCAGGGAAGTCCATAATACTTGAGTGACCTATACCCTCCTCCCAGGGCAAAGGGAAGGCTAGAAGGAGTTCAGGGCCTTTGCATGTACTGTTCCTTCTGCCTTGATCATCATTCCTTGCTTTGTTTGCCTGGCTGCAAAGACTCAGACCTTTCCTGACCACTCCTCAGTTCCTCCTTCCTCTTCCTCCTCCTCTTTTGAAGAGCATGGATCTTTCTTTGTATTTGTTCATTGTATATATTTATTTGTGTTTCTCTATTTAAGGTCTGTCTCTCCTACTGGACTGTAATTACATAAAGGCAAGAAACTGTTTTGTTCACCCCCCTATTCCTAGCACCCAGCCAAATCCCTGGCATGCGGTAGGGGCTCGATAAATAAATGTTGAGTGGATGCAAGCAGATTTCGACCTGAGAAGCAGAAGAAAGAAGAGGCAGGGTAGATTCTCCCTCTCATTCCCTGCCAGGGTGACATTCTCCAGCCCCTGAGCAGCGTGTGAGCACACACACACGTGCACACATGCACATGCTTCTGCCTAGCTAAGCTGTGCTTTGGATGAGGGTGTAGTGGTAGTAGCTCTGGCCCCTGGCTCATAGCGTCTCACCTTCCTCTTCCTCCCTCTTGATCCAAACAGGTGAACGCTTGGCCAAGCCAGAGCGAGGCAAGATGAGAGTGCACAAGATCTCCAACGTCAACAAGGCCCTGGATTTCATAGCCAGCAAAGGCGTCAAACTGGTGTCCATCGGAGCCGAAGGTAAGGCCTACCTCTGGTGGCCCCAAGGAGCCTGATTTTCTTTGTCCCCCTGGTTCTCTTGGCCTTTTTTGTGCTGCCTCCTGGGCCCATGCATCACTTGGGGGCATTGGGCAGTGGGTCCCCAGCACCTCCATCTGGTCGCCTGTGGAGGCTTTGTATTGCAACAGCGCTTTTCTTCTAGTCTCAGCCCTGCCCAAAACCAAGGACTTAGACCCCTGTTCCCATGCCTGCACCTGCTTAGCCACGTCCTTGCTCTGTGGAGTCCTGTGTGTGTGGCATGCCACCTCCCCCATCCAGAGGCCTGACTGCACGGTGTTGCCTGGAGCAGAGGATTTGTGTATGGGCTGGAAAGGGTGTGCAGACACAGGCTGGTGGAGGCTGGAGGCTGCCCCGAGACTCCCCGGGGCCCTGGGAAGACTGAAGTCCCGAAGCCTCTAGGAACATTTTTAATAGCATTTCCCTGCAGTGTAGCTTCCTAACTCTTTAACTTTTACTTAGAAACACTTACCAAAAAAGCTATTAGCATTTCCTTAATGATTAAAAGAAGGTAGTGTAATTTCTTGTGTGCATGGTGGTGGCTCTGAAAAATTGAGAGTGGGTTGTTTAGAGTGGGCAGAAAATGTTCTATCCAGGCCCCTTCAGTCCTGTGACCATGGATTTAGCAAGTATTTATGGGGCACCTGCTGCGTGATGTCAGAGACCTAAAGATGAACGAATCTCACTCATTCAAGACACATCGTGGCTGTGAGAATGGATTGCTCACTCTGTGGCATATACTTAATCCTCACAACAACCCTATGAGGTAGCTCTAAGAATTAATTATCCTGATTTTGCCATAAGAAAACAGATGCTTAAAGAGATTACGTGACTTCCTCAAGGTTCCGCCATCAGTAAGTGGCAAAGCCAGAACTCAAACGCAGGTCTTCGTGACACCAGAGGAATGCCCTGAGAGTGGCCTTCCCTTGGAGGGGGCAGGGGTCTTGCTCCTGGGAAGTCCATAGGAGCAGATCTCTTCTCTGGTTGAAGCTTACAGTCCCCTCTCTTCTAGAAATGGAGGGATATTTATCAAATGGAGAACTTTAACACAGGCTCAGCAAACTGCAGTGCATGGGGTCGAGTCCGGCTGATTTGGATTTTTGGAAATATTGGAACACAGCACACCGGTGTTAATGTATCATCAGTGGCTTTGTGCTGCAATGACAGAGTTGAGTAGTTGCTACAGAGCTTATATGGATCATAGAGCCAGAAACATTTCTTATCAGGCCCTCTACAGAAAAAGTTTGCTCACCTCTGCCTTATCTGGAATTCAGGCCAGTGCCCAAGGTGGTCACGCAAGGTGCCTTATGGATTCCAGCATCTCCCCCACCAGCTGTGAGCTTCTCAAAGGCAGAAACCTTGGTTTCTACATCCTGTGGCCCCAGTTCCTAGCAGCATGATGCACACAGTAGGTGCTCAATACATGTTAAAAGGATTTACATATAGCAGTATAATCTGCTTTGTGATGAGGAAGATGTTCTCTGCCTTATAATAAGAAAAGAACAGTTTGCTTTATTAGGGAGCAATTCAAGACTTGGCAGAAAAAGTTATAACTAAGCAGGCGTGGGAAGCCAAAGAAAGTCACCCAGGTGGTTAGTGCAGGCTCGGATGCCCCTGGGGCAGGGAAGTGTAGAGAATTTGTGAAGTGGTTCAGGGGTCAGTGGCAGGGGTGGGTAGGGACCGTGGCAAGCTAGAGAGTCATGTCCTAAGCGGGATGGGCACCTTGTGGATGTAAGAAGTTGCTGCTGTGTGGATCCAGTGCTGCTAGATCTTCCAGTTTTTCAAAAGAAGCCAGAAATCCAGATTTTTTGAAAAGAAAAATTTGGCAACTAAATTTAAAAAAATAACTTGTTTGCTCTTTAAAGCCTCTACCAAAGGGGAGGAGGGCAGGGAAGGGGAAGGTGGAAGAGAATAGCACTCACCGAGTACCCGCTCTGTGTTGCTAGACAGGGTGCTTTACGTGGGCCATCTCCTGCTACACTCATGATGGGCTCGTAGGATGGGTATCACCAGCCACGTTTTACAGTTAAGGAAACTGAGGCTCAGAAAAGTTGCTAGAGTGGAAGAGTGTCATCAGTTGAGCCCAGGCTCTGAGCCAGACTGCTTCTATGTGGCAGATCCAGGGTTAAACCCAGGGGTAGGCTCCAGAGCTGAGGCCTTCCTCTTCCTGTTACTGTCGGCAGTGCTGCCTCCCCAGTCAGAGCCCAGGACAGAACTTTCTTTTCTTTTTTTTTTTTTAGTAGAGATGGGATTTCACTGTGCTAGCCAGGATGGTCTCTATCTCCTGACCTTGTGATCCGCCCGCCTCGGCCTCCCAAAGTGTTGAGATTACAGGTGTGCGCCACCGCGCCTGGCCTAAGATCTGAAACTTCTTTTTTTTTTTTTGAGACGGAGTCTCACTCTGTCGCCCAGGCTGGAGTGTAGAGGGGCGATCTTGACTCGCTGCAAGTCCGCCTCCCAGTTTGACGCCATTCTCCTGCCTCAGCCTCCCGAGTAGCTGGGACTACAGGCGCCCACCACCACGCCTGGCTAATTTTTTTTTAAATATTTTTAGTAGAGACGGGGTTTCACCGTGTTAACCAGGATGGTCTCGATCTCCTGACCTCGTGATCCACCCGCCTCAGCTTCCCAAAGTGCTGGGATTACAGGCGTGAGCCACCGCGCCCGGCCAGAACTTTCACATCGAATTGTCTTCAGTACTGAGATGGCAGATCAAGCCTGCCCCTGCCATGCTGGCCTCAGGGGTGAGGAGTGAGAGGAACACTGGCGTGAACTCTCATCTCACTGCTGCTGCTGTGCTGGGAAGGTCATTCACCTGGCAGCCTCAGTTTTCCCGTTTCCTTTGACGCAGGCCTAGCTTCTCTAAAGATTTTGAAAAGGCTCCTTTATTTTTTATTTTTTGAGACAGGGTCTCACTCTGTTACCCAGACTAGAGTGCAATGGCACGATCTTGGCTCACTGCAACCTCCACCTCCCAGGCTCAAGTGATTCTTAATCTGCTTCAGCCTTCCAAGTAGCTGGGATTACAGGTTTGTGCCACCACGCCTGGCTAATTTTTGTATTTTTAGTACAGATGGGGTTTCACTATGTTGGCCAGGCTGGTCTTGAACTACTGACTTCAAATGATCCGCCAGCCTCAGCCTCCCAAAGTGCTGGGATTACAGGCGCAAGCCACCACGCCCCGACGAAAAGTTCCTTTAAAGTGAGACGTTCTTTACCTTCTCCCTGCCCTGAGGAGCCAGTGTTTTCAGCTGTGGCTTCCAGGAGTGAAATCATCCACTCCCATCAGGCTGAGCACCAAGATTATGCCACAATGGCCGCTCTGCTGAGCCAAGAAACTAGATGAGGCAGCAAATGGCGTTTTGTGGGCTTTTAAAAGTGAAATGGAGTTTATTGATGTCGATTATAAAATAAAAGGCGATGGGCAGATGGCATAGAATGAGCTCTCCTGGAAGGGGAGCGGGGGAACGTTGCAGGTTGTCCATCCTGGGCTGCTGAAGGCTGTGACTGTGGAGACCAGGCCCAGCAGGGACACCCCTCACCCCCCACCAAAGTCTTTGAAGGATTATCATGCAGTGCAAGGACTAAGACCTCTGGCTGACTCCGAAGGGCAGAACCAGGCCCAGAATAGGTACCCTGTAGGTAGGTGGACTCTGGGAGCCTTGGGAAATGGAGCCGGGGCTCTGGGAGGGTTATGAGTTCCCTGTCCCTGAAGGTGTGCACATGAAGGCTGGAGACAAGGAGCTTCCACACATAAAGGGGAGGTTAGAGCAGATCCTTAAGGTCTCCCCTACGATATTTGGTTCTAGAATGCATAGACTTCATGGAATTGGCCTGGGTGAGTGGTTGGAATGTAGTTAACCAGGGGAGAGAACTCAAAAAGGATTTTGTATTTTAAGGTCTTTGGGCAGGTGGAGCCTGAGGGTTTGGGTGCTGTGAGCATGGAGGTGGGCTCAGTGAGGTAGCATGTATCTTTAGGATGGAGGGGGCGGTGGGTGCCATACCACAGCATTGGTCTGGGAGGTGGTGGCCCCTGGGGTTCTAGTTTCTGTCACATGGAATTTCTGCAGCATTCATTCTGCCGTCTGAATACTGAACAGATGACGGTGTCCCTGGAGAGAGAAGGAGGGAGAAACATGTTCCCAGTAAACAGGGGATGTGAGCAGCTTCATAGCTCGCTGTAGACCAAGAAGGTCTACATTACAGACGCTGTTAATCTGTCACCAAGGTTTTTCCACAAAGCCCAGTTGTGGCCTTGGAACCCTCCCTTTGGGGCCAGCCTTCTAAGCAGTCCCTGACATAAAGCTGCCTGAGAGATGAGGCACCCCTGCTGCAAACGTTGAGAAGCCGGAGGCCCGGTATACAGGACCTGCCATGCCAGGGAAGGGGAAGGAGAGTGGATGGGATGGGAGTCAGGTGGGAACTGGGGCTGGGCGTGCATGGGCTGCTAATTAAGCACGCCCTACTCTCTATGCTCGTGCTTGGCGCCTCTGTTTTCTGGAGTGAAACTATGCCTTTGGTGTGAATGAGAATTCAGTAAGCAAAATTCTCTGGGGAGTTTCTGGGGAAGAAGAAGAGGAATAAGTAGGCAAGACCCTAAAAAGAAGCCACCTGCCTCTCCCAGTCCCTCCGGGAGGACTCCAAGAGGGCAAATCTGCAGGCAGTGAGCTCAGGGCCAGCGGGAGGCCCTGGAGTTTGGCCGTCACAGAGTGGGGCAGCATGTGGGGGACCAAGGGAGGGCTAGCATTGCAGCCCCACTCCTAGGAAGGCCAAACCATGGGATTACCACTCAGAGCTTTTTTCTAGGCTTAAAAAATTTTTCCCTTATATTTTAAACACTGTTTATGAAATTTTTTACCTGCTTTTCCCACTTCCCATGCTAAAAAATTTTTCTAAGTTATTAAGCACTCATAAGCATTAATGTCTGCGTTCATTGTCTTTTTTGTTTTGTTTTTTTGAGATGAGTCTCGCTCTCTTGCTTAGTCTGGAGTGCAGTGGCACGATCTCAGCTTACTGCAACCTCCGCCTCCCGAATTCAAGCGATTCTCCTGCCTCAGCCCCACGAGTAGCTGGGATTGCAGGCATGTGCCACCACATCTGCCTAATTTCTGTTTTAGTGGAGACGGGGTTTCGCCATGTTGTCCAGGCTGGTCTTGAACTCCTGACCTCAAGTGATCTGTCCCACCTTGGCCTCCCAAAGTGCTGGGATTTCAGGTGTGAGCCACTGCGTCTGGCCTCATCATCTGTTTGTCGTACTTCGTCCCAGGCCTGGGCCCTGCCCTGGAAGAGACTGAGGTCCATTGTGTTCTCAGGGGGCCAATGGCAGGCCTGTGTTAGCTCTGCCCATTCCCCCACTTGTGGTTAGTGTTTGTTCACTCATTCGTTCACTCAGCAGATGCTGATGGGGGCTTTGCCTGTGCCAGGCTTCATACTGAACTCTAAGCAGTGATGCAAAACAGGAAGTATTCTTACCCTCAAGGGGCTTACATTCTAGAGGGGAAAGAGAGAAAATACACATGTACACCTGTCAGATGGAGAAAACCAAAGCAGGGAGGAACTTGGGTGGTCAAGGGAGGTGTCCATGAGAAGGGGACGTGTGAGTGAAACTGGCAGGAGGCAGGGACAGGCCACGTGGGTATCTAGGGAAGGGGAGCTGCAGGGAGGCCCGAGCAGGGGGGACGGGGAGGAGGAGGAGGAGAAGGAGGGGAAGAAGGAGCAGGGGGAGGAGGGGGAACAAGAGGCCCAGGCGGCCAGACCACGAGGGCCTCTCTGGCCACTGGCTTTGACTCTCAGGGAGGTGGGAAGCTGTGGAGGTTTTTTAGCAGAGGGTGATATGGGGTCTGGGGATTTACTTGGTCATTCTGTGTACTGTGTACCTTTGCGAGGTTTCTAAGTACGGGGTGTGATAAATAGCCTTGCAGCAAGTGCATTCATTCAGGAACCTTACTCTGCATTTCCTTTCATTGGCTAGGGATAGATTCCTGGAGATAAAATTATACTGCCAAAAAGCTGAGCAACTGTAAAATGCGTGCTCCTTGTGGCCAAATTATTTCCCAGATTAATTGATTAATTTCCCAGAAATTATTATTATTGTTTTTTAAACCAATTTACACTTCTAGTGTGGTGGCCTTGCTGACATCAAGGCGTGTGGTTTTCAACTTTGGGTTTTTTTGTTTGTTTTGTTTTGTTTTGTTTTTAAGAGACAGGGTCTCAACTTGTCGCTTAGGTTGGAGTGCAGCGGTGATATCACACAGCTCACTGCAACCTTGAGCTCCTGGGCTCAGTCCCCAGTCCTCCTGCCTCTGCCTCCCAAGAAGCTAGGACTACAAGTTTGCACCACTGCACCTGGCTAATTTTTTCATTTTTTTGTAGAGACAAGGTCTCCTATGTTGCCCCGGCTGGTCTTGAACTCCTGGGCTCAAGCGATCCTCCCACCTTGGCCTCCCAAAGTGCTAGGATTAAAGGCATGAGCTACTTCACCCAGCCTAACTTTGTTTTTTAACTTTGCTAATTTAATAGCTGGGAAGGTGATCTTATTTCTTTGATTACAAGTGAGATTGAACATTCTTGTGAATTGGTTATTTGTATTTCATGTTTTATGATTTTTTTGTCTTTTGCCTATTTATTGAGAGTTTAGTATTTTTCAATTGTCTTTTCAATTGAGATGAACTCTTTAAACCATTGGAAATAACAAATGAAAGTGCATTTTTTAAAATATCAAAGATTTATGAGCCGATTCCTTTACTTTTTTATTTTATTTATTCATTTTTTTAGAGAGGGTCTTGCTTTGTTGCCCAGGATGGATTCACAGCTCACTGCAGCCTCTGCCTTGGCTCAAGCAATCCTCCCACTTAAGCCTGAGTAGCTGGGACTACAGGCACTACCATGCCTGTTTAATTTTTGTATTTTTGTAGAGATGGGGTTTTGTCATGTTGCCCAGGCTGGTCTTGAACACCTGGGTTCAAGCAATCCACCTGTCTTGGCCTCCCAAAGTGTTGGGAGTACAGGCTCGAGCCACTGTGCCAGGTCTATGAGTTGATTCTTGATGAGTAGTACTACCTCCCCACAATGTGGACTGCAAAATGCTGGCTGGCTGTGTTGCTTGGTAGCAAAAGGGGTTGCATGCTGCTCAGCTCTCTGTTTCTCTCCAACCCAAGCATTTGGATGTGGGACTGTGCCCCGCCTGGTGTCTGGGGCTCTGGGAGGGGCATTTTTACTTCCCTGTTTACAAGAAGGGTTACATCCTATTCCAAGTCCAAAGTGGACACTTGTTCCTTTGCTCAGCATCCCATGCAGACTCAGCAGGTTACCCGCTCCCCTGGGAGGTGGCTGTGGCCAAGCACTGCTCCATGGACTACACCCGGCTGGTCATGGAACAGCATACAGTTTTGCCCTCACTTTTGGGAAAGGGGCTAAGATGTTAGAGTATACCATCCTTAATGGAAATCCACTCTTGTTTCAGGGGTTTGTGGGATGCAAATCCTAGTAGGGTCAGAACTGCCTAGAAATTGATCCTTCTCATGGTTCTATTGGGTCTCCCCTAAAATTAATGTTGCAGGTAGGAAAAAAAAAGATATTCTTTGGGTACCTTACTCTTAACTGAGCGTGTCTTACCATGGGCCGGATTACTATCTCCTGGTCTGGAAGCAGGTGATGAGTGGGTGTGGAATCTACATTTGAGTATCACTTGTTCAACCACAAGACCATAGATTGCTCCATGTATTGGGCTCCTTAAAATAGGGCTTATTTATGTTGTATTCCCTGCCATTAGGCCTGGTACAGAAAAAAAGAGAAAATCTACTTCATAGAACTTGTAGATTCTAAAACTCTAAAAGGTGCTGCTTAGACTAAATATATTGGGTTATCTCTTAGCTGTGATCTTGAAGCTATTGTTTGATTTTTTAAAAAAACATCTGTTTTAATACCCAAACTGATGGCATTGTGAGATTGAGTCAGTGGATAGTTCAAGATGGCAATTTACAAAACTTTAAGTTTGTGACTTTCTCTTGATTCCACTGTTTTTCCACGTGTGGGTGGCTATTTTGAGAGCTGTGATTGCCCAGAGAGCCCCAGCTCACAGAATTGCCAGAACATTTGTGATTGCTTAGAAATCCTCCCCTCTTCATCAGGCTGGGAACACAGATCAGGATTTCAAATGCCCCCTTCTCTGTGGCCTTCCCTGATGTACCCACTGTCTCCAACTAGGATTGATTACACCCTTTTTTTGTGCCCCAAATAGACTTCTCTTCCAGCACCTGTCACAGTTTATTGCATTAACTTTAAGAAACATCCAGGCCAGGCATGGTAGCTCATGCCTGTAATTCCAGCACTTTGGGAGGCTAAGGTGGGAGGATCGTTTGAACCCAGGAGTTTGAGACCAGCCTGGGCAATATCGTAAGACCCTGTCTCTACAAAAAATGAAAAAATTAGCCGGGTGTGGTGGCCTATCTGTAGTCCCAGCTACCCAGGAAGGTGAGATGGGAGGATCGCTTGAGCCCAGGATTTGGAGGCTGCAGTGAGCCATGATTGCACCACTGCACGCTAGCTTGGGTGACAGAGCGAAAACCCTGTCTCAAAAACAAGCAAAAATCCTGTTTCCCTCTAGAAGTAGAGCTCTGGAGTCTTTTGATTCCTAGCGTGGGGCATGGAGTGCTGTGGGTGCTGAGGGAGTGTTAATTCTGTCCCCGCTGAGGCCCTTTCTGATGTGTGCTGCTGCTGTTTCTGTAGAAATCGTGGATGGGAATGTGAAGATGACCCTGGGCATGATCTGGACCATCATCCTGCGCTTTGCCATCCAGGACATCTCCGTGGAAGGTGGGTTTCTGCTTTGTTCCATCCCGCCATCACCATCTCGTCTCCCTCCCTGGGCTTAGCCTGGAGAACTCCCATACCCAGGGCAACGGACGTTGATCAGGGGCCATGTCCTGGGCTTCTTGCTCATTTATTGGGCATCAGCCTTCTCCTCCAGTCAATGTAGAAAAAAGAACTGTTTGCCATTCTGATTCTCATAGGCATGTTGGCCTCAGGGAAACTCCCCACTTTGGGAAAGCCCAAGGCTGCCATGGGGAAGTATATTGGAAAACCCACCTGGCTCTTGGGTTGTTAATCTGAAAGGGTGGGGAAATAGCGGCTGGGAGGAAGGACCAGGAGGGGCGCTAACCCCGTCCTCCACTTTGCTCCCCTAGCACCCTCTAGTGGCCATTTCACAGATCTGCAAGGGCCGCCATGGTCTGGAGAGGTGATCTCTACGCTTGATTCCACACTCGGGCAGTTTTTGAGCTTTATGTCTGCTATGCCTGTATTTATCTTGCATAATAATATTTGTGTATTGTTGTGCCTGTGATAAAACACACATACTGAAACAAACTTTTACAAGATGAGATGGAGATACTATTTTTTAAATATTTGTTTTAATGGCATAGACATCATAAACATTTTTAATCAAAGGAATTTCTTAATGAAAACAACGTGGATTCAATTCAATTGCTTTGTGATGGAGATCTAGGTGTGACACTCTGTGATGCAGCAATGTAGAGTTCCAAGTTCGGTTTATGGGTACTTGGTATTTAGGGTTGAAGTGGTTGGAAAGAGGGTCATAGTAGTCACCTGGGGTGTGGTTCTTGTTAATGATAGTGGATGTAAATCCATTTCTCAAATAGCCTTCTTGATGATTTTGATTCTTTTGGGTGGACTTCTTGTCAGCTCTGCAGTCATCATTGTGTTACTCTTGTGATTTAGCTGACGAAGAGCTTAAGCTAAGTAGAAGCATTAGCTTTTCCAATTTTTAAATTGTCTGCTTTTGCTTAGGTGGTTATGGTCTTTGTAGGAACCCTTGAATGTCATTTTAAAGTCCATTTTGTGTGTTGAAAATAAATGAGATCATTCATGAACACAGTCCACTGAGTACCTTAACCTCCAATTCACAGGCACAAACACAGGGTGTATTAGTCCGTTTTCACGCTGCTGGTAAGGACATACCCGAGACTGGGTAATTTATAAATAAAAAGAGGTTTAATGGACTCACAGTTCCACATGGCTGGGGAGGCCTCACAGTCATTGCAGAAGAGCAAGGGAGAGCAAAGGGACCTCTTACATGGCAGCAGGCAGAGAATGAGAGCCAAGTGAAAGGGGTTTCCCCTTAGAAAACCATCAGACCTCGTGAGACTTATTCACTACCACGAGAACAGTATGGGGGAAACCACGCCCACGACTCAATCATCTCCCACCGTCTCTCTCCCACAACACGTGGGAATTATGGGAGCTACAATTCAAGATGAGATTTGGGCGGGGACACAGCACAAACCTAGCAGGGGGGTAGTGTGGTTTGCAGTCTTTCTTCTGTGCTGGGAGCTCCGTGAGCCCCCTCAGTTGCCTGCCTAACCTCATAGACACGTGGCTGCTTCACACACAGAGGGCAGCAGTATTGATCCGTGCAGTAAATATAAGGAAACCTTATTTTTTAGATTAAAAACAAAATCTGTCTAGGAGTCCTAATGCTTTCTTCTCACTCAGCTGTGTGCACCCCTCAGGCTGTGGGATTCCCCTGTCTGGAGACCCCTAGATGTGTAGATTTCCCAGATCAAATCTTCCTCCCCAACCTGATAGAGGTTGCCGACTTATTTTGTATCATTACCATTTCTTTGAATAAAAGAGAGTAGGGGGAGCTAATTCTTGAAGTTTGAAAAACTGTTGTCTCAAAATTTACACGTGTAACACGACTAGCTCTGAACAGCTTCCCAGCTTGCTTTTTCTGTTTCTCAAATAACTTCTCAAACTCTGTCAAGGGAATAGACTTGATGGCCAGGGCTCCTCCTTCAGTAGCTGCAGGGTTGGCATCAAAGGGTCACAGTGGGGCCTCCTGTGAGCCGGCATCCCTCCCTCCACCGAGTCAGCCCTCTGACCTCGCTGCCCATCCCCTTCCCCATAGAGACTTCAGCCAAGGAAGGGCTGCTCCTGTGGTGTCAGAGAAAGACAGCCCCTTACAAAAATGTCAACATCCAGAA
Source organism: Homo sapiens (assembly GCF_000001405.40). NCBI lineage: Eukaryota > Metazoa > Chordata > Mammalia > Primates > Hominidae > Homo > Homo sapiens. Next base: position 68,909,966 of record NC_000014.9, on the reverse strand, counting down.
CTTCCACATAAGGTGAGTGCTGGGGTCTGAGGGGCTCTCACAGAACCAGGCTGCCTCCCCCGGGAGCTCCCAGACCCCCTTGGCTGGGTCAGTCTCAGCTTTAGAACAAAGTGGAGACCTCTGGGGGAAGAAGTAGCTTTCCTTGGGAAGGGGATGTCGCCATCGCTCTGAATCCCCCCGTCTCTCTCCCTGCAGTGTCTTAGATGGGGCTGCTGCCTGATATAACTTTGGTTGATGCTTTTGCTACTGGGAGCGCCCCCAAGGAAATTGTCCAGGAAGTCCCAGCCCAGGGCTCTGGAACAGCAGACTAGGGCCATAGGCCTTGGTCGGGGGTAGGGCTGGATATGGCAGGTTTATCTGAACTTGTCAACCCCCCCACAAAGTCTTGACCCTAGTGCCTGGGATTTGTGGCAGGAAGAAATGTCCCTTCCCATCCTGTCTTCTAACTCCTACCCCAGAAAGCTCTATGTGTTCATCTCTCTGGTGTCTAGGAGGCCCCTGCTTTGCCCTGGTTGCCCGTTTGTTCAGCCTCATTTACCAGCCTGCTCCTTCTTCTCTCTCCCCGGGCAGCTGGAAGGATGGCCTCGGCTTCTGTGCTTTGATCCACCGACACCGGCCCGAGCTGATTGACTACGGGAAGCTGCGGAAGGTATGTGTGCCCACCTGACCACCCGCTTTGGGTCCCTGGCAGGTGGGGTGGGAAAAGAGCAGGACTAGGACCCTTGTTGTGACAGTCCATGGTCCAGCCTGAGCAGTGTTGGCCTCTTAGAATAGCCAGACAGAGCCCCAACTGAAAGTGAAGAGAAAACACCTTCCCTGTTAGGGCAACTTCATTACCCTTGTGCGTGGTGTGTGTGTACTTGCACACATACACAGCCCATCAGGAAAATATCACAGCTGTGACAGCAGCTTTGTCAGAGGGATGGAATGATACATGGTGTTTCTCCCTTCTGTTTTTCCGGGATTTGTAAAGAGGAGACACTATTTTCATCATTGAAAACAGTGCATATTCTAAGGGACAGTTCATCCCCGCCTTGTCCTTTGACCTGCTGTGCGGTCCTGGGCAGCTTATCCCACCCATGGATTTGGTTTCCTTTATTGCTCAAGTTTGGCTGGGGGATTTTCTTTTGGTTTCACTCCCGCCTTCAGCATGAAGCTGCAGTGATTTTTCTTGAGTGGGTGTGTGGAGTGGGGACAGATGCAGGAGTGGGAGCTGTGTTTCTAGCCTCATGGTGGTTCTCAATGTCTGAGCTGGTTGGACGACACTGCCCTGGACCTTGGAGAAGCCTGTCCTGGACCCTCTGACCACACTCTCCAGGTTCCCTCCTGGACCCTCTGACCACACTCTCCAGGTTCCCTCTTGGTCCATCTTGGTGCCAAGAGGCCACATGGCATGGCCATCCAAGGAAAGACCCTTCCCACGCCCCAAGTTGGTGACCTGGAGTTGGGGTTGGAATGTCGCCTATCTGTGCTCAGATCTCTTGGCAAGGGAGGCTTCAAGGAGCGGCTGGACTTGTGTGTCTCTACTTCACCTTGATGCTGGAGAACACAGTGTTCAGTGTAGCTCTTGCCTTGCCTGGGCCTCCAGGAAGGGCGTCTTGCTTCTCAGTGGCCAGGAGAGGTTTAATATCACTGGGGCAGGAGCTGCTGTGCAACTCATGGTGGTGGCAGGCCCTTTGTTTCGGGCGGGTGGATAGCAAGCTGCCAAAAAGGATCTTGAGGGAGGAAAGGAGCAGATGCCTACCCGCTTCCCTGCACCGTGCCCCGCCCCACCCCCACCCCATACACACTGCCCCGTCACCTGAAGCTTGAGGCTGAGGCCTCTGCCCACTGGAAGGGCCCATCTGCTGAAGGAGAGGAGCCACAGCAGGGGCCAGCCCTTCGCCAGCTAACCTCCTGGGGGAAGAGGATCCTTGGCCCACCTCCTCAGCTGCTTTGCAAGGAAAAAAAAAAAAAGAGAACCTTCCTGTCCTGCTGGAAAGTTGTGTGGCCAAATCAAACGTGGCCAAGGGGGAATATTCTACAGGTGGCAGTTTTTTCTTTTGAAGGCATCACCACTTCCTATTCAGCTGATGGGCTTTGGTGACAGGTGTGCACCTATCTCTGTCCCTGCTTGGGTATGCTGGGGTGTCAGTGGCCAGTTCATCCACAGCTGTTGGACATCCCCACTAAAGGGGTCTGTGCCGACCGTGGCTCTAGAGCCCCCTCCCTTATTCTGAAGGATTTGGAAGCATCAGCCATTTGGGAGGTGAAAGTCCAGGGGTTCTTTCTGATACCCAGTTAGCACTCTCCCACGCACTATCCCTCTCTGTCTTTTTATTTATCTCTGCCAGTTTCTCCCTGTTTTGCTGTCTCTGCCTCTCCTTCTGTGTTTTTTTGTTTTTGTTTTTGTTTTGTTTTTTGAGACAGAGTTTCACTATTGTTGCCCAGGCTGGAGTGCAATGGCGTGATCTCCACTCACTGCAACCTCCGCCTCCTGGGTTCAGGCAATTCTCCTGCCTCAGCCTCCTCAGTAGCTGGGATTACAGGCGCACGCCAGCACGCCTGGCTAATTTTTGTATTTTTAGTGGAGACGGGATTTCACCATGTTGGTCAGGCTGGTCTTGAACTGCTGACCTCAGGTGATCCACCCGCCTTGGCCTCCCAAAGTGCTGGGATTACAGGCGTGACCCACCATGCCCAGCTTTTTTTTTTTTTTTTTTTTTTTAAGAGAGTCTTGCTGTGTCGCCCAGGCTGGAGTGCAGTGGCGTGATCTTGGCTCACTGCAACCTCCGCCTCCCAGGTTCAAGCGATTCTCCTGCCTCAGCCTCCTGAGTAGCTGGGATAACAGGCACCCAGGCTAATTTTTGTATTTTTAGTAGAGACAGGATTTCACCATGTTGGCCAGGCTGGTCTCGAACTCCTGACCTCAGGTGATTCGCTCACCTTGGCCTCCCAAAGTGCTGGGATTACAGGCATGAGCCACCGCGCCCAGCCCCCCTTCTGTTTTTTAATTGTAATTTTTTTGTAGAGATGAAGTCTCACTATATTGCCGAGGCTGGTCTCGAACTTCTGGCCTCAATGTGACCCTCCTGCCTCAGCCTCCCAAGTAGCTGGGATTACAGGAACAGCCACCACACCTGGCTTCCACTCCTTTTAATTCAGTATCATCATCAGTAAAATCCAGCCCAAATCCTAGCACACACCTGAGCCCAGTGAACCAGGAACACCCTTCCAGAGAACAAGGAGGTTGTGAGACCAACTGGTGCCGAAGAATAGGGACAGAGGGCTGAGGGGCTCCGACTGGGAAGCTCTTCCTTCCTGCAGCAGCCATGGGTGGGCATGGGGCCCTGGGGTCCCTGGAACTCACGTGGGGCGGGTGTGTGTATACCTGGACCTGAGCACTGGCAGCTGCTGCTCCAGGCCCTGGATGAGAATGACCTTGACTACTCGGCAGTGTTCATCCTCCTGGCTGCTGTTGGAGACTTTCCCAGAGGGACCCCACCTTCTCTGTTTAGAGCAATTTCCTCCTGAAAACATCCTGGATGATGTATTTATCTTTGTGTTACCCTATACTTCTCCCTTTAGCAAACAGGGAAACTGAGTCCTGGGCCGACACAACCAGCTTGCTTTAGGTTAGTCTGGGGAACCAAGAATAGAGGAGAAGGGCCCAGCCAGAAACTCTTCCACTAAGGTTTTTTATCCTCTGCATTAAAAACTTATACAATAACTGGTACAATATACAAAACAAAATTTACCACTTTAACCATTTTTAAATACACTTACTGTTCAGGGGTATTCCGTACACTCACATTATTGTACAACTGTTCCTACCATCCATCTTCAGAACTCTTTTCTTGCAAAACTGAAAGTCTGTACCCATTAAACGGTAGTTCCCCGTTCTTTCCTGCCCCCCCGGCCTCTGGCTGCTACCATTCTGCTTTCTGTCTGGGAACCTCATAACAGTGAAGCCATATGGTGTTTGCTGTTTTTTTTTTTTTTTTTGAGACGAGGTCTTGCTCTGTTGCCCAGGCTGGAGTGCAGCAGCGCGATCTTGGCTCATTGCAACCTCTGCCTCCCGGGTTCAAGCAATTCTCCTGTCCCAGCCTCCCGAGTAGCTGGGACGTGCCACCACACCCAGCTAATTTTTGTATTTTTAGCAGACACGGGGTGTCACCACGTTGGTCACGCTAGTCATGAACTCCTGACCTCAAACAATCCATCTGCCTCGGCCTCCCAAAGTACTGGGATTACACACGTGAGCCACTGCACCCGGCCTGTGTCCTTTTGTGTCTGGCTTATTTCACTGAGCATAACATTCTAAGAGTTCATCCATGTTGCAGCATGTGTCAGAAATTCCCTCTTGTTGAGGCTGAATAATATTCCATTGTATGTATCACCACGTTTTGCTCATCCGTTCATCCATCAATGGGTACTTGGGTTGCTTCCACCTCTTGGCTACTGTGAATAATGCTGCTATGAACAATGGAGGTATAAAGATCTCTTTGAGAACCTGCTTTCAATTCTTTTGAGTATCTCCCCGCAAGTGGAATTGTAGGACCATGTAATACCATGTTGAATTTTTTGAGGAACCACCATCCTATTCTCACAGCATTTGACATTCCACCTACGTTTATGTTGCATTCATCGCACAAGGATTACAGCTTCTCAACATCCTTGCCAAGCCCCGCTAAGTGTTCTTGCGAAGGTAGCAGAAGCCAGAATAGTCCAAAGCTGTGGCTATTTAAAGGAGCCCCCAAATTTCATGAAATGTGAGCACCAGAGGGGCTCCTGCTCCGAATCTTGACTAGTCTAGAGTTTAGAGCTCCCTACCCCAACTCTTGAGTTATGGATGGAGAAGCTGAGGTCAGGTTAGCTACCCACGAGTCCCACTGGTTGAGGGCAGAGCTGAAACCAGAAGCCAGGATGGATGGTGACTAGGCCAGTGCCCTGCCCTTGGCACACGTTTCTTAGGAACTCCTTCCTACCCCCGACTCAGGCTGCAGACTACTTCGCCCCATTTTCCTGACAATCTGAAGCTTGAAGGGGGAAAGAGAATGCTTTAAACCTCCAACCAGTGAGCCCCAGTGGTGAGACCAGCCTTCCACATCTGGAGCTGTCCCCTGAGGATCGAGCTGGGGCTGGGAGAAAGTCGCTCTGCTCCCCAGTTTGGGTGGCCACCCAATTGGGAGTAGCCAGTGACTTGTGGTGGCTCTCACTTTATCATCCCTTCCTCCTTTTCTCCCTCTAGGATGATCCACTCACAAATCTGAATACGGCTTTTGACGTGGCAGAGAAGTACCTGGACATCCCCAAGATGCTGGATGCCGAAGGTGAAAGGCGCTTTCCTTCTGTGTCTCTTGCCCATCGCCCACCTGCCACTCAGCGGCTAAGAAGGGGTGGACCCCAGCAGTCCGGGGCTGGACGGGAGGAGGCCTGGTCTTCTGGGACCGCATTTGAGGAGCATGGGGATCACAGCCTCTTGGGGATTCTTCCATCGTTCTTTGAGCTTTGGAGAGAGAGGTGTTAGTTGATTCTGCAAAGGTCTTAGGGGCTGTTCTTGCATCGACTGCCTGAGGATGGTTCTTGTCTTTGCCTTGGAGTCAGGATAGCGGGTGCTGGGGTGTGGGGAAATGTGCCCTTGTTGTCCGGCACAGTTTGGGATGGGAAGTTTCCCTTGCTGAGAGGTGCACTGTCCTCACCCTCTGAGCCCTGGGTGGTCTCTGGACAGCTGAGCTTAGCATCTCCTCTATGCCCCAGCTCTGACTGGGGCTGGCTGGGCATGGTGTTTTTCTCATCTGTAACCCTGGCTTCCTTCTAGCATCTTCTGAGGAGGGTGCTAGAGAACTATGGCTTGGACTTTCTCAGTGGTGGAAGTGTCCAGTTCTGATCTGTCTGGGAAGATCCCAGCCAGAGGCAGTGGCTCCATGTTGGGTAGGGAAGGAAGGAGGGGGCCCAAGTTGAGTGTTGACTTTTCTGTTCCTCACCAAGGCCTTGCTGTCCCAGATGCTGCTAGCCAGGATGCCTGGATGGGGACAGGTTCAGGGTTCGACACTAGAACATCCTTACCAAAGATTGGGCCTGGGGCTGGAAACCCAGCTCTTCCTGGCTGCTGACCTTACCATTGCCCCTCTCCCTGTGTAGAGCGTCTCGGATGGGGTGAGCAGGGGCTGTGGGGGGAAGGGAAGCATCTGGGAGCATAGGGGTCTGTGGGCTTATGAAGCCAGGGCTGGCAGCTCCAGGCTGGGGTCAGGCTGGGTCTTGTCCCACCTCCGCGCTTGCCCCTTGGGAGGAGCCTGACTCACCACAGCCCCTTCCCTGTGTGCTCTCCTTGGCCCCAACTGCTCAGTGCTGAAGGGCTAGAAAGGGGTTATGGAGACAGGAAAAGACCACGGTGGGGTCCAGACTGTTCCCTGCCCCTCTGCCCCACCAGTGGCTTTTTTTTTTTTTTGAGACGGGGTCTCCCTGTGTCACCCAGGCTGGAGTGCTGTGGTGCGATCTCCGCTCACTGCAACCTCCGCCTCCTGGGTTCAAGCGATTCTCTTGCCTCAGCCTCCCAAGTAGCTGGGATTACAGGCACCCACCACCGGCTAATTTTTATATTTTTAGTAGAGACGGGGTTTCACCAAGTTGGCAAGGCTGGTCTCGAACTCCTGGCCTCAAGTGATCCACCTGCCTTGGCCTCCCAAAGCCACCAGTAGCTTTTAAAATTTCAAAATGTCATGAGGAAAATTTTCAAACGCATAAAAACCCAGGCAAAAGCAGAAAGAATAGCACGATGACCTTTCCTATTTCCATCATCCAGATAGAATGGCTACTGAGGTCTTGCCACACTTTGTGTTTTTCTTGTTTTCTTTGTTGAAGTATCTTAAAGCAATTCTGAGATATCACATCATTTTACCACTGCATACTTCCGAATACATCCTTAAAAATAGAGTTATTTTCTTAGTCAATGATAAAGTTATCACATTTAGCAAATTGATAATTCCATGTGATACCCAGTTCATAATGAAATTTCCCTAATTACCTATGACATTTCTTTGAGGGTTGGTTTGTTTTAATCAGAATCCAAACAAGGTCCATACTGGCATTCGGTTGTGTTTCTGACAGCTTTTCCCATCTCTAGTACTTCTCTCCTCCCTTTGACCCCTTTTATTCCTGCCAATGAACTTGCTGCAGAAATGGGGCCGCTGTCCTGTAGCAAGTTCCTTATACTGGGTTTGTCCGCCTCCTTTGGGGCTTCATTTCACCTGTTCCTCTACTTACATTCCCATAAGCGCAAGTTGACGCCAGAGGCTGGTTAGATTCGGGCTCCACATTTTGGCAAGAAGACTTGGTGGTGCTGCGAGCTTCTTTCTGCCTCACGTCGGGGGTGTATGGTGTTCTTGGAACCAGCTGGCTTTAACTCCAGATTTTTCTTGACAGACATCGTTGGAACTGCCCGACCGGATGAGAAAGCCATCATGACTTACGTGTCTAGCTTCTACCACGCCTTCTCTGGAGCCCAGAAGGTACCCGGGGCCCCCTGCTCCTTCCATGCCCAGCACACCTCCTGCTGGACCCCAAACCATGTCCTCCTGCCCGCCTCCACCTCTCCTGGTGACAGGTATCTGGATGGTCTGGTCTCTCGGACAGAGGCAGTCCCTAGTTCTGAAGTGGCGTGTTGTTCTTACCTGGCTCCCGTCCCACCCCACACCTCTCTCTCTCATCTTCTACTGTTAACAAGAAAATTGGGCAGCAGCTCACTTTCTGGGACCCAGATGACTGGCTTAAGCAGGAAGGGCTGTGTGCATGAGGCAGCCGGGGTGGTTCTGGAAGGCTACTGAAAGGTGAACAGGAGCAGCCCTTCCATGCCCACGTCTGTTGAAGCCACTGGCTCGATAGAGCAGCTGGAGCTCCCTTAGAAGGGCAATGCTGGGAGACACCTCCAGTCTTCACTTACCCACTTGGCAAAGGCATCATAAAGCCCCACCTTTGTCCTGCTCATGGGCATGACTTAGCAGATCTGTCCTCAGCCCCTTGGGCTCTAGTGCCTTCTCCTGTATCCTGCCTGGGACTCCCATGCGGCCATGCTGCACTCTGTGTTCTCAGACATAAGCAGAACCTCTGGGAGGAAGGGAGAGGCGGTGGGCAGCTGTGAGCCCCGTCAAGTGTCCTGGCCCAGTTTTGCTCCGGGAGGCCTGAGATTAAAGTTCAGTCGTGCAGGTTCTGCACCACACAGGGGTTCCACGACTAAAGGGCACTGTCCATGCTGTGGACATTGAAGATTTGAACATTTTCATCACCAGGCTTAGGCAGCATACACCCCTCCCCCAGACCTCCCTGGTAGGCAGGACTCCAGAAGAAGCACAACATCACCATGACCACAGAATCTTCACGTCTCATGCAGATCTCCTGCCCTCCACATGGCATCTGAGTGACCGTTTTAAAATGCATGATGAGGCCGGGCTGGTGGCTCACGCCTGTAATCCCAGCACTTTGGGAGGCCAAGGCAGGCGGATCACTTGAGGCCAGGAGTTCGAGACCAGCCTGGCCAACATGGTGAAACCCCGTCTCTACTAAAAATACAAAAATTAGCCGGGTGTGATAGCACCCTCCTGTAATCCCAGCTATTCAGGAGGCTGAGACCAGAGAATCGCTTGAACCCGAGAGGTGGAGGTTGCAGTGAGCCAAGATTGTGCCACTGCACTCCAGCCTGGGTGACAGAGTCAGACTCTGTCTCAAAAAAAAAAAAAAAACAAAACAAAAACAAAACAAAACAAAAAAAAAACAAAAAAAAACCATAAAACAAAAAAAAAATGCATGATGGGAGCCCCTGCCCTCTCCCACCTCTCCTATGCCGTCCCTGCCTCAGACTCTGCTCACCTCCCACCCACTCCCTCCCCTGCTGTTTCATTTTTTCTCTTTCTGCTCATTCCCTCCTTTTCTGTCTGTCCGTCTGTCTTGTGTCCTCTTTCTGTCCACCATGGCTGTTTGGGTTTATTCTGTGCTGCTGCCGCTGCCTACTTTCTCCTCTCAACCTCTTCTCCTTCTCTGTGCAGATGTGTAGGCACGCTAAGGCCGGATGGGAAGGCCGTGTGACCTAATGTTTCATGTCACGGCCACGCCTTCTCGGGTGTGCAGAAGGTGAGCTCTCCCTCGGCCTCCTCCACTCTCCCCTCTTGCCCATCTCTTCCGTCCTCCCTGGACACTCCAGCAGCAGGCCCTGGGATGGAAGGAGGGACTAGAGAAGCCCCTCCTTCTCCTGCAGGGGAACAGGACTCTGAACTTTGGCCAGGACACTTGAAGATGCCAGAGAACCCCAGCCTCTGAATGACCTCCTGTGTCTCTGTCCCTATGCCCTGGGCATAGCGGATACCACAAGCGAGAGAGAAGCTTGTGGTCTCAGCTTCTTCCCTGCACCCCGCATCAAGAGCCCTTATCCCAGGCAGCACAGCTCTTGGCAGTGCTTTCTATTTCCTTAAACATCCAGGACCTCTTCCCTCTCTCTCTCTCCCTCCTTCCTGCTTGAGCAAGGCCACCCTCGCAAATTTAGCCAGCAGCCAGAGCAGGGAGAACTCTTCCTGCCTTCTCCAGGGAGTCCAGACCAGAGCCCTGCCTGATGCTTCTCAACCAGGCTGCCATGGACAGTTGTGCAGGTTGCAGACTACTCACAAGTGCCACGTGTGTGCAGTGGACAATGGAGATTTGAATATTGATTACTAAAGTGATCCTGCAGATGGCAGTGAAAATGTCTTCTAACAAAATCAGTAGGACATTTTCCCAGTAGAAGTGCCCTTGGGGAAGAGGTAAAAAATGATCCAGAGACACCATATGGGCTGGCAGCAGCCCTGTTCCCTGCCTGGTTGGGCACCCAAGACCCTCCGGAACTTCCTTCCAGGGCTCATTGGTGCGGGCCAGAGACAGGAGACCAGCCCCGTCTGGAGGCTGTTTCTCATAGGTATCCCCCGAGCCTGCCCAGCCCCTCTCAGCCCCTCCTCTGGCCTTCCTTCTGCTTCCTCTTTGTCCTTCCCACATCTCCTGCTGCTGTTCCTGTGCCCCTCCCCTGGCCCCTCGCAGCCAGGGTGTGAACAGCTTCTCTCCCTTGCCTTGGTTGGCCTCCTGGCCCAATAGCCACGGGTGTGCACCTGCCCGTGTCCGTGGTCAGGCTGAGCTCTCTGCTATGGTCTTTTCCCCTCTTCCCAAAGCTCCTTCCTTCTCTTCCAGTCTCTCCCCTTCTCCTTCAGGGGTCTGTCCCGGGCTTCATGCCCATTGGTGCTGGCCTTCCCTGTCTCTGAAGCCTTCTCTGTGTCCTGGCTGGTGACAAAGCTTGGAAGGGAATGTGAGATGCGTGTGGGTGTAGTGGGTATGAAGTGGGTGTGTGGTATGTATGGGTATGGGGGGTTCTGAGGAGTGTGTGGTTTGAGGTATGTATGGTGTGTGGGGGATGTGATGGGTGAGATATGGGGTGTGTGTGAGGTGTGTGTGTATGGTATGGATGTGGTGGGTGTGAGGTGTGTATGGGGAGTGTGGTGTGTGTATGTGGAGTGTGGTGTGTAAGGTGTGTGTCTGGGGGGTGTGGGGAATGTGGTGTGGAAGGGTGTAGTGTGTGAGGTGTGTGTATGAGGTGTATGGGGTGTGGGGACTGGTGTGTGTGGTGTGTAGGAGGTGTGAGGGGTGAGGTGCGCTGTGGGTGTGGTGTGCTGTGGGTGTGAGGTGTGTTTGTGGTGTGAGGTGTGGCATGTGGGTGTGTGTGTGAAGGGGAGTGCTGTGTGTGTGGGGTGTGGTGTGTGGTGTGGAGGGGTATAGTGTGCTGTGGGTGTGAGGTGTAGGGTGTGAGGTGTGTGTGTGGTGTGAGGTGTAGGGTGAGGTGTGGGTGTGGTGTGGTTGTGGTGTGGAGGGGTATGGTGTGCTGTGGGTGTGAGGTGTGTGTGTGGTGTGTGAGGTGTGTGTGGTGTGAGGTGTGGCATGTGTGTGTGTGTGGTGTGCTGTGGGTGTGAGGTGTAGGGTGTGTGTGGTGTGAGGTGTGGCGTGTGTGGTGTGTGTGTGTGGAGTGAAGGGGAGTGCTGTGGGTGTGGCATGTGTGAGGGGTGTGTGGGGTGTGTGGAGTGTGTGGGATGTGGATGGCGTGTGGGTGACAGCCTGCTCCCCCTCCCAAATCTCATGCCACCTCCCCATGCCCCCTTCCCTTTCACTCATCCCTGTTGCAACCATTTCACGCTGCTTTTGTCCACACCTGAGGGCAAGGTCACAGCTGGGTTGGTGGTAGTGGTGGTCGTCCTCTCATGTCCTGGTCAGGGGTCTGACCCAGAGTTGCCCCCACCACTTCTAAGGTGACTGCTTTGAGCTGAGCAGGCAGGGGAGGGGAACCCTACCTCGCCTTGTGTGGTGGGGCTGATGGAGGAGAAGGACTCTTGCTGACTCACACACTCCTGTCTTGTCTGTCTCCGGGCTGGCACCGATGAGGAAAGTCTTCCAAAACCCGTGCCCAGTGCCCTCCATCCTCTCCACTGTCTTTCTGTCGCCCAACCTTGTATGGTGGAATGAAAAGGCAACAGCGCCTAATGTGTGTGTGCACGTGTGGTGCACAGCTCGTGTGCCTGTACAGGCACGTGCTGTATAATAAGTCTGTGTACTGATTTCCCTCATTAGATGAGGACCAACTGCTGTTTGACAGGTGGGTTTTGGTTCTAATTCTTTCTCTGCTTCCCTCTCCCCTCCTCTTCCCTTACAGGGACTTAGAATGGATGGAGAGCATTAAGATTTTGTTTATGTAGCTTGTGTTTTAGAGTTCATGGTCTGCTGTTTCTGAGAAAGAACACTTGAAGGCTTGGACTCGATCTGAGAGAAATTCATGAGCCATCTGGGAAAACCTAAAAAAAGGAGCCGGCAGTGGCTGCGGTCTGACCAGTGCCCTGCTCTGCCCCAGATCTGAGCAGGGCAGGTGCAGTCACAAGACTGCCGGCCACCAAGGTTTTCTTGAGCAGCAGAAACTTGAACATGAGGTCTGTGGGGGGAAGGCTTAGCAAGGCCTTGGGAAGGGGCAGACAGTGTTGTGGAGGGAGGTGACCACAGCTTGTGCAAGAAGCTTCGGGGTATGCAGGCGGAGCCTGCAGTAGGAGAGGAAGCTGGCAAGGTGTGGGCTGCCTGAGGAAAGGGGCCAGTTTCCCTCTGCCTGGTCACCCACCCTGGCCCACTCACCGTGAGGAAGCTCGGATGCCTGGTCTGAGATCTCTGCTGATCTGGGGCTCTCTTAGTAGGAACCCTGGGCTTGGTGGCTGACTCCGGACAGAGGGAAAGACTGGGCAGTGGACAGCTGTGGGAAGAAGAAAAAAGCAGGTCCAGCTAGATTTGGGAACATTTTGGCTACAGATGACATAGATGAGATCCTCGTGGCATTCATGTGAATCTGTGGGTTGTGGGTGGTGGAGCCACAGCACATCATCTGGCCACGTTTGGGTGTTTTGATGTCACCTTGAGGACAGTTCCTCTCTAGACTGTGCCTGTATCAGGCAATTGGATGCTGATTATTAGGGTAGCAGTTTGGCTTGGGATAGCTAAGTACTCCAGGGATAATAATAGTTCATATCTTTTAAAAAATAACTCCAGGGATAATAATAGTTCATATCTTTTAAAAAATAACTCTTGAATATACAACAAAGTGTATATGTTAAGTTGTATAATAGCGCAGCTTAAAGTAGGTCATAAAAAAACATGAAAATTCAGGTTGGGCGCAGAGGCTCACACCTGTAATCCCAGCACTTTGGGAGTTGAGGCTGGTGGATCACCTGAGGTCAGGAATTTGAGACCAGCTTGGCCAACACCGTGAAATCCCATCTCTACTGAAAATACAGAAATTAGCCAGACATAGTGGCGCATGCACCTGTAATCCCAGCTACTCGGGAGGCTGAGGCAGGAGGATGGCTTGAACCTTGGAGGCAGAGGTTGCAGTGAGCCGAGATTGTGCCATCGCACTCCAGCCTGGGTGACAGAGCAAGATTCTGTCTCAAAAAACAAAAAAACAAACAAAACAACCATGAAAATACAAACTAAGGGAAAGGAAACACAGATTTCTAGTAGTCTTCTCCTTTGGCACTTGGAAGCAACATTTTGCTCATTTCCAGAGAATATTTTCTGAAGCCATCAATTATCTGTTACATCTGTTACATTATCTCATGAAGCCATCAATTATCTGTGCATCTGTTACATTATCTCATGTCAGGGCACCTGGTTCTTCTTGCTGGGGCCAGAGCAGCCCATCTCCTCTTCAGGAATAGCCTGAAGCCAGGTCTCTCCCGGGGTTCTCTTCTGAAGTTGCTTCTGAAGCTGCTTCAGTTCCTGAGGTTCTCAGGGAAGGAATCTTTCCTCCCCTAGAACACATCTCTCCTTTGAACTTCTGGACTAAAGGGTTGTCTTTGAGATTCTTTATGTACTTGGTGGTTCTGGGTGCCTCTCTCCTAGATCCCTCAGAGTTCATGGGGTTCTTGTAGCTGTGAGAGGAAAAAGCTAGAAAACCAGGAGTTTGCGGTGATGGGGAAGGCCTGTCACCCCCAGCGGCCTTTCCTTCTGCTCCCGGGATCGTGTCCCGTGGGCCTAAGCCTGGCCTTCCCAGCTGACCTCATCTTACTTCTCAGGCTGAGGCTGGTGGGTGATGAAGCCGCCTTCATCAAGGGACCACGTGGAAGCAGGTCCAACTCACCACCCAGTGGGCTTCTCTGTGGTGCATCCTGCCTGTAGGGGGAGTCAGGCTGCGAGAGAAAGGGAGAGGATGAGGTTCTGAGGATTCTGCCGTAGTTTTTTTAGAAAAATCAAATCTGGACTTCAGGAACCTGCTTCCTGAAGGTAATGTAGGAGCTGGGCTGTCTCTCAAGGGAACCCGGTGGAGTCTGCAGCCTGGCCTGCCATACAGAAAGCACTCTTGTGTCTCCCGTGGTACTTGTGTGTTATTTCTGAAGGCTGGTTCACTGGTTATAATGGATGGTATTCTCAGTCAGTCTCCTTCTGGAGAGGCCATCCTGGGAGCAGGTGGCTGAGACTCTGGCTTGGGAATGCGGTTGGATCTTTGTGGAAAGTCCCCAGGAGGCCCACCCGGAATCTCCCCCAGACTTCATCCAGAAGGGAGCCCTTTTGACCCTGACTCTGGAGTAGTCAGCAGGCTCTTGGGGATGGGCGAGGCTCTTGAGGTCCCATAGGACACATGTAAAATCCCACAAATGCAGACCTTAGTCCACCAGTTTGATAAATTGGCACACATCAGATTTTATGACCATCGAGCCGATGGATCAGGAGAGTAACAAGGTGAAGGTGGCTTTATCCATGAAAATCACAGCCGCAGTTGCTTCGTGCCAGTTATGAGTAGCTGCCAAGGGGTTTCAGCTGTTTGAGTGGCACATCTCTGGCATAGTCTTCCGGGGTGGCACATCCTCACAAAAACATCAGCCTGGAGGAGGACACGCGGGTCTCTCTGCAGCCCCCTGCCCCAGCCTTGAAGGGAAGTAGTCTGGGGCTTCCGGCAAGCTGCTCCCCAGTCAGTCCCATGAGGCTGCTGGCCTGGTTCCCATGGCCCCACTTGCTTTCTGGGGCTCCAGGTCTCCTAGACAGGCTCCAGGAAAAGCATTTCCCTCTTCGTTGCTTCTTGGGATTCCCCGTGGGTGCTTGTTGGTTCTCGAGAGAGATGGCGATCAGTCAGGAGTTGTGGGTGAGAAGCAGTCATGGCATCTCCAGGACAGGGTTGAGTTGGGGTCAGGGGGTGAGGGCCTAAGGATGTGACTCCCTGTCTCAGTTTCTTGAGGCCCAGGACTCAAAGTCCCCACCTCAGGGGACTCTTAGACCACCCTCTGGCCATTCCCACCTTCTCCTTATTGGTTCTCCCAACCCATTCTGACACCTTGCTCTGCAGGTCATGCCTCCCTTGACCTCCTTGACTGTGTTTCTGACAAGGCCTTTAGGATGATCTCATTCTGCCCCTTACCCCCTGCCCCACACACCCCAGCATAGTCATCCATCCACAAAGCACATGATTTGGTGGGCGGATTCGAGAAGTTCTTCAAGGAAAAAACATTTCCGTCTTCCATCTTAGTCATTCCTTCCAATTCTAAGCACGTTCATTCTCAGGAAGCTCTTCCTTACAACCAGCCTCAGTTCATCTTGCTGCAGTTGAAACCTGTTTTGTCTTGTTCATCAACCAGTTGTGAGGTCCTGTCTTTCAACCTGTTAATCCAGGGATCATTTTTCATCTGCAGGGCACCCTTCTCCAGGGTCTCAGGATGCATGTCTGTCTTCTCACAGATATCATCTTCTCCCACCCCCAGGCTGTCTTCCTTTCTACCCTCTGGCCCCCAAAAGGCTTTGAGTTCACTTCCCCCTTGGTGTAGGGTTGGAATGTATGCAAGAACACAGCTGGATTTTAAAACCACCTATTTGAAGTGGACTCAGGAATGCTGGGTCCCTGCTGGTGTTAGGGGTACAGTAGCCCCCACAGCTGCAGAAGGCGCTCTCCCACTAAGGTTTCTTAGTCTTTGCCTGGGATTGCCATTCAGTCCCCTTTCCTTCCCTTTGCTGCTGAGGCCATCTTGGGTCCCTGCTAGCCCAGCACGCAGCGCATGATGTGTGCTTAGCTGTCTGGAAGAGGCCTGTGCTGGGTTTGCTGGGCATTGAGCCCATACTTGGTTGATCCGGAAGTCTGGACTTGGGTGCAGTAGAATGTCCGTCAGTTTTCTCTAAAGTGCTTCAGGCTTTGGGCCAAGAGCCTTGGGAGATTCTGCAGGGATCCCAAGAGGTCCCATGATTTCTCAGTCAGCACTTTATCCCAGGACTCCCGGATTTGAATTCCCACATCTCCAAGACCCTGGAAAATCCAGCCAGAGGTCCTAAGCCTTGCAGTTCCAGTGCCTCCACTTGGAATTCCAGGATGGGCATGAATTTTCTCACCTCTCCACCTGACCTGAGTATTTTGATTATATCAGTCATTGGATTAGTTTCTTCCCAACCTGCAGGTTGGGCCTTAAACTCAGGCTGTTCTCCAGGGGCCCAGTTCAGCCACCAAGACCTCTGTCCAGGCTCACTTGACCCATGGGACCTGGCCATGGGCTGGCAAGGAGGATGGTAAGGAGAGAGGAGGAATGTGACCTCACAGCCTTCTTAACTCCCTTCCAACCACAGGGAGCTGCAGGGATGGGAGGGGCTTTGTCAGCACAGGTGTGTACCAGGTGCCCCTGCTGCTGGGGCTGGCTGGTCGTGACTCTCTCTGTCTTGTTGCCAGGCGGAGACAGCAGCCAATCGCATCTGCAAGGTGTTGGCCGTCAACCAGGAGAACGAGCAGCTTATGGAAGACTACGAGAAGCTGGCCAGTGATGTGGGTACCCCCGGGTTCACCTGGCCTGACTCTAGCAAGAGTCAGTCCCCTAGAACGTGTACCTCCAAGTCTTTCCTTGGAGCATAGTCTCAGGCTTGTATAGTCTCTGATCCCAATACTGCTAGTCCAGGGCAGCCTGAGCTCTGTTGTGGCTCTCCCAGAAAGTAGTGAGGTGGGGGCAGAGGCCAGTCCCTGAGTTATCATGAGCCTAGGATATCCCTTTGCCTCTCAGAGTCTTCTTGTTTTTTTCACTTGTCAAGTGAGAGTTGAGCCAGGGGATGTCAAAGCCTTTCCAGCCTAGTGTACTCTTAGTCTGTGAGTTTTGCTTCAGTGAGAAAAGGAGCACATCTGGTTCTAAGAGGGTGAGGGTAGGGTTTTCGGTAAATTAGTGCCGGCTCAGGCTAGCATAACAGCTACCAAAAGTAGCGGCTGTCCCCTACTGTTCAGGGAACAGGATGGCACAGTGCTGGGTTTCCTGTTCTGCCATTGGCTACATTTAGGTTAAGCCTCCTCTTCTTGAAAGAATTCAGCCCGTTGAGCTGCTCAGCCCAGCCTCTTGGTGGATCTGCTGCCCAGCATAGTAAGAACGCAGGTTCTGGAGCCCAAGTGCCTGGGTTTAAATTTCTGCCATTCCAGCCAGGTCACCTTGGCAAGTTACAGGACCTGGTAGGGCCTCGGTTGTCTCCTCTGTAACATGCAGGTGATCACAGCCCTTAGCTTTGTAGTGTTTCTGTGGTGATTCAGATGAGTCCATGTGTGTGATGTGCCTGGCCCCCTGCAGGTGTTCAGTGTATTCCTATTGTCATGTGCACCCCTCCACCTTCTCCACCACCATCACCTTGGCCCAAGGAAAACAGTCCAGGCCGTGCCTGCTTGTGCTCCAGGCCAGCTCTCTGCCCAGAAGCCAGCCTCTTCCCTTTTAAGTCAGAGACCCACATTCTAGATTCTTAGGAAGTCAGATGGCAAGAACTTCTGGAAATAGCTGTTAACCCCCTCCATGGTATAGATGAGGAAACTGAGGCCCAGCCAGTTAGAACCTGGTACTAAAACCCAGGCTTCCTTCCTGCCTTTTAGTTGCACTAACTTCACACCAGGTCTATGGGTCTTCCCTTAGCAAAGCAGGGAGGTTGAGTGACGTGACTGTGAGTCGATGTACCCTAGTAGCCAGGCTTCACGAAGCCTGTGGTTCTCAGAGGGAACACCCTGGAAGCTGACTTCATGGCCTGGGAATGTCAGTGGTTGGGAAGGAGTGTGCTATTAGGAGAGACCCCTTCCCCATGTGGGAGGGCTGTTGGGAGGAAAGGGAGGCTGGCCCTAGCACACTCCCTCCCCGCCTCCTCACCTCCTGCCCCCACCGCCTTCCCACCCTAGCTGTTGGAGTGGATCCGCCGCACAATCCCGTGGCTGGAGAACCGGGTGCCCGAGAACACCATGCATGCCATGCAACAGAAGCTGGAGGACTTCCGGGACTACCGGCGCCTGCACAAGCCGCCCAAGGTGCAGGAGAAGTGCCAGCTGGAGATCAACTTCAACACGCTGCAGACCAAGCTGCGGCTCAGCAACCGGCCTGCCTTCATGCCCTCTGAGGGCAGGATGGTCTCGGTGAGCACTGGGGGTGAGCCTGGGCCCCCAGACTGGACTGCCTCCACCTCTGAGCTGCTCCTAGTTGTGGTCAAATTCAGCTTTATGGGGGTGCGGATGGGCGTGTTTGCTTCTACCTACATACACTGCTCCAGAAGTCACTTCCCCCTTCCAGTTACCACCCAGGCTCAATCCCAAACTCGGCCATGTGGGGCAGCCCCCTCTGCCCAGACCATTCTGGGTCAGGCTTGCCCTTCCAGACCCCTGAGCATCTACTCCAGACCTCCCTCTCACAAAAAATCATCCCTATGAACACAATGCTTTTGACACCCTGAACCAAACAGGGCATAATTGAATCGCAGTCAAGTTGATTTCTACTTCCATGGAATCTTAAGTAGTTAAAAAATATTATTATTGAAGTAATAGTTTTGTGGGTTTTTTTGGGTAGTATATTTCAAAGATACAAATAAGCAAAATACAGAACATGGAAATTACTGAAAATCTTACTACCCAGTATCAACTTTAAAAAAAATGATTTTAATCCTTTTGGTTTTTTCGTGTAAATATTTGAGGGAATCCTAAAGTATATGTATTTGAAATTAAACATTTTTTCCCGGTTTCTGTACTCAAGTGTCCCCTGACAGATAACTAAAGCCTGTTTTATATAATAAGCTGCTTTAGGAAAACCCCCAATCTTACATTATATTCTGACCAGCTTTCCATGTCATAAAATACTCTTCTTTTAGGTTATTTTTGTTATTCATCCTTCTTGACCCTGTCCCCACAACTTAGGGAAAAATTTCATAAGCCAGAGAAACACACAGAAGAAAATGTAAGAAATTTGCCATGACGCAGCTTTTTGTCCTTAAGTGAAAAGTAACAGGAGTGTCATGGGCACATGACAGGTCTAGAAGGGGAGGGTGAAAGGCAGACAGCATCGTGGGGAGACGGCAGCCCAGGGGGTCATGGAGGGAGAATACATTGCAAGTGGGTATGCAGTTTGGAAAATTGCAGTCATTTCGGGGCTCCAAGGCTGAATCAGTAGCTTTTAGGTGGCCAGAGCCACTGCTAGCCTAAGGGTGCTCTATGAGAATTAGACAAAGTACCCTTTCTGGGGGACAGATGTAGCTTGGCCTGGGGACATGTGGGGAGGGTGGCTTGCAGGGTGCAGCCCCAGTGACTGTCCAGCTGGGCACTGTTGCACAAACTGGAGGCATGGCCCTGTCTGAAGGGGCGTGTGGGTTTGCACTCAGCATCTGTCCTCCCAGAATTCTGGCCGGCTCACCCAGGCCGGGGTCTCTGTAGGCTCCAGGTTATTGCCCAGAGGCCTGAGTCCATGAATGGATCCAGGACAGTGGGGAGGCTGGGCAGCTCCAGTGCCTGCTTGCCTCATTGCACATTGTTGGTCTGTTTACCTCGGGGGCCCTTTGCCTTAGCACATGTGTGACCTCTGTGATCGGTTAGAGTCCTGCGGGAAACCAGTCCTAGTCAGGGAGAGTCTGGGGCCCTTTCCCCACAGGGCTCTGTTCTCAAAGTCCCATAGCTGGGTGACCAATGTAGATGCAGGTCCCATGCCTTGCCCAGGAGGCCTGGCTCCTGGGAGCCCAGAAAATACCAGTGGGAGATGGGAGGTATGGTGGGGCAGCCTGGCTAGGGTGGATATGGGGCAGAGATAGGGAAGAGGCTCTTCCTGGAAGGCATGGGGCACCTTCAGGGGTCTAGGGGGCTAGGGGACCTGAAGCCTAGGCCCAAGCCAGACCCTGACCCTGTACCTCCCATCCCCACAGGACATCAACAATGCCTGGGGCTGCCTGGAGCAGGTGGAGAAGGGCTATGAGGAGTGGTTGCTGAATGAGATCCGGAGGCTGGAGCGACTGGACCACCTGGCAGAGAAGTTCCGGCAGAAGGCCTCCATCCACGAGGCCTGGACTGACGGTGAGGCCAGCCCAGCCTCCTGCCTCCCCCCAGGGCTTCACTTCCCTACTCTTCAGCCCAGCCAGCAGCCACTATGCTATTCTTTGCTTTTCATTTGTTTCATTTGGTCTCTTACTAGTTCCATGGCTTTAGGCAAGTTCATTAGCCTTCTGGTCGCCTCAGCTTCCTCATCTGTAAAGTGGGAATAATAATAGTACCAACCTCACAGGCTTGTAAGAATTGAATCAGTTAATACATAACGAAGTTCTGAGGAGAGTTCCTGCATAGTGCAGTGCTGTGTGAGTGTTCACTTTGCAGTCAAATCCTCTACCCCGAGTGTTCACTTTGTTTTTTAGTTTTATGGGGGTTTTTTTTTGAGATGGAATTGTGTTCTTGTTGCCAGGATCGAATGCAATGGTGAAATCTCAGCTCACTGCAACCTCCACTTCGTGGGTTCAAGTGATTCTCCTGCCCTAGCCTCCCTAGTAGCTGGGACTACAGGTGCCTGCCACCATTCCCAGCTGATTTTTGTATTTTTAGTTTCACCATGTTGGTCGGGCTGGTTTTGAACTCCTGATCTCAGGTGATCCATCTGCTTCTGCCTCCTGAAGTGTTGGGATTACAGGCGTGAGCCACTGTGCCCAGCCGTATAATGTCATCTTAAGGAATTATGTCTGCAAAGAGCCTGTTTCCAAATAAGGTTCTATCTTGAGGTTCTGGGTTGACATGAGTTTTATGGGGGACCCCATTCAACCTAATTCAGTCTCCTCATGGGTTGTTGTGAGGCTTAAATATTATAGTACATTGCATGCTTGTGGTTTTCATCTCTTCAGCTCTTTTTCCTCTATTTCCTGGCCTCCAATTACAGTGAACCAGCCTTTGCCTTAGCACATGTGTGTCCCTGTTGCTCCAACCTTGAGGCTCTTGGGGGCGTGTCTGGTGTCTGCTTATTGGCAGCTAAGGTGAACTCTGAAGAGAGAGGATCATACCTAGGATAGTATTTTCCCCAGAACCTGGACCAGGGCTGGAGGTGGGGAACAGGCTGCCTATCTGCTGGGGCCCCTCCGGCCATTTCAGCTGGAGCGTGGGACAGACCTATTGGCCGGCGGAGCTCAATGCCCTAAGACTCCCCCAGTCAGCCCTGTTTTGTACTCCTCAGATCTTAGGTTGGAGATGAGAAGGAAGAACCATACCCCAAGGCCATTTGGGAGTGGCTTGGCTTGGTGTAGGGCAGCGGTCCCCAGCCTTGTTGGTACCGGGGACCAGTTTCGTGGAAGACAGTTTTTCCATGCAGTGGGGAGGAGGCAGATGCTTTCAGGATGACTGTTCTACTTCAGATCATCAGGCATTAGATTCTCATAAGGAGCACACAACCTAGATCCCTCGCATGCGCAGTTCACAATAGGATTTGAGCTCCTGTGAGAATCCAGTGCCGCCCCTGACACAACAGGAGGCGGAGCTCAGGTGGTAATGCTCTCCCACCTGCTGGCTCACCTCCTGCTATTTAGCCCAGTTCCTAACAGGCCACGGACCAGTACCAGTCTATGGCCCAGGGGGTGGGGACCCCTGGTGTAGGGGATGGGAGTGTGCTTGACTGGCTAAGGGGGGTTGGCTCTAGTTCCCCTTTGTAAGTACAAATGCTGGGCTTTGCACACAATGGTAAGAGGTTGCTGCCCCCACATCCACTGTGCGTGTATGGAGTTATTTATCCAGACGTGACGGGCAGAGTGGAGGAGGCACAGTGGGGATTGCACTGATTCATCACATGCTTCTGTCGGGTCCAGCTCACAGCCAAGGTACAAAGCAAAGATTGACCTCGTTGCCTTGCCAGCCACCAGCAGGGGCATGAGAAGTGCTGGCATGCTGGCACAGCCTCTGGGGAAAGCAGTTTGGCCACATGTATTCAGTTCTACCAATTTTACTACACTCTGACCTGGGAATTCCATTTCTTGAGACTGTCTAAAGAATCTATCCTGGGCGTGAGGAGTGGCAGCGGCCAGGCAGCACAGTTTCGCAAAGGCTGTCAGCATGCCGCGGCCCGCAGACACCTGGCACGCGCCCTCCCTGCCGCCAGGATGCCCAAGGGGAAGGTCAGCTCTGCTGAAGGAGCCGCCAAGGAAAAGCCCAAGAGGAGATCGGCGCGGTTGTCAGTTAAACCTCCTGCAAAAGTGGAAGCGAAGCCGAAAAACGCAGCAGTGAAGGATAAATCTTCAGACAAAAAAGTGCAAACAAAAGGGAAAAAGGGAGCAAAGGGAAAACAGGCCGAAGTGGCTAACTAAGAAACTAAAGATTTACCTGCAGAAAACGGGGAAATGAAAAGTGAGGAGAGTCCAGCCTCTGATGAAGCAGGAGAGAAAGAAGCCGAGTCTGATTAATACCATATACCATGTCTTATCAGTGGTCCCTGTCTCCCTTCTTGTACAATCCAGAGGAATATTTTTTATCAACTATTTTGTAAATGCAAGCTTTTTAGTAGCTCTAGAAACATTTTTAAGAAGGAGGGTATCCCACCTCATCCCATTTTTTAAGTGTAAATGCTTTTTTTTAAGAGGTGAAATCATTTGCTGATTGTTTATTTTTTGGTACAACCAGAAAATAGTGTGGGATATTGAATTATGGGAGGCTTTGACTGTCTCGGGTGTCAGCTTAACATTCCATAGATGGGGGGGTTAGTTTTTATATCCTATAATACAAAGCATATTAAATGGCAATATGGAGTCAGTCCTGCATTTAATATCTTGAACATTTTAAATTACTTCTGTTGCCATGTTGTTTTTTTAGTAGAATTGTTTCCTAAAGAAAACCACTCTTTGATCATGGCTCTCCCTGTCAGAATTGTGCACTCTGTAACATCTTTGGTTGTGGTAGTCCTGTTTTCCTAATAACTTTGTCACTGTGCTGTGAAAGATTACAAATTTGAATATGTAGTGTACGTGCTATTCAGTTGTGAACTGGTGGGCCGTATGTGACAGCTGACCAACATGTGAAAATACTGGTACTTGATAGCCTCTTAAGGAAAATTTGCTTCCCGATTTTAAGCTGGAAAGTCACTGGAATAACTTTAAAAAAGAATTACACTACATGGCTTTTTAGAATTTCATTACGTATGTTAAGAATTGTGTACAAATTGAAACGTCTGTACTGATCTTCAACCAATAAAATCTCAATTATTAAAATACAAAAAAAAAAATCCATCCTGAACATGGAGACATCCACACTAGGGCAAGCTGAGGGCCCAGCAACTCACAGTAGGGCAGTGAAGGGTTAGGGGAGTGGACGTGCAGCCTTTCTGCAGACGTCTACATGAGAAGACTATGGAGCCAGGGCAGAAATTCCAATAATGTGCCGCCAATTTTTTTTTTTTTTTGAAACGGAGTCTCGCTCTGTCACCAGGCTGGAGTGCAGTGGCATGATCTTGGCTCACTGCAACCTCTGACTCCCTGGTTCAAGCGATTCTCCTGCCTCAGCCTCCCAAGTAGCTGGGATTACAGGCATGCGCCACCACGCCCAGCTAATTTTTGTATTTTTAGTAGACATGGGGTTTCACCATGTTGGCCAGGATGGTCTCGATCTCCTGATGACCTCGTGATCTGCCCGCCTCGGCCTCCCAAAGTGCTGGGATTACAGGCGTGAGCCACCGTGCCCGGCCCATGTGCTGCTAAATATTTTAAAAGCAGGAAACATAATTTATATATGCCCAAAGAATATCCACATAAGGAAAGACTGAATAGGAGTGGATAAGTAGGCTTACCTGTAATTTTTTTCCTAAGCTTTATATATTACCATTCTGTTTTAAAGAAGAAAGAGTAGGGGGAAGGAAAGAAATGCCACCTGGGGACACAACCTTGGCTCCCAGCCCAGCCTTATTTATTGAGATGGGCCGAGCATACCAGCAGCAGAGGGTTGGGTATGTGAGTGAGGGAGGCTGGGCCAGCCCCCATCCTGTGCCTGTCAACTTCACAAGGCAGCTGGTGAGCGTCGTCTAACAATGGCCCTGGGAGGTCATTTCTTGTTCCTGCTTTCCTCCTGTGGAAACAAATTTAAGAAACGCAAGACCTGCTTGTGCCCTGTAGATAGAGGGCAGTGTGTCTGAGGGTCAGAGAAGGCGCTAGCCACTGTCGGGTTCTGTGCAGAGTGCACTGGACACACTGACCGAGGGAAGGGGCCCCTGCAGGGCTGCCGGCAGCCAGTGACGGTAACTGGGGACATTCTAAAGGCAGGGTACTCCTGAGGTGCTTGGGTTGTTTTTTTCCTGGTTATACCAGAGGGTGTGGATGGCTGTGTTTCCCGCTGTGTGTATAGCGTCATGCCCTATGCATTCCCACAGACTCCTGCATAGCCTTCCTGCGTAGACACTTTCATGGCCTTGGAAGTGCTCTGAGGAGAGTGCTTTTCCCCGTTGCGCCGGTTGGTGGATGTTCTAGTTGCACATCTGCTTTTGCACCCTGCAGATCCCTGCACAATGGGCACCTCCTTGAGAAGCACCCCCAGAAGTGGAGCTCCTGGGGCCCTGAGGGGTGGGCGGTTGGGACCAAGGAGATGCTTCTCACTCCAGCTCAGCCATGTGGCCCTCTCTCAACCCAGGCAAAGAGGCCATGCTGCGACAGAAGGACTATGAGACCGCCACCCTCTCGGAGATCAAGGCCCTGCTCAAGAAGCATGAGGCCTTCGAGAGTGACCTGGCTGCCCACCAGGACCGTGTGGAGCAGATTGCCGCCATCGCACAGGAGCTCAAGTAGGTGGCCCCAGACACCCCTACCCTGTGGTGAGGGGCTGAGGCTGGGCTTTCTCAGCTGCTGGGGGAGGTGGGGGTGTGGCCGTGGAAGATGGGGAGGGTGGGTACAGGTGGGTGCCCAGGTGGGGAGGGAGTCAACGCAGGAGACAAATATCTCTCCTGGTGGGGAAGGAGCCCGGGACCACTGCCATCCTGTTAAAGGCCACCAGTTCTCGCCTGTAGCTAGTACAGGAGCAGAGGGTGACCAAGACTTGGTTCTGAGCTTTCTCGTTGGGCCTCGAGGGCTCCCTGCCATTGGCCATTGAGGTGAAGGCTGGTGTCACCTCCAGCCATGACTGGGAAAGGGGTCTTCTTTGGTCTCCTCTCTGCCAGTCTCCTGAAAGAGGGGAGGGGTGGAAGGAGTGCCTGGAAGGTCTCTTGAAGGGAGCGCCCCTGGCTCTTCCCAGCACCACCAGCCACCCCACTGACAGCCTCAGAGAGAGGGAGATGGGCCATGAAATTAACCTGGGTCCCCTGACTTCCTTGTCTCTTCCCTCCCCAGTGAGCTGGACTATTATGACTCACCCAGTGTCAACGCCCGTTGCCAAAAGATCTGTGACCAGTGGGACAATCTGGGGGCCCTAACTCAGAAGCGAAGGGAAGCTCTGGAGGTGAGAGGTCCCAGAGGGAGATCTAGGCCCATATCCGGCAGCCCTGTGGTGCCCCTTCCTGCTTCTTGACTCTCTTTGCTTTGGGCTAAAAGACTCTATGGCTTCCCCAGACCTCCCCCAACCCTGGCCTAAATGTGGAAGATTCACTTTGGCACAGGATTTGGACTTTGCCCTCATGGCGATGCCTCCTCTCTTGCCCTCACATGTCTCATCCTCCCAGTTTAGTGTGCTTTACAGCCCAACCCCAGCCATTTGAGAACCCTCCTATTCTACACACCAGACTCTGGGACCCAGGCCAGGTGACTGTGATGTGAGATGGTTCATACAGCTGGCAGGAAGAGCTTGTTCTTTCTGCCTGATTGAGTCAGTGCTTCTAGACCTGGGGCTCACCAGGAGGATCTTGATAGGAGTGGGGGATGATTCTGGACATCACTGTACTAACCCTTACCCTATTTGGCACTCCCAGCGGACCGAGAAACTGCTGGAGACCATTGACCAGCTGTACTTGGAGTATGCCAAGCGGGCTGCACCCTTCAACAACTGGATGGAGGGGGCCATGGAGGACCTGCAGGACACCTTCATTGTGCACACCATTGAGGAGATCCAGGTGAGCCCCACCTCCACTCCCCGGAGGCTGGCTCCCCTGGGGCCCCTGGCCCATGCTCTGTGGGTCACTTTTGCAGGACTGCCCCCTGAGGAAGAGCATCCTAAGGATTTTATAGACCCAGAACCTTTGCATTTGACTTATTTTGACAAGATAATATATGTGCATGATCTAAAATTTAAAAAAAATTAAAAAGGTTTATGATAGGGTCTCCCTCTGACTCCTTATCCTCCAGCCCCTAGTTCTCTCCCCAAAGGTAAGAATTTGACTACAGTCTCTGCACACAAGCAAATGTTTGTTTCCATGCTTTGTACCCTTTTTGTATAAAACAAAAAGTACCTTTTATTATATACCATATTCTGAACCTTGATTTTTATTTATTTTATTTTTTTAGAGACAAGGTCTCACTCTGTCACCCAGGCTGGAGTGCAGTGGTGGGATCATAGCTCACTACAGCCTCCAACTCCTGGGCTTAAGCGATCCTCCTGCTGCAGCCTCCCTAGTAGCTGGGACTACAGGCTCACATCACCATGCCTGGCTAATTTTTTAATTTTTATTTTTGTGGAAGTGGGGTTTTTTCTTTGTTGCTCAGGCTGGTCTCGAACTCCTGGCTTCAAGAGATCCTCCCATTTCGGCCTTCCAAAGTGCTGGGATTACAGGCATGAGTCACTGTGCTCAGCCATGAACCTTGATTTTTAATGTAACATTTATTTGGAGCTCATTTCACATCAATTAGCAGCTTCCTCAATCTTTCATGCAGTTGCAGAATACTGGATTTAAAAGGTTTTGCCAGGAGCTAAGGAAGCTCATGTTGTGGGAGGTCACCTGGGTAGTGAGCCTCTGGAGCAGCCCTTCTCCCTGACCTGTGAGGTGGTGAACACACCAGAGAGGTTGCTGCTAATTTGACCAGCCCTAAGGATGAAGCTGTTGCTTTTGATGACTGTGGCTTCACCTTCCTGTGGCCATACCTGCCATCCTGGTTCTCAGCCACAAGAATCTTTGAATTGATGCCTCCTGGTCTCCCAGCTGGTGTGGAACTCAACCTCCATGGCCCTTCCACTCACTTCTAGCGCTCCCTTTGTTCCTCTTGCCCACATATTCCCATCTCTGTCCAGGGACTGACCACAGCCCATGAGCAGTTCAAGGCCACCCTCCCTGATGCCGACAAGGAGCGCCTGGCCATCCTGGGCATCCACAATGAGGTGTCCAAGATTGTCCAGACCTACCACGTCAATATGGCGGGCACCAACCCCTACACAACCATCACGCCTCAGGAGATCAATGGCAAATGGGACCACGTGAGTTGAAGGGCATGGGCCGAGCCATTGTAAGTTTCATAAAGGCAGGGATTTTTGTCCATTTTAATTGATTTTTGTCAATTTCATTTAAAATTGTCATATAGTAAACACTCATTGTTTGTCCAAATGTCAAATGACTGGGTTTCCAGAACAGGTTGACACCTTTACTCCTGTTCTGTTACTGACCGGCCCTTCCCCTTCTGGGTCCTCCATTTCCTCATCTGGCACATGGACAGATGGCTGACCCATCCTGAAAGTCGCCTTGTTGTTCCTGCCCCAGGTGCGGCAGCTGGTGCCTCGGAGGGACCAAGCTCTGACGGAGGAGCATGCCCGACAGCAGCACAATGAGAGGCTACGCAAGCAGTTTGGAGCCCAGGCCAATGTCATCGGGCCCTGGATCCAGACCAAGATGGAGGTGGGTCCCATGCTGGGAAGCAGTGCTGGGGCTCCCACCCCTCCCCCCCGACACTATCCTAGCCAGCCAGGCTGCCTGTCTCCCTGGGTGGGACCCATGGAGGACTGAGGCCCGGAGCCCACCGTGGGTCTGCTGTTCTGTAGAAGGCTATGGGGGCCTATGTGAAGAAGCCCTGCTGGCAGTATCTGATTTGGGAGCAAAGACATATGAGGACACCACTAAGAAGCTGCCTGTGGGCTCACGCCTGTAATCCCAGCACTTTGGGAGGCCGAGGCAGGTGGATCACCTGAGGTCAGGAGTTCGAGACCAGCCTGGCCAACATGGTGAAACCCCGTCTCTACTAAAAATACAAAAATCAGCCGGGTGTGATGATGCGTGCCTATAATCCCAGCTACTTGGGAGCCTGAGGCAGGAGAATCGCTTGAACCCGGGAGACGGAGATTGCAGTGAGCTGAGATTACGCCATTGCACTGCAGCTTGGGCAACAGAGCAAGACTCTGTCAAAAAAAAAAAAAAAAAAAGAAGCTGCCTATGAAAGTCCCATACTAGGGTCAGTTCCTGAGCGCCCGATCCAGCTTAATCCCCTTGATGTCTCTTGTTGATCAGGCCTCCCCTTCCTCTCCTCCTCCTCCTGAGCAATGAGCCTGGCCAAAGAAAATGATTGATCTTCCCAGAAAGAGAACTGAACCCCAGTAGAGCATAGAATTTTTTTCTGAATTGTGTGGGGTAGATAGTGGGGTGCTTTAGCAGATCAGGAAAGAGGCCCTGCTTGGCTAGAGCATGGCCTCTGAGTTCCTTAAGAACAGAGACCATGTTGAGTTCACATTGGTATGTGTCGCTCCCCTGCACCCCTGCCAGCACATTGTCCTTAGTAGACAGGCAGGAAATATCTACTGAATTGAACTGAGTGGACAGAAAGTGCTTTCACAAACAATGGTTGTTTACATGGATGAATAACAGACAGAAATGGGCATTAGGCCTGGCCTGCAGGGATGAATGGGATTCAGGTGGGCCAGGGCAGGCATCCCAGGAGGCGGAACAGCAGGAGCAAGAGCATGGGTACTGAGGAGGTGAGTGAGGTCTGCCGAGGCTACGAGGATCCTGGTTCAGTGGGTCCCTGAGATGGACAAGACTTGGGAAAGGGCATTTGAATGGCAAGCAGAGGAGTGAATATTTAGGTTAGAACTGACCCTGCATCCCCTTTCTGAGGCTGACAGGTACCCGAGAGTTGGTAGGTATTTCATCCAATGATAACAGTGCTTGTTATATACCTCTGTGGTGCTGTTTCCATACCTAAGAGCACCCATGCTAAAAGTGTCTTACTAATTACCAGTGATGGCCTCCTTAGGGCTGGGATGGGAACTGAGAATCATTTGAGGGCTTAATAAGTGATTTTGGAGGCCCCAGTCCCCACCCTATGGGAGCAGAGTGAGGTGGTCTGACAAGGTGCTTCCTTCCCGGTGAGCAGGAGATCGGGAGGATCTCCATTGAGATGCATGGGACCCTGGAGGACCAGCTCAGCCACCTGCGGCAGTATGAGAAGAGCATCGTCAACTACAAGCCAAAGATTGATCAGCTGGAGGGCGACCACCAGCTCATCCAGGAGGCGCTCATCTTCGACAACAAGCACACCAACTACACCATGGAGGTGGGTGGGGCTGGCCTTGTTCCTCTTCGGGAGCCCGTGGCCCCTTCTGCTCTTTCTCCTGGGTGGGGAAGTCTCCAAGGGAACAGGTCATAGTTGGAGGATAAATTAACTTCACCCCTGAAGCCTCACATCTTCAATTTTTAGTACCTTCTGCTTTCCCAAGGAATGTGTTGAGAATGCACATTTCTAGGCCCCATCTCTAGAATTTGCTTCACTAATTCTGGGGTGGAGTTCAGAATAAGCACTTCTGGTGGTTCTGGGTGCTGGTGGGCTCCAAACACTGGCTCAGGCATCTGCTTTGAAAATGGCTACTTGTTTTAACTGTGCAAGAGTGTGTGTGTGTGTATGTGTGTGTGCGCGCGTGGCTGTGGGGTTGGAGGTTCGGGGAATCACACATTTTTTTGTCTCAATCTTTCCTACCCCCAAATCTGCCCTCCTTCCTGACCTGACCCCCATTGGCAAGTCCTGGTTTCTTTGCTCTCCCAGGCAGAGGCTGCCACCCTGCCCCTTGGTCATCTAGGGTCCTTGTCCTAGTAGGTTGTCCTTGTCCTGGTTCCCCTTCCTCTGGTGACACTCAGCCACACAGAAGGCCAAGTTTGATGGCTTTGGCCATTTTGATGGTTGGGGAGTAGGATGGGCAGGGGCCGCCAGGAGCCCAGGCCTGGGACCCCTTTGCTGACAGGCCCCTTGCCGTCCTGCAGCACATCCGTGTGGGCTGGGAGCAGCTGCTCACCACCATCGCCAGGACCATCAATGAGGTAGAGAACCAGATCCTGACCCGGGATGCCAAGGGCATCAGCCAGGAGCAGATGAATGAGTTCCGGGCCTCCTTCAACCACTTTGACCGGGTGAGAGCCCCATCCTGTGCTTTCTTAGTGCAGCCCCCAACCCCTGCCCCAGGGCCCTGGAGGGCACTTCCCCGGGACGTGGGCTGCCATGCAAGTGAGGAGGGAGAGAAAGGGGAAACTGCCGTCAGCCTGCCCTGACTCAATGCACCCTGCAAAACCAGCCTTGGAAAACCTGTGTTGGTGCCCCATAAGCTTCCCTGCTTTCCGGGAGAGAGTGTTCAGACTGTGGGTAGAAAGAGGACCTTTGACCCCTGATCCTTGCTCTCCTACCATGAGGAGTCACCCTCAGTGAAGGCTTGCTGCTCCCTGGCTGTGGAGACAGAGGAGCAGAAGAGACTCCTCCTGCCCTCGCTGGCCCCTACCCCTACCCCGACCTCCAGTGGCCTCTGGGACTCTGCTGGGGATGTCAGAGGCCTTGGTCCTGGGTTCCCATCCCAGCTCTGGGTCAGGCTGGGTTTTAGTGGGCTGCCCCTTCCCAGTGCCCTGGGGCTTGCGGGCGGTCCCAAGGCGTGGGAGCATGGGCTTGGGTGCTGCCCACCACCCCACCTGCTTCATGGCTCTCTAGGCACCTGGGGGGAAGCCCCTGGGGAAGCGGGGGGGCTGGGTCACTTCTGAGGGAGCTTCTCACCCTTGTGGCTCATCACACCCCACTGTGGTCCTGCTCCCTGGAGCAGGGCTGCGTGTGCTGGGGGGAGGGCACCCCCTGGAGCCTCGTTGGTGTGTCTAACCGTGTGCACTTTTATTTCCCCTCCTCCCCCGCCCCCCCACCCTCCCTCCGCATGCCTGTCCCTGTGTCTCCCCACACACGCCACCCTCCCCCGGGGCATGCCCCCCTCACGGCTCCACCTCCCTGACACCGCATGGCTCGCTGCCTGGCGCACCGCGGCCCCAGGATCACTCCGGCACACTGGGTCCCGAGGAGTTCAAAGCCTGCCTCATCAGCTTGGGTTATGATATTGGCAACGACCCCCAGGTACTCGCCTCCTGCATGGAGCACGCTCAGGGGTGGCGTCTGGGGCAAGAAATAATGCGTTTTTCCTTTTTCTCTTCTCTCTGTCTGGATCTCCTGTCCCCCTCCTGTGGGCCATGGGGCTCGTCCTCTCCTGCTGTCTCTGTCTGCCCCATCACTGGTCCACCCTCTGCCCTCTGCTGTCTTTCATGGCAACCTACTGGGTGCCCGCTGTCTTCCGTCCTCGCTGCTCTTCATCCCATGGGTGGATTTTTGCATCTCCCTGCTCTGTCTTCCTCCTGTCTTTGGACATTTCCACCGATGTGTGTTCGCATCTTCTCCTATGTTCCTTTACCTATCCTGACCCCCAAAACCATAAATCTCATCCCCGTTCTGGCCATCTGTTCCTGTCTTCCTGGCCCCGGGCCGGCCCTTCCTCTTCCTGCCTTCCCGACCCTCCTTGTGTCTTGGTACCACTGCCCCCCACAGAAGAAGACAGGCATGATGGACACGGATGATTTCCGCGCCTGCCTGATCTCCATGGGTTACAACATGGTAACGTAAACCCCACCCTCTGTCTGCCCTGGTGAGAAGGCAGCCAGCTGGCGGGAGCAGCCAAGTCCCAGGAGTGGCAGGCTGGAGGCCCTCAGGCTAGGGGCTGCCCTCCCTGGAGGAGCCCCAGGGCCCATGTCCTTGGGGAAGATGGCTCCCTGAAAGCCGGCCCGGCCACGGGCGTGTGTGTATCCGGGAGGCCTGACCTCCTCGCCTCAATCTCTGTGCCACTTCATCTTCTGGTACTTCTCACTCCCACTGTGGACAGCTGGGCTGACCCTGAGGCTGGCAGGAAGGACTGGTGGTGTGGGACATCCCAGGTTTCGGGCTGGCATGCGTCACCTCACATGGAGCATGGAAACCGAGACTTCCACCTCTGTCCTGGCGGTGACTCTGGTTGGGCCTGCCGCCCCTCTGGATTGTCCCAGGCCGTCCCCCACCCCCCAACCTTCCTAGTCTGTCCCCCCTTGCACAGACATTCTGAGCAGAGCAGTCAGGTGACTCCTGAGCCATGGTGCCAAGTGCAGAGCCCACAGGCTGTCCAGCGCAGGGCATGGGCATGGGGCTAGGAGCAGTGAACCTGGGAGTAAATCCCAGCCCTGCCGTCATTAGTGTGTTACCTCAGGTGAAGTGGGGGAACCCTACAGGACTGTTACAAGGATTAAATGAAGGAATTTAAGTGTGTGCATGTATCTGGCATGTAGAAAATACAGTGTGGTGGGGAGAGAACAGATTCTAGAACCAGACTGCCTGAGTTCAAATCCCAGTTCTGCTGCTTCCTGGCTGTGTGACCCTGGGCAAATCACTTAGCCTGTCTGGGCTTCAGATTTCTCATCTGTACAATGAAGATAATAAAATACCTATCTTTATGGTTGTAGTAAGGATTAAATGAATTGAAATAAAGCTTTTAGATTAATACTTGATATGCTACATAGGTGTCAGCCATTGTTAATCATTGTTGTCATTATAGTTATTATCAACATGATTATTTGCTCTAAGAGGAACTCAGGCATCTGCAGGGTGTGGGGAACCCTGAGCTGGGTCTCCCCTGTTGGGTGTTGTGTCCCCATCATACCCTTAGGACAACCCAGGTTAGGTCAGGGGGATGTGCCCTTCTCTTCCAGCCATAGGCTGCTCTGAGCCCCCAGGGTCTTCAGTCCATATGAGATATTCCCAGCAGGCCATGGGCTGACAGGCCTGGGTTTGGCTGTTCCCTCCAGGGAGAAGCAGAATTTGCCCGCATCATGAGCATTGTGGACCCCAACCGCCTGGGGGTAGTGACATTCCAGGCCTTCATTGACTTCATGTCCCGCGAGACAGCCGACACAGATACAGCAGACCAAGTCATGGCTTCCTTCAAGATCCTGGCTGGGGACAAGGTGGGTGTCCTATGGGTGGGCACTGTGCTGGGGTGGCAGGCACTGGCTGGACTGTGATCTAAAGGGGTGAGAGCTGGAACATGAACTCCTCAACCGCCCCTTCTTCCAGGGTCCTTTGGCCTCTCCTTGTTTGCCACTTCTACTCATTTCTGTAATGTCTTGGGCTCAGCTAAGGTGTCAGGACACAGGATTAGTATAAGTGACCCTTCCAGGATCACTGCATGCCAGTGAGGGACTCCATAGCTGGGATGAAATGACGGGTGGCAGATGAGAATAGAGTGGTGTGGATGTGTGATCGGACTCTTGGAGTCCATCTGACAATCCCTGGGACTTCACCCTTGGTCTCATCCCGCGCATCGGCACGGACTATAATGGGAGCAGGAAGAGGGACTGTGGGACCCAGGAAGGAAGCATGTCTCTCGTGTTTTCTACCCTGAGCAGTGATCTACTCTGGGTTTCCCAGTCTCCCAAGTACCCTGCAACACTCCACCTGGCAGTGGATGGATGCAGGGGGTTGTCTCCATGGATGCCAGAGGCTCAGTCCAAGTCTCCACTGTTCTGAGATGGTCATTGGTAGACCTGGATGTTACCCAGAACCACAGCCATCTCCAGCCCAGGGACCTGAGGGGATCTGTAGAAGCCACAGATCCCTCGAATATTAGAGAAAAGACTCACAGAGCAGCCAGAAGAAATGGTGGGGGTGGGGTGGGGGCCTAGGGTCTGTGTTCTGTTCAGTAAAAGTCACAGTAAATCCTTATGCCATCCTTCCTTCAAAACTGAAAAGATTCAGGCCAGGCACAGTGGCTCACGCCTGTAATTCCAGTACTTTGGGAGGCTGAGGTGGATGGATCAGGTCAGGAGTTCAAGACCAGTCTGGCCAACATGGGAAAACCTTGTCTCTACTAAAAATACAAAAAATTAACCGGGCGTGGTGGCGTGCACCTGTAATTCCAGCTACTTGGGAGGCTGAGGCCTGAAAATCGCTTGAACCTGAGAGGTGGAGGTTGCAGTGAGCCAAGATTGTGCCACTGCACTCCAGCCTGGGTGACAGAGTGAGACTCCGTCTTAAAAAAAACCTTAAAGAATCAGTTAGCGAAGCAAAAGCCAATAGGGAGGGAATATAATTTCTGGAATGTCTGTCTATAAGGGAATAAAGGCTGAACCTACAAAGAAGTCCCTAAAGTTCTGATTTAAATACAAGAACAACGTTATTTGCATCATAGCACTTTGGAGCTGGAAGGATCCTCAAACCATTTAGTTGTAGTGGCTAATTTTGTAGAGGAGGAAAACTAGGGCCCAGCTAGGGGCCTGGTCTCCCAACTTTTGGCTTGACAGTGGCAGCTCTACCCTCCCTCAAACTGGTTCCCAGGGCACTCTGGCAGAGGTAGGGCATGGTGCAGGGCGACTACCTTGTGGGTCAGAGCCCCCAAATGAGCTCTCCTGGATCTTGAAGCTCCTAAAAGAAGCAGCTTCCAAGTAGACCTATCATGAGCAAACCTGGGAGAAGGTAGATACCCAGGCTGGAGCTGCTTGCATGGGGCAAGGCCCGCATTTCTGCAAAGCTGCTTAACATAGCCTGGCCATATTTGGGAAGCAGTGATGCCCAAACATGGATGGTGTTCTTAATCTGCTGGAGGGCTCATTAAAATTAGACTGTCTGTCCGAGGCGTCCAGAGAGCTCAGTTGAGTGCGTGTGGGGTCTCCCCAGGAACCTATACGCTCCACCAGAGTATCTGCTGATACTGCTCCAGCACGCAATTATTGCAGACTAGTGTGATTCAGAAGATGATTATAGGTGTAATTGGCACATGGAATTAGATTGGAAAGTGGCTTACAAAGTAGGTACTGAAGTGGAAAACCTGAGAGAATTTTAAAAATACATGTTGTGTATGCGGTATGTACATGTGTGGATATTTACGTCCGTACATCCTGTAGTTACAGGAGGGAGGCAAAATGCAAACGGCACATGCTGCCTTCACGCCGCCAGGCTTTGCGGCTGTGTCGGGCCGCGCCGCTTTACGGCTGCTGGACTTTGCGGCCTTCCTGACCACTCTCTCCTCGCAGAACTACATTACCATGGACGAGCTGCGCCGCGAGCTGCCACCCGACCAGGCTGAGTACTGCATCGCGCGGATGGCCCCCTACACCGGCCCCGACTCCGTGCCAGGTGCTCTGGACTACATGTCCT
Source organism: Homo sapiens (assembly GCF_000001405.40). Lineage (NCBI taxonomy): Eukaryota > Metazoa > Chordata > Mammalia > Primates > Hominidae > Homo > Homo sapiens. The sequence goes on along the minus strand of NC_000014.9, from coordinate 68,874,893 downwards.
TCTCCACGGCGCTGTACGGCGAGAGTGACCTCTAATCCACCCCGCCCGGCCGCCCTCGTCTTGTGCGCCGTGCCCTGCCTTGCACCTCCGCCGTCGCCCATCTCCTGCCTGGGTTCGGTTTCAGCTCCCAGCCTCCACCCGGGTGAGCTGGGGCCCACGTGGCATCGATCCTCCCTGCCCGCGAAGTGACAGTTTACAAAATTATTTTCTGCAAAAAAGAAAAAAAAGTTACGTTAAAAACCAAAAAACTACATATTTTATTATAGAAAAAGTATTTTTTCTCCACCAGACAAATGGAAAAAAAGAGGAAAGATTAACTATTTGCACCGAAATGTCTTGTTTTGTTGCGACATAGGAAAATAACCAAGCACAAAGTTATATTCCATCCTTTTTACTGATTTTTTTTTCTTCTATCTGTTCCATCTGCTGTATTCATTTCTCCAATCTCATGTCCATTTTGGTGTGGGAGTCGGGGTAGGGGGTACTCTTGTCAAAAGGCACATTGGTGCATGTGTGTTTGCTAGCTCACTTGTCCATGAAAATATTTTATGATATTAAAGAAAATCTTTTGAAATGGCTGTTTTTTAAGGAAGAGAATTTATGTGGCTTCTCATTTTTAAATCCCCTCAGAGGTGTGACTAGTCTCTTTATCAGCACACACTTAAAAAATTTTTAATATTGTCTATTAAAAATAGGACAAACTTGGAGAGTATGGACAACTTTGATATTGCTTGGCACAGATGGTATTAAAAAAACCACACTCCTATGACAGCTCTTTGCCTGCTCCTTGCTTGATGTTTTCTGGAAGTGTGTGTGGGGTCAAGGATGGTGTGGGGCACCTGTATCTACTCCTAATGTTTTTGACCCTGCTGTGTTCAATCTTCTTACACTTCAGTTTCTTCATTTTAAAAAGGAAAAGGTAATTTCTTCACAGTCTCCTATGAGTTGGACAGAAAGTCATGGATGTGTAAAGGACTTCTTGATGATAAGCCCCACCTTCATTTTTCCACGGCACCAAACAGCCCTGTGACATCTGCATTCACCCCACTCGTTTTATTTTTGCTGCAGTGAACAGCTTGAGTTGTCTCTTAAGAGTCATCTCATCCCTTGCTATTCGAGATGACCCACAGATGGCAGCTGTTCAGCATCACCTGGGAGTTCATTGGAAATACAGAATCTCAGGCCCCACCCCTGAATGTCGAATACTGTGTGTACTGCTCTAGCTTCTCCAGAGTAAAAGATAGTCTCTATAGGATGCCGTCTGCTCTGGCACCAGGCCCCCTGAGCCCATGCCTTTTATCTGACGTTTGTTTTGCAACCCATTACATCACTTGCCCCCGGGCATCCTTTAAATTTCATCCTTGGCTAATTCTCATTGTAACCGGTTCCAGCTTGCTTTAAATGATTGGGTGGATGGAATTCTCCCCATTGACAATTGACAGGTGGCAATTAATTGTTCATGCCTCAGTGGGATGAATCCATTACATCTCTTTCCTGCCTAATATTTTTATCTACCTCCGACTTTTTTGTAGGGACTTTGTTGATATCCTCATGAAGGCCCATCTCTCCTCTCTCTGGCTTGTCCATCCCTTGACAAAACCTTAATGACTGTTCTGGGTACCAAATCTGTGGCAGGAGTGTGACCCAGCTGCCACCCACCTCCTCCATCACTGGACCAGCTCATAGTTGTCCCTTGGACATGGGGTTAGTGCCCAACAAGTGTAGTCATTTGGCTAAGTGAGTTACTAGGAGGGAGAACAGATTCAATTTCCTGAGGTGGTGAGGAGAGACTGAAGGCTTTGCCAGTTCTTTGGCCTATGCCAGGCTCTCTGGTACTTCTGCAGGTGGCATGAGCTGTGTGAAGCGCCTCTAAATTTAAGGCTCCAAAGCTCTCCAACACAAACAAGACTTTAGGGTCTGCGTTATGGACGCCAAGGGAAGAAATACAACCTCAACATCAGTGCCTGTCAAGGGAGGCAGATGTGAGCTCGTCTGCCTGCCACCGGCCATTTGGACTACCTTGGGCAAGTGACCTCCTTAAATGGGGCCGATAATGTTGCTTTCCTTCTCTCCCTGGCACACAGTAGGCATTTAATAAGTGGCAATGGGTATTGTCCCTAGAGTTGTATAAAAAACCAGCTCTAGCAGGGCGTGGTGGTGCATGTCCGTAGTGCCAGCTGCTTGGGAGGCTGAGGTGAGGATCACTTGAGCCCAGGAGTTTTGAGTCCAGCCTGAACAACATAACAAGACCCTGTCTGTAAAATGGGGGAAAAAAGTCAGCTGTGCTTTGTTATGCTGTTTAAAATATTCTTAAAGAAAAAGGCCTGATTACAGAAAAATACCATTAAGGGGAACCCTCTTTCAGTCTCTGTGCTGAGGGTAGTAGTAGGCTGAGTAATGGTCCCCCAAGATATCCATTTCCGAGTCCCTGGAACCCATGATTGTTAATTCATATGACAAATAAGACTTTGCAGATGGGATTAAGAATCTTGAGGTGGGGAGATTGGTTCTGGATTATCTGGGTGGGTCCTTAGGGAGCAGGCATGTCGGCATCAGAGGAAATGTGACGACAGAAGCAGGGGTTGGAGTGATGTGAGGCCACAAGCCAATGAATGCGGACAGCCTCTAGAAGCTAGAAAAGCCAGGGAAACAGATTCTCCCTGAGAGCCTCCAGATAGAATGCAGGTCTACAGACCCATTTTGGGTCTCTATTCTCCAGAACTGTGAGATAATACGTTTGTGTTGTTTTAAGCCACTTCATTTGTGATAATTTGTTACAGCAACCATAGGAAGCTAATATGTGCTCCATCGTTCATGCCCTGGGGAGCTGGCTGCCTCCCTGACGTCAGTGACCCGTGGTATAGGCATGACCTGCTGGAGAAACTGCCCTAGCTTCAAAGGCCTGAGTGTGCAACATTGGCCCTTGGGAGGCTGCCTTAGCTGCTGGACTTGATCTCCTAAGCCTTAAAAGCGCCATTCATGGAGAGGGGAGAAGGAAGCTTCCAAGTTCTGAGAGCCCAAAAAGGCCAGAATAGCTGGGCCCAGCAGGAGATGTAAGGCTTCCTGTTGTCTCAGATGCAGGAGCCAGAGGGCAGCCCAGCTCCAGGTAGGCACCAGCCACAGAACTGGAAAGCCCTTGGGAGGCTGAGGTCCTGCCTTCTCTATAGCTTATCTTGGCCCCTCTCTGTGTGTCAGCCTCCCTCCTCTCCCTGCAGCCCAGCTTTGGGTGCACACCTCCCCATGGTGGCAGAGGTCAATTCCACAGTGCCTAGTGTTGACATTTTCTTGACACGAGACTAGTCCCAATTCCAAATGTCCAGGAGGCACTTGGCCCAGTCTGACCTGGTGTGATAAAGTGATGCCTGTCAGTGGATAAGGCTGGGGCCGTTGCTCATGGGCTAGATTGGGTATCACCTTTAGGATAACCCAAAAGGTGGCCTCATAAGAACTGTCTCAGTTCATCAATTTTCACATTTTAGCATCTCTGATATTGAGATAGAGCATACAATTGATCTCACTTTAGGATTAATGGTGTCTTACAATTGCTGTTGGCCAGATAGCAGTCATGACTTAGTGTCATTGCCTGCCTATTTGAGACAGGAATGTGAGTCCTGTCTTTTGTCTCAAAAACTTCCATTAATCTTACCTCCTGGTAAGATCAAGCTCCAGTATCAAAAGTTGCATAGTGGGTACCCAGAGAGAAAATGCTGATGATCATAGTGTAGTACTGGCTTACGAAATGCTAGCCAGGGTGCAATGGCTCATGCCTATAATCCCAGCACTTTGGCAGGCTGAGGTGGGCGGATCGCTCGAGCCCAGAAGTTCAAGACCAGCCTGAGCAACATGATGAAACTCCGTCTTTACTAAAAATACAAAATTAGCCGGATGTGGTGCCGCATGCCTGTAATCCCAGCTACTTGGGTGGCTGAGGCAGGCGAATTACTTCAACCTGGGAGATGGAGGTTGCAGTGAGCCGAGATCATGCTGAAGGAAGGAAGGGAGTAAGGGAGGGAGGGAGGCGAGAGAGAGAGAAAGAAAAAGAAATGCTGCATTTTCAGTTCTATTGATGGCACAGCAGGCAACGGTGTGTGAAAAACAGGCACTTAAAGACTCTGGGCCGGGCACGGTGGCCCATGCCTGTAATCCCAGCACTTTGGGAGGCTGAGGCGGGTGAATCATGAGGTCAGGAGTTCGAGACTAGCCTGACCAACATGGTGAAACTATGTCTCTACTAAAAATACAAAAAATTAGCTGGGTGTGGTGGTGGGTGCCTGTAATCTCAGCTACTCGGGAGGCTGAGGCAGGAGAATTGCTTGAACCCGGGAGGCGGAGGTTGCGGTGAGCCGAGATCGCGCTACTGCACTCCAGCCTGGGTGACAGTGTGAAACTTTGTCTCAAAAAAAAAAAAAAAAAAAAGACTCTGACAAGGGATTCAGAAGAGAATTTTAGCAAATTTGGTTTCCTCCTATTGTCCATGATACAAGTCTAAAAAAGTCTGAGCTCTTTCAATAAGTATATAATAATGTACATATATGAGTACATAAAGAACATAATAAAATTCTAAAGAAAGCATTGTGTTATGGTTTAACTGGTTACACTTTATAGCTCATAAAATAATGGAGCATCTATAAATCTGATCATATCTGAAGAGTATAATATGGCCTATGGGCCCTATTGCCTGTCAAATCCACCAAATCTGGATTCTATATTTGATGGAAGAGGAAAAGAAAGATACATCCTAAACTTAATCCAAAAGCAATGTAAGGGATGTCTGGAGGGCCTGGGAAGGTCTTCAGAGTGGAAGAAGTCTGTGAGAAGTTAACCTGGTGATACCGATTCAAAGAGCCTGTCAAGTGAAGCCCCCTAAAATGGGGAGAATAAGAATCTTAGAGGTTGTTCAGTAGAAGTCTTGGAATGCATTTTCAGTGGTTAAGGGAAAAAAATGACTACTCTTAAAAGTTGAGAAACCAAAGTCGCCCTTACTTCATCCCCAAACTGAGGAGCCACCTAAATCTGTTGAAGTTCCCTCTGGGGTCCAATCCAGAAGCCATCATAGCCTTCAGGGTCCATGGAAGAAAGCAGTTCCATTACAGAGAGCCCAGGAGTTCAGCCAGGGAAAATGCTCACTGAAAAGCAGTAGAAGTGGAAGCTGTAAGAATATTAGGTCCCTCTGGGCGTGATGGCTCACGCCTGCAATCCAAGCACTTTGGTGAGGCCAAGGCGGGCAGATCACCTGAGGTTGGGGGTTTGAGACCAGCCTGACCAACATGGAGAAACCTAGTCTCTACTAAAAATACAAAATTAGCTGGGCGTGGTGGTGGGCGCCTGTAATCCCAGCTACTTGGGAGGTTGAGGCAGGAGAATTGCTTGAACCCGGGAGGCAGAGGTTGTGGTGAGCCGAGATTGTGCCACTGCACTCCAGCCTGGGCAACAAGAGCAAAACTCTGTCTCAAAAAAGAAAAAAAAAAAAAAAGATTATATCCCAAAGCTACTATAACTTATGATAGCTCCAACAAAAATATAAAAATACAATAACACATGATAGCTCCAACAAAATTATGATGTCTCTGGGACATCATAAAGGAGAATTCCTTAGTCAGAGGGAGTTTACAGAACCTAATAAGGAACTCTCAGAGTAAAGAATGTATTGGAGGCTGGCTCACGCCTTTAACCCCAGCACTTTGGGAGGCTGAGGCAGGTGGATCACGAGGTCAGGAGTTTGAGACCAGCCTGGCCAATATGATGAAACTCTGTCTCTACTAAAAATACAAAAATTAGCCGGGTGTGGTGGTGCGTGCCTGTAGTCCCAGCTACTCGGGAGGCTGAGGCAGAAGAATCGCTTGCACCTGGGAGGCGGAGGTTGCAGTGAGCCGAGATTGTGCCACTGCACTCCAGCCTAGGCAACAGAGCAAGACTCCGTCTCAAAAAAAAAAAAAAAAAAGAAAAGCTCAAGAATTATGAAAGAAGGTTACTACAGGACAAAGAAGGTCTTTGAAACCAGCTCTGTATACAGAAGGAGGTAAATCATGAGATTAAAAAGTTGCTGATGGCTTCTGTTGGGGATGATCTTCAGTATCACTTTGAATGTCTAGTCCTTGAGAAAAATCAGCTTATTTTAGAAAATGAAGCCCTAGGTTGAAATACAGCTCAGCTTTCCAAACAGAACGTATGTCAATACAGTGTGATACATGGCAAAGTAAATTCCTTGCAAGCAGGGTAATGGCAGATGAGTTAACCAAGTCAAGAGCATCAAGAGCAGTTTTGTTTTTCTTTTTTTTTTTTTTTTTTTGAGATGGAGTCTTGCTTTGTTGCCCAGGCTGGAGTGCAGTGGTGCAATCTCAGCTCACTGCAACCTCTGCCTCCCGGGTTCAAGCGATTCTTGTGCCTCAGCCTCCCAAGTAGCTGGGATTACAGGCACCCATCACCACGCCTGGCTAATTTTTGTATTTTTAGTAGAGTTGGGGTTTTGCCATGTTGGCCAGGCTGGTCTCGAACTCCTGGCCTCAAGTGATCCTTCTGCTTCAGCCTCCCACAGTACTGGGATGACGTCAAAAACGTGATGCACGTGGGGCCATACAGGATCTCCTAAGTGAATGGGAACAGTTTCTTCAGGAAATGATAGCTACCCAGAAATTATTGGAGGAGCTCTTAGTCTCCTTGCAGTGGGGAAGAGGGCAACTTTACTCCCCTAATGTACAACCCCACAGCACAGCAGAGCTGGCATTAACAAATCACAAGTTGGCAAAAGCAGCAAATTCTCATCTTCTGCGAAACGTTGGCATTAACTATCAAAAAAAGATTCCATCGACAGTTGAATTCTGCAGCACCCCAGCTGAGAAAATGGCTGAAATGGTTCTATAAACTTTAGATCCAACTACCTATACAGAGAGCTCACCTGATAATCCATGTTTTGAGTTTTCACCAACCACCTTACTTGCTGCAAAGAAAAATTCTGGATGATTTCATCCCTAGGCTAGATATGAAAATATAACTTTCAATTTCTGCAGTCACTGCCAGGGAGAACTTACTGCCCTTTAACAGTCAATATATTGGAGGCATGCTACAGGTACTTGCTTATTACCCGAGAGTCATTATTTGGGAGCTGGGGTTCTTAGAATGCTAGAAGTAATATCACTTCCTATTTACAAAGTGTATATACCCAAAGATGTTTTATGTACTAGACTCCAGATTACCCCTTCTTAATAAATATCTCAGGGTAATAAAAGAATGAAACTGTATTTAAAATTTAAATACAGTTGCATTTTTTTTCTTTGAGCTTATACAATGTTTTAGAAACAGTCTACTTTTTATAAATATCAAGTTGGATATTCTTGTGTGTTAAACTGTATTTAATATTTAAAATAGAGAATACTTCCCAAGCAATACATGATGCTTTTCCTAAAGGACTCTAAAAGTAAAAGGTTCTATAACTTTCTTTTAAGCACTAAATTATTATTTATCTTACTGGATATTTTATATGAACAGTGTTAATTTAGTTACACTAAAGCAAGGGTAGGCAAACTACAACCATGAGTCAAATATGGCCACACCCATTCATTCACTATTGTCTAGGTTGTTTTTGCTCTATAGCTGCAGAGTTGAGTAGATGCAGCAGGGCATGTATGGCTTGCAAAGCCTACAGTATTTACTGTTTGATCCATTACAGAAAAAGTTTTCTGACTCCTACTCTAAAGTAATTGTAGTAGAAGGCCAGAGGGCTTTCTTTCCCTTTATGGTAATTTTTTGAGCTACAAAAGAGCCTTGGATAAGTGAATGAAGGGATTAATCTTTTTAAAATAAATGCTGTAAGTTAGAAAAAGAATAAATATTTTAGAGCCAAATTAACAAGTACTTCAGCAAAACATGTTAGTTTTATGCAGGGGATTCTGTATTCTGAATGGACACAATCTGACATAGATAAACAGATTCTTAACTGTTGACTCTTTAGCAAATGCAACACACAGGAATATCCATTTGATATTTATAAAAAGTAGACTGTTTCTAAAACATTGTATAAGCTCAAAGAAAAAAATGCAACCCATCAATTAATATATATTATGTAATATATACTATTGTATATTTATTATGAGCCATCATAAATACCCATTGATTGGCCTTTAAGAATAATTACAAAATATTTATATCAAATTATGCAAATTTGTTGCAGAAGTGCCTATCAGTAGAGAAGTCTTCAAAAGACAAACCTGGTCAAATAATAATATATTTTAATGTCAACTTAAAAAAGGCAATATAAAAATCCCCTCTTATCACAGATTACCTTAAGATATACTTTCTAATTGCACTCTGTAGCATCTTCCATTTCTAATCATGCTTCTTGTCTAGAAATCTCCTTAAGTCCTACTTTTCCAACCAACAATGCAAGAGAAATTTTGCAAACTCCAATAGCTGGGGAAGCTGGCTTCTGGAAACAAGCTATTTGAAAGATGGCTTGTGAGCACTTGTAAAAGGATAGGGGGGGCCAGGCGCGGTGGCTCACGCCTGTAATCCCAGCGCTTTGGGAGGCTGAGGCGGGTGGATTACAAGGTCAAGAATTCAAGACCAGCCTAGCCAACATGGTGAAACCCCATCTCTACTAAAAATACAAAAAATTAGCCAGGTGTGGTGGCAGGCACCTGTAATCCTAGCTGTAACCCTAGCTACTCAGGAGGCTGAGGCAGGAGAATCACTTGAACCCATGAGGCAGAGGTTGCAGTGAGCTGAGGCCAAGCCACTGCACTCCAGCCTGGGCAACAGAGCGAGATTCCATCCCCCGCCCCCCCCCGGATAAGTTACTGGCTCAAATAACTGAAGTGTTCAGAGGTAATGCTGACTTTCCAGGTGGCTGAGGCAGAGGCTCAAATGCCAGCAGGGCCTAGCTTCTCTGGCTGGACCCCATTCTCAAAAGTGTCTCTCTCCAAGGCAGCAAAATGACTTCCAGCAGCTCCAGCTTCCCCACCTTGTGATTGCAAGTCTGGCAGAGAGAAAAAGGAGTGACCCCAGCTGGAGGCAGGCAACATAGTGGCCCCAGCCAGGACAGTGGGTTTTGCTTATTGTTATATGTAAAATGTTTATTCAGAAATAGAATGCTTGTTCCTCGGCACCACAAGGAAAAATTAGCATTCAGACAAGAAGTTTTCTCAGCAAGGCAATTTTACTTTCTGCAGAAACGGTGCTCCTTGCAGATGGAACAATGGTGGGAGCACACCTGAACAAAGGAGGGAAGCAATTTTTATCCTTTACACAGCTTGTCCCTGCTACTGTGTCCTGTCTCCATTGGCTGGAGCCAGATCTCACAATCTAAACTAAAACCCAACAGGCTAATAATTTAAAACTTTTCTAAATAGGTAAAGGCAAGGGAGAACAAAGGAAAAGAGGAAGTTGCTTATGCCAAATAGGGAAGGGGCATAGGCTAAGAGCTGGGACATGCCTGTGAGCACGTCCGGCACAAATATCTTGGTTAAAGTACAAGGACATAGACTGTATTACGTGCCTGTGAGCATGTCTAGCACAAGTATTTTGGTTAAAGTATAAGGAAATAGAATGCACTTATTCCTTTATATCTAGCAGCTACATAGGATAGGGCTTAACAAAGAGTTAATAGCACAAAGCAAGGAGGCTTGAAGGAAGTTAGTCTTTAAAATAAACTATTATTTCTAACATGATTTATTTTTTAACAAGAAGGAAAACTTTGAAGAGGAAACTTTTTACTTTCTACACTTACTGTTTGAGGCCTAGCTTGGGTTGTATGCTCACCCTAGGGTGGCGGGTGCGGTCCCACCCAGGCCACCTGAATTCAGAATGGCCTGGCCAGTATGTCAGGGCTCCTTATCACAAGCAACAGAAACCCTTTCTGCCTGCCCCCAAAACTCATATAGGGCGTGGGCTTCTCCAGAGGCAGATGCCGGTCGAGAGACAGGACAGACATCTATGAGCATGGGGAGGAGTGGGCTCCCAGCCCGGATCCAGGAGAAGCGCTGTTGGGACAATAGGCAGCCAGCACCTGAGTCAGAGGTGAAGGTAGCCTCTAGCAGCAGTTGTCACCACCCCGCCCGTGCCTGTCCCACCCTTCAGTTTGTTCCAGCAAACTTCCACCTGTGTGTACCTGCATCTGTGTGCCTGGGGCTTTCCTCCCAGAACTGCAGAAGACCACTCTGCCTGTGGATGGAGCAGGCTACTGAAGAAGCAGCCACCAAGAGCAGCCCTCAGCCCTCAGGGTGGGTGTCTGAGGCCCTCAGCTCCCTCACACTTGGATGGGATGATTCTGAGGCACGTGTTTTAGACTGTTTCTTGGCGCTTCTTTCTCCCATGGGATTCAGTGCAGATGCCCATGCGGTGCTGAGCTCATAGCACAGCTTCACTGTTAAGTCCCCCTTCCCTGAGTCTCTTCCTCATTTCCATCCCCTGCACCTCCCACGTAAACCACTGGTGCTAGAACCCTCATCTAGTGCGTGCTTTGGGGTGTCCCAAACTAGGACACAGCCCACTCTCTGGGACCTACCTGGGGACAGTGACTTCACCTGGAAGTCCCGCTCTAGACCTTTGAGATGGGCTGGGAAGGAGCCCCACACCAGGTCCTCAAACAGCACTGGAACACTTAGACCCACAGGTAAAGAAACCATTCCTGCTTCTGCGGTAAGGAGGGGGCACCAAGGGCTTGGGAAGGAGCTGCCACCTCTCCTTCAGCTGCCCCCTTGTTCTTCATTGGCAGCCCCCACGGACCAAGCGGGAGAACAGGAAGCTCCTGTGTGCCTGCAGGAGTGGGGGTCCAGGCATGCAGGCATGTGGCACAGCAGGGGTCACCTGTGGAGACCTCGGTGCCTGTAGGGGACCCCAGGTTTAGAAACAAAATTCTCATTTTATGATTCAAGACAATGAGAAAACAGTTCTTTAAGGAAAACATCTCTCTATAGGTTATATAGGTTATATTTTATAGGTTGTATTAATATTTTATAGAACTTAGGCTGGGTGCGGTGGCTCATGCCTGTAATCCCAGAACTGTGGGAGGCCGAAGTGGGTGGGTCACCTGAGGTCAGGAGTTCGAGACCAGGCTGACCAATATGGTGAAACCCCATCTCTACTAAAACTACAAAAATTAGCCAGGCGTGGTTGCATGCGCCTGTAGTCCCAGCTACTCAGGAGACTGAGGAAGGAGAACTGCTTGAACCCAGGAGGCGGAGAGTGTAGTGAGCCGAGATTGCGCCATTGCACTCCAGCCTGGGCAACAGAGCGACACTCTGTCTAAAAAAAAAAAAAAAAAAAAAAAAAAAAAATTATAGAACCTATTCTGTGTATTCTGTGATAGGTTATATCTGTTTACTAAGGGCTGCCTGGAATAGGATGCATAAAATGAACTACTAGGATAAAAGAACTAACCCAGTGTCCAGTAAGCCCCCATGAAGGCTTCCTTCCATCTTCTGCACCTCTGCAGCTGGAAAATGCTTTTTTAGAATGGCCTTCCTAAAAAACGAGCGAGTGGATGCTGCCCTCCAGTGGCCAAGTGTGCCCTTAAAGCATGTCAGAAGAGGACCAGGAAGCAAAATCAAACCCTTCCCCCCTGCTTCTTCCCAGTGCTTCACAGACTGCTCCTAATGGGAATACTGCTGGGATATTCCTGGGGTGCTGAAGGGGCTTGGATCTGTGCCACAAAGGGACAGCAGAAGCAACAAGGTGCATTTAGCAGGAGAAAAACAATAGCTAACATTTGCTGAGTGCTTACTTTGCATTGGCCTAAATCTCAAATGATTGACATGCCTTTAATCATCACACATACCATTGTTATCTCAACTTAAAAAAACAAGGCCAAGCTATGTGGCTAATGCCTGTAATCCTAGCACTTTGGGAGGCTGAGGTGGGCAGATTGCTTGAGGCCAGGAGTTCAAGACCAGCCTAGGGAACATAGTGAGACCCTGTCTCTACAAAAAACCACAAAAATTGGCCAGGCATGGTGGCACGTGTCTGTAGTCCCAGCTGCTACTTGGGAGGCTGAGAGGGGAGATCCCTTGAACCCAGGAGGTTGAGGCTGCAGTAAGCTATGATCACACCACTGTACTCCTGCCTGGGTCACAGAGAGAGACCCTGTCTTTTTTTTTTTTTTTTTTTTCAGGATTTGGTATGTTTTATTAGAGCAAATTTTTAACAAAAGGTGGCTTTTATTTACAGAATTTAATGTGGGGACAGTGGGGACTGTCCAACCCATGTGGACTCAAGTAAGGGTAACCATTAAGCCTGCTAATGTATTTTCTTATTTTCAGTTTACATACAATTTTTTTTGTTAGCTTCACATTAATAAAAAAAACCAATATTGTAAATGACAAATAACCCCTCCCATCCCTTAATTAAATATACAAACAGCTTGAAAAACATACAATTTAAATTGGGTTAATCTTGAAGTGTAATCCAATGAGACTGAAAACTAAACAATTCAAGTCTTGTACCAAATAGTAAAATACTCGAAGGCCTTCGGGATCCTTTGACTGATTTACATCAATAAGAGAACCTATTTTTGATGTGGTAAAAGATATGTGGGCCGGGCGTGGTGGCTCACACCTGTAATCCCAGCACTTTGTCATCCCAGCACCACCACCAAGGCGGGTGGATCATGAGGTCAGGAGTTTGAGACCAGCCTGGCCAACATGGATAAACCTCGTCTCTACTAAAAATACAAAATTAGCCGGGTGTGGTGGCTTGTGCCTGTAATCCCAGCTACTTGGGAGGCTGAGGCAGGAGAATCGCTTGAACCTGGGAGGCAGAGGATGCGGTGTGCCGAGATCGCACCATTGCACTCCAGCTTGGGCAACAGGGCAAGACTCCGTCTCAAAAAAAAAAAAAAAAAAGATATGTGCTCATCTCCAATTACAATTTCAAGCTCCTGTCGGCCAGCCCTGTCAGGGGGAGGCCACAAACCATCATCTTCTTTTGTGATTTCATTGTCATCAATAATTCTCTTCAGTTCTTCCATTAAACTCTTGTGCACGTAAGCCTCTTTTCTGATCATGACGTCATTTTTGTAATTGCTACTGTTGGCATATCTAAGCTTTCCATCCAGCTGAAATTCGGACTCCAAAAACTCATGCCCAAACTTGCCCTTGTGCCCTACGTAGTAGCGCAGGTAGAAATCGCTAGCCATAACCATTTTTGTCCCTGGGAAGCCCGCTGAAAACCCAGACAACTGAGAGACCCTTTCTTAAAAAACAAACAAAAACAGGAGGCCACGGCCTGAGATCTCCAGTGAGTGACAGAGCTAGGACTTGAAACTATGTTTCCCTCATCCCCAGGAGCGATATTTTATCCACTTCACCAGTGGTTCTCAAACTTTGCGATGCCCAAGAATTGTTTAGGGAGATTGGTAAAGAGGCAGCATGTAGGACTGTGTCCCCAGAGATTCTGATTATTTCTAAGAGAAGTAAAGACAACTGGGAATTTGTCCCTAGGACATTCTGGGTGGGGTCTGGTAATGGAAACAAGTTCATGGACCACCTTTGAGAAGTGCTAGATTAAAACCTCATCATTACCAAGAGGGAGATTTTGTATGGATAGAAGAGAGAACTTTCTAATAGTCATATCTATATTCTGATCCAACTATTGCTGCGTGCCAGCATTTGGATTGGTGCTTTCATATACACAATTTCATCTCCTCTTGGTGGCTCTTTGAGTAGGTGCCTGCAGTTTGCAGATGAGGATACCAGGCTCTGATACCTTCAAGAGAGTATTAATCTCTCCCTCCTTTCTTCTAACTTGGGGCCCTGCACCTGCTTCATTTGGCATTCCATTATGTGCTTATGGTGAGTCTCCCTATGGAAATTGTGCACCTTGATGTTGTTGAAGGCCTTTGAGTGTTGTCTGGCGAAGGTCACAGATTGTATCTGTTGAGCTGAAATGCCCCATCTGCTGTGAACAGGCTTGAGCGATGAGGAACTGAGGGACCTATGGAGCAGCTGCCCCATGTGTCACTAAGGTGACATCAATCCTGGTATCTGGAGCCGCTAATCCCTGGGGGAAGGTCCTGTGGAGGAGAGAAAGTGCTATAACTGGACATTTGGGAGCCGAGTCCTGGTCACCTTGGGGCTGCTTCTCAGGGGAACCTGCCAAGTGCTGTCAAATCAGAACATGTCCTCCGCAGGGAAAAGATCCCATGAAGGCAAGCCCAGGGTTGTCAGAGGGTCCCAGGAACCAGAGTAGCATGAAAGCTCTGAGGAAGGCTGGGAGCAGGGTGAGGCTAGCTATCTCACAGTTTGGGCCCTGTCACTCCCAGTTCCTCCCCAGAATCGGTAGGGCGTCTCTCACTTCCACCCCTGAAGGTGCTCCTCTCCTTACATTCTGCCCCTCACACTTTCCCTTTTTTTTTTCTTTCTGAGACAGAGTCTTGCTCTGTTACCCAGGCTGGAGTGGAGTGGTGCGATCTTGGCTCACTGCAACCTCTGCCTCCTGGGTTCAAGCGATTCTCCTGCCTCAGCCTCCTGAGTAGCTGGGACTACAGGCATGTGCCACCACGCCTGGCTAATTGTGTTTTGTATTTTTAGTAGAGACGGGATTTCACCATGTTGGCCAGGCCGGTTTTGAACTCTTGACCTTGTGACCCGCCCCCCGGTTCAGCCTCCCAAAGTGCTGGGATTACAGGTGTGAGCCACTGTGCCTGGCCACACTTTCCTCTTTATACCATGTTGTATTAGCTGATTTTTTTTTTTTTGCATGAATCAAGTGTCACTTTTATAATCATATATAAAAAAGTTTCATTTGGAGAAAACTACAAATGGAATGATCTCCAGGAAAGCAGGGTGTAGGGGAGAAAAACTAAGATCTTTCCTTCACCCACCAAGAGGTTCATGGCTGACACCCCTGTAACAAAAGACAGATTAACAAGAGGAAAGTTTAACAAATTTATTTAACCAAAGTTTTATGTCACATGGGAGCCTTCAGAAATAAAGACCCAAAGACCCAGGGAAAACGGTATTTTTATGCTTAGGTTTGATGAACAATGGACAGTTTTGGCCAGGTGCGGTGGCTCACGCCTGTAATCCCAGCACTTTGGGAGGCCGAGGTGGGAGGATCACCTGAGGTCAGGAGTTCGAGACCAGCCTGGCCAACATGGAGAAACCCCATCTCTACTAAAAATACAAAATTAGCCAGGCGTGGTGGCACATGCCTGTAATCCCAGCTACTCAGGAGGCTGAGGCAGGAGAATCGCTTGAACCTGGGTGGCGGAGGTTGCGATGATCAGAGATCACGTCATTGCACTCCAGCCTGGGCAACAAGAGCAAAACTCTGTCTCAAAAAAGACAAAAACAAACAAACAAACAAAAAAACAAAACAAAGAAAAAACCTCAGATGCCAAGGCGCCATGCTTTGGAGTATTGCAGGGGAAAAATAATAGCCCCCATGGGTTTGTAGTTAGAAAAGCGCCCCTGTTATGAAAGACAGACTAAGAAGAGAAAAACAAACAGAAGTTTATTAACATGTATATTTTATGTATACATGGAAGACACTCAGAGAATGAATAGTTCTCAAAGAGGTAGCTTTGAATTCTAGCTTGTGTAGCATCTTCAACACAGAGCAAAGAACAGTCCATTTTTAGAGCAGTGACAAGACAAAGGAAAAGGGCGTTGAGTCTCTGGCGGCAGCGGCTTGTGGGGAAGGCAAATAAATGGCAGACAAAGACTAGTTAGTAAAGCTTATTAATGTAGATTCCTCTGGTACCATCTCCAGGCTGATAGGGTCTAAATCTGTCTTCAGTGGTTAACCTTTGTTCTCCCTGGTTAGAAAGGTGGTTGGGGCTGGGCAAATTGGCTCACGCCTGTAATCCCAACACTTTGGGAGGCCAAGATAGGCAGATCACCTAAGGTCAGGAGTTCGAGGCCAGCCTGACCAATATGGTGAAACTCCGTCTCTACTAAAAATACAAAAATTAGCTGGGCGTGGTGGCAGGAGCCTGTAATCCTAGCTACTTGGGGGACGGACGCAGGAGAATCGCTTGAACCCGGGAGGCGGAGGTGGCAGTGAGCTGAGATCGCACCACTGCACTCCAGCCTGGGTGACAAGAGCAAATCTCCGTCTCAGAAAAAAAGGGGGGTTGGGACACCTTTTGTTGTTGTAAGTCTATGTCCTACATTTAGGCAAATAGAGGGAGGTCAGGGATCTTTCCCACATCTGCTCAAGGATCCTTCATACTTTGGGGCGGCACGTTCCGGACTCCTGCAGTATTGTGTTCTTAACCCCGGCAAGGTTAAGAGGGATCATTTTATTTCAAAGAAAACGTCTCAGGACCCAGTCTGGAAAATTCTAACTTGGAAATTTAAGGTCTTATTCTGTTAAAATGGCTTTCAGTTGTGAAATAGTAATATAACAATGTCATCCTTAAAAACTTGTAAAAAAAAACACAAAACCTTAAGATTATTTATTAAAATAAACACAAAACTTAAAAATCTCATAGAATTTTAGTTCCTGAACACGGGCAGGTCTAAGTGCTCCAATTTGAGACACACTTACGTGCGACACATACGGATGTCAAGTTGGTGCTAAGACGCCCCCATGGCCCCCAGGTATTACCAGGCAGGTGCAGATAAGACTGTGTGATGGTGTGGAGGAGTGCTGAGAACTGAAGTAGTAGGATATAAAGGAAATTGTAGGCTTGAAGTTTCAGGCCGCAGGGTCCGATTGCTTGTGCTCAAATCCTAGCTCTGTCCCTTGCCAACTTTGTGTCCTTAAGCAGCTTTAATTCTCTAAATCTTGATTTCCTCATAGAGTTAAAAATGACCTCTGTTTTAAGCCTCTTTGGAGGGTTGAATGAGGGGGAAAAAAGGCAAAGCATTTTTATAGCATACTGGCACCTGGCACCTGTAGCAAGCCTTCCGAATGAGGAAAAGGTGTTGCAAGGTCTACCCCATACCCTTATTGCAAAAGACAGATTAACCAGAGAGAGGCATAGCAAGGGTATTCAGGGTAAGTTTTACATGATGAAGACACAAAGACCTGGGGGTATGACCCAGTGGTAATGAACTGGAGGGATCTTGCCAAAGCCTGTTTGTTCAGATTCTTTCTGGCCTCTCTGTGAGGCATGTCCTCGCCCCAAATATGGGGTAGGATCCTTTTGCAATGAGGTTCCTGTGGCCACCTTGAGGGGAAGGTAGGTCAGAGGTCTCTAGGTTTTATGGCTGGCTTTGCGGGAGAGTAGTTCTAGTTTTTATGACACACCTTGGGGAGGAGAAATTCTAGTTTCTATGACCTGCTTCGGGGAGAAATGGGAAAAGAAGAAATGAGGGCAGGAGAAGGTCAGAGAGAGACTTTGCTTCTGAGGCCTTCTAATCTCCTTTAGTTCAAAGTACTCAGCCTGCCCAAGGTCCAGACTTCAGGGTATTGTTTTCTGAGCCCCGACACTATCAATGTTTACCACATTAGAAATGAAAATTAAGAAAAAGTTAAAGTAGTATTTATTAGTTTAAAATAATGAATGTATATATTGTTATATTTATAATAAAAATTTTTTAAATTATATCTTCCAAAACAAAAAAGTGAGAAAATCAGTATTATTTTTAAAATAATTTTTAATTTTTGTGGGTACATAGTTCATGTATATATTTATGAGGAACATGAGATGTTTTGTTTGGTAAGACGTGCAATGCATAATAATCATATCATATAGAATGGGGCATCCATCCCCTCAAGCATTTATCCTTTGTCTTACAAAGAATCTAGTTCTACTCTTTTAATTATTTTTCAATATACAATTAAATTATTATTGACTATAGTCACCCTGTGGTGCTGTCAAATACTAGGTCTTACCCATTCTTTCTATTTTTTTTTTGTACTCACTGACCATCCCCACCTTCTCCCCACCCTCTTACTACCCTTCCCATCCTCTGGGAACCATCCCAAATCAGTATTTTTTTTTTTTTTGGTGCGACCATACCTGGCTAAATTTTGTATTTTTAATAGAGACGGGGTTTCACCATGTTGGCCAGGCTAGTCTGGAACTCCTGACCTCAGGTGATCCACCCGTCTCGGCTTCCCAAAGTGCTGGGATTACAGGCGTGAGCCACAGCACCTGGCCCCAAATCAGTCTTTTTAATACATTTTTTTCAAGTCTTTTTAATGTCTGGCTTAATAGAAACCAGCTGGACACTCATATTTGCTTCTGCATTCAATCTACTGCAATATCACATGTCATGCAGCCTCTGGAAAATTCTGTACACACAAGAGAATGAGAGGGCACAAGAGAACGAGAGGGCAAAATACTAATGTCTTAGTGTTGCTATAAAAATAGTTTTGATCTTGTGGGGGAGAAAAAGTAATATCTTTTCCTCACCTGTCGCAAGGTTCATGGCTGACACCCCTAAAACCAAAGACAGATTAATAAGAGGAAAGCATAACAAATGTATTCAATATCAGTTTTATGTGACTTGGGAGCCTTCGGAAAATGAAGACTCACAGACCTCGGGTAACCTGTGTTTTTATGGACAGCCATGAAGAAGTAGGATCGGAGCACAGGGAGAGAGGATCTAAAATTTAAAAACTGGGGGAAGTCAGCAAGGCCTGTTTGCTCAGATTCTTCTTGGCATTCCCATGTGACATTTCTTTTCTCTGTGTATGGTGCAGGACATCTCTCACATGAGGGTCTTCGGGGAGAAGGGAGGGAGAAGGTCAGAGAATGACCTTTCTAGGTTTTGCTGTTTTCTCAAATGCCCGAGTGCCGTATTTTGGGGTAGGATTTCTTTTTCTTTCTTTCTTTCTTTTTTTTTTTTTTTCCTGAGATGGAGTCTTGTTCTGTGGCCCAGGCTGGAGTGTGATGGTGCAATCTCAGCTCATTGCAACCTCCGCCTCCCGGGTTCAAGCGATTCTCCTGCCTCAGCCTCCCAAGTAGCTGGGATTACAATGGCGCACCACCACACCCGGCTAATTTTTTTATTTTTGTATTTTTAGTAGAGATGGCGTTTCACCATATTGGCCAGGCTGGTCTCGAACTCCTGACCGCAGGTGATCCACCTGCTTTGGCCTCCCAAAGTGCTGGGATTACAGGTGTGAGCCACCGCGCCGGCTTGGGGTAGGATTTCTAAGCCACAACAATCTTATGACTCTCCTGACAGGTCTCAAGGACGCCCGGGGGCAGAACAGCAGTCTCTGCAGGCAGGAAATGTATAGTCTGGGGGTGCCGAGCCTCCAGCCTGAGTGGGCTCCCTTACCAGACACGGTGGTACCCTACCCAGGTCACCTCTATTTGAGGGCGGCTGCCTGCACTGAGTGCCTCAGGTGCAGCATTTTTCCTGGAAACGGGAGCAAGCTGGGTCCAAGCACAGAACCCGCTGGAAGCGCCAGGGAGTCAATGCGGGCCAAACGGTGACGGGGTTGGTGAGTAAATACTGGCTTGCTCACGGCTCCGTGTGACCGCTGAGGTCTGCTCTACCTCTGCCATGCCTGGTAGGATGGAGTTCCGACTGGCCACGTTGGCAAAATGGCTTGATAATCCCCGTCTAAATAAGCCCCTTCCCTTCCCTGCCTCACTGTTGTTGCTCTTTGTGATCACTGATGGGGCTCGGACACCCCAGGATAAGCACCTTGACATAGTGAGTATTTGACGATGCAGGAAACTGAGAAAACCACAGAAGCAAGAAGGTCACTTTCTGACCTCATTCCCGTCTACCCTGAAGTAGGTCGTCTTCATTAACGTTCTTATCTCAGAAGACACAGAGAGGCCAAGAAGAACCCGAACAAACAGGACTTTTGTTTGTTCTGTTTGTTGTTCTGTTTGCTAAGTTCTCCCAGATTTCTACCATTAGATTATACACCCCTGGTCCAACATACTTTTTCATGACTGTCCTTAAGAATGTACAAATTTCCCTGTTTCTTTGGGTCTGCATTTTCTAAAGACTTCTGTGTCGTGTAAAACTTATATGAATTAAATGTGTGTGCTTTTCTTTTGTAAATCTGTCTTTTGTTGTAGGGGTTCATGGCTGACAACCCACGGGCCTTGTGATGGGTGAGCAAAAGACATGACTTTTTCTCTCCTACATCGCCTTCCAAAAAAAATACTTTCTCCCAAGTGCTCGTCTCAGGATCCATTTTTAGGGCGAACACAAATGAAGCTAGCAGCCTTCTCGGGGCTCACAGTCCCCTGTAATGCTGCTTCTGCAGTGGGGTGCTAGGAAACATTTAACAACTTGCAGAACGGGGAAAAAAGCCCTGGTTTGCAGTTTGCTGATTTCCGTGGTGTAAATACTGCCCCCATGGCTGGTTTCCATCTATGAAGTTGACGTCACTGACCACAGAGTTGAGGAGAAGTGCATAGTGTTGGCTCTCACGAAGTGGTTTGGGCTGGCTGCAGCCTGGGTCACTGCTGTAACCCTTGCCACCCTCTAATGTAATTGTCTGTCTAGTACTCTGTGTCCCCTCTACAAGGAGACCTTAGCACTGTCGCAGTGTCCACTCATCATGGGTACTAATACTCGTGGAGCCATAAGTAAAAGCCACAATGGTGGTTGGAGAGCTGCTGTCAGGGAAGCATGTCCTGGGCTAGGGGAGAGGTGAAGAGGCTGCATGGAGGCCACCTCCCAGCTGAGACTGGAAACATCAGCTTGGGGGTCCTCCAGCCCTGGCAGGGAGAGACTGAACATGCAGGGGTCTGCAAGGGCAAAGCTGGAGCCAGGGAGGGCGTGTCTGGAGAATATTGGGTACTCCGGGTTGCGAGGGCTGCAGCATAGAGGAAGAGAAAGGTGACCCTCTGCCTCTGTGGGGGACAATGACCCTGGTTTGGCCTGCTGTCCCCTGGTACCCCTGAGACCAGAACCCAGGCAGGCCTTCCAGTGACCCCTTCCGTCAGTGCTGACATGAAAGTGGGAGCCCTGGCCTGGCCACAGAGCCTGCCAGTTCCAGCCTGACTGGAGAACTTGCAATTCGTGTCCTTCCCAAAGATGCCACCTGGAGGAGAAACTTCAACCTCTTTACCCAGGGCCTGGTGTGGGTGGAGGAGCCGGTTTGGCTAGTAAGGAGCCCAGTGGGCCTGGGAAGGTCACAGGAAACCCACAGCTAGAGCTGGGCAGGGTGCGGGGTGGAGGCAGGCACGGGAGGCCAGGTTTACAGAGCTGCTCCAGATCCAGGCGACATGTAAGCACAGAGCCAGGGCTCCCTGGAAGTTTCTCAGTTTGGAGCTGAACATAAGCGCCTTAGACTGTTCAGGCTACTGCAACAGAACACTGTAGACCACGTGGCTTAAACAACACAAATTTATTTCTCCCAGTGCCGGAGGCTGGAAAGTTGAAGATCAGGGCACTGGCAGATGCAGTGTGATGAAGGCTCACTTCCTAGTCCATAGATGGCTGTTTTCTCATTGTGCCCTCACAGGGCAGAAGGGGTAAGAGAGTTCTCTTAGCTCTCTCTCTTTTTTTTTTTAAAGACAGAGTTTTGCTCTTGTTGCCCAGGCTGGAGTGCAATGGCGCGATCTTGGCTCACTGCAACCTCCGCCTCCCGGGTTCAAGTGATTCTCCTGCCTCAGCCTCCCAAGTAGCTGAGATGACAGGCATGCACCACCATGCCCGGCTAATTTTTTGTATTTTTAGTAGAGATGGGGTTTCTCAATGTTGGTCAGGCTGGTCTCGAACTCCTGACCTCAGGTGATTCGCCTGCCTCGGCCTCCCAAAGTGCTGGGATTACAGGCATGAGCCACTGTGCCCGGCCTAAGCTCTCTTTTAAAAGGACACTTGGGCAGGGCGCAGTGGCTCATGCCTGTAATCCCAGAATTTGGGGAGGCCAAGACAGGTGGAAGGCTTGAGCCCAGGAGTTCAAGACTGTTATATGTAAAAATGTTTATTTAGAAATAGAATGCCTGTGGGCCGGGCACGGTGGCTCAAGCCTGTAATCCCAGCACTTTGGGAGGCCAAGGAGGGTGGATCACGAGGTCAGGAGATTGAGACCATCCTGGCTAACACGGTGAAACCCCATCTCTACTAAAAATACAAAAATTAGCCGGGTGTGGTGTCAGGTGCCTGTAGTCCCAGCTACTCTGGAGGCTGAGGCAGGAGAATGGTGTGAACCCGGGAGGTGGAGCTTGCAGTGAGCGGAGATCACACCACTGCACTCCAGCCTAGGCGACAGAGTGAGAAGCTGTCTCAAAAAAAAAAGAAATAGAATGCTTGTTCCCCAGTGCTGCAAAGAAATAGCACTCGAACATAAATTTAATTCTCTCAGCAAGGCCATTTTTACGTTCTGCAGAAAGGGTGCTCATCGCAGATGGAACAATGGTGGCAGCACACCTGAACAAAGAAGGGAAGCAATTTTTATCCCTCCCTTACGCAGTTTGTCCCTGCTACTGTGTCTTGTCTCCATTGGCTGGAGCCAGACCTCACAATCTAAACTAAAACCTGATTGGCTAACAGTTGAAAACTTTTCTAAATAGGTAATGGCAATAGAAAGACAAAGGAAAAGGGGAAGTTGCTTATGAAGGGACTTAGAAAAGTAATAACATTCCCAAATAAAGAAGGGGAATAGGCCGCTAGCAGGGACATGCCTGTGAGCATGTCTAGCACAGATATCCTGGTTAAAGTACAAGGATATGGAATGTACTACATACCTGTTAGTATGTCTAGCATAAAGTTAGTTTTTAAAAGAAACCATTATTTCTAACACTTATGATTTATTCTTTAACAAGAAGGGAAACTTTGAAGAGAAATTTTTACTTTCTACAGAGACCAACCCCATCTCTACAAAAAATACAAAAATTAGCCGGATGTGGTGGCATGTACCTGTAGTCCCCAGCAACTCAGAAGGCTGAGATGGGAGGATCACTTGAGCCCGGGAGGCAGAGGTTGCAGTGAGCCGAGATCACGCCACTGCACTCCAGCCTGGGTGACAGAGTGAAATCCTATCCCCAAAAAATATATGTGCAAATTAATGAAAAATAAATAAAAGGACATGAATCCCATCACTTAATCACCCCCAAAGGCCCCATCTCCAAATACCATCACACTGGGGGTTAGGTTTCAACATATGAGTTTTGGGGGTACACAAACATTCAGTCTATTGCAGTAAGGGCCCAAATAGAGGTGCCAGAGGAGTGACCTACCCTGGAGAATTATCCAGGACCCACAGACCTGAGGACCGAAATGACACACTGAATTTGGCCTTGTCCCCCATCACTTCACCTAGAAGGAAAGGAGATGAGGCCAATATAGTGAGAGGGATAGATGCATTGGGCCCCAGCACACTTGGGTTTGAATGCTGCGTCTGCTGTTTACAGGCTGTGTGACTTTGGGAAGTTTTCTGAACCCCTCTGAGCCGCTTTTGTGGTTTGTAATGCAGATCTCTTGGAGGGGTATGATGGTGTGTGCTAACTGGCCAAAATGATGCCTGCAGCATAATTAGGGCTCCGTAAGTCATCCTATATTTCATTGAATCTGGCATGCCACTCATTTGAAGAGGCACCTTTACTTTAGCTCCTCTAAGAAAGGAAAACAGCTGCCAAATAAACTGACCTGCCATCAGTTGTAAGATGCACCCAGATTTCAGAGATAACAAAATGTAATATAAAAAAATGTGTATCTTACAATCGATGAAATGCAGTAGTTCTTTTTCTTCTGATTGGTGGTTTGTGTGCTTCTGGGGCTTCTGTCTCTGGAAGATAGCAGGGTACAATGACTGATGAGGCGGCCCCACTCCGGAAGTCGCCTCTGCCCAGGCACTGCTGCCTGCTCCTTTTGCCTGTGCTGCTGCCCCTGGGTGGCTTGTTCTTGAGGGTCTCAGCTTTGCCTGTGGTTTCTGGCTTCTGTCAAGGTCCGTTTGAGTCTACAAGGCTGCTCAGCCTTTCTGAGGCCAGGGAAGCCATTTTCTTTTCTTTTTTTTTTTCTTCTTTTTTTTTTTTTTTGAGACAGAGTCTCTCTCTGTTGCCCAGGCTGGAGTGCAGTGGCAATCTCGGCTCACTGCAACTTCTGCCTCCCGGGTTCAAGCAATTCTCCTGCCTCAGCCTCCCGAATCGCTGGGATTACAGGTGCCCACCACCATGCCTGGCTAATTTTTGTATTTTCAATAGTGACAGGGTGTCACCGTGTTGCCCAGACTGGTCTTGAACTCCTGACCTCAAGTGATCCACCTGCCTCGGCCTCCCAAAATGCTGGGATTACAGGCCTGAGACACTGCACCAGGCCCAGGGAAGCCATTTTTGATCTCTCCGCAATTCCTGGGGGCAGAGCTGAGCTACAATAGATGCGCAGAGTCTGCCACTAGCCCTCTGTTCTTAGAAGGTGGGAGGTGAAAGTGAACAGGCCATGCATGAGGACAAATGTGCCCATTCCTCACCTTGCCACGAGGCCTGTTACATGCTGGCAGCTTTCCCAGTGAATTTTCTCCACCCCAGGACCTGGGAGGGAAGCAGGGCAACCCTTGGGCTCCCTGTGCTGCAGATGAGGAAACGGAGTTAGGACAGGCTAAGTGATTTGAGAGCATTATCTGCTTAATAAGTGCCTGACTAGATCCCAGGCCTATCTTAGGGGCTGCTTCTCCTGTTTAATGAGCAGTCGCTGGGTGTAAGAAAGACACGATGATGCTGTGCAGGTGAGGCAGGGACCAGAATGTAGTGCTGAGCATGTTCCAGGGATGCTGACAGGTTGGGAAAGCCTAGACCTGCACTAGTGTATATATTTAAATACTTTGTGGAAATTATTTAAAAAATACTTTGTGAAAAAAATAAAATAAAATTCTATATATTGGGTTAAATAACATATTTCAAACTTAATTTCACCTGGCTGGGTGTGGTGGCTCATGTCTGCAATCCCAGCACTTTGGGAGGCCAAGGCAGGTGGATCACTTGAGGTCAGGGGTTCGAGACCAGGCTGGCCAACATGGCAAAACATCCATCTCTACTAAAAATACAAAAATTAGCTGGGCATGGTGGTATATGCCTGTAATCCCAGCTACTCAGGAGGCTGAGTCAGGAGAATCACCTGAACCTGGGAGGTGGAGGTTGTAGTGAGCCGAGATGGTACCACTGCACTCCAGCACTCTACCTGCACTCCAGACAGAGCAAGACCCTGTCTCAAAAAAGTAAATAAATAAAAATAATTTCACCTGTTTCTTTTTCCTTGTTTGACGTTACTACTAGAAAATTTCAAATTATATATATGCCTTGCAGTATATATATTTCTGCCCCCACAGTGTTCCCCACCACCCCATCCCCTGCTTTTCTCCAGCCCAATCTCTGAGACTTCCCTGTCCCTAAATAGCAGAGTGATGGCCTGTTGGCTGCTTTCCACTATCACAGTGGGGCTCTGGGAAAGTCTGGGTCTGCAGTGGCTCGGGTGTCCGAGGGCTTCTGGGAGCTCTGGGCCATGGCTGTTGGCCTCCTAGGTCTCCCAGCTCTCCAGAGGCCTGCAGGCCTATTTCACTTTCCCTGGCTACTGCCTGTAGAGGTTCAGGATAGAGTGAAACAGGCTCCCTCCACCATGGTTGAGCTGCAGTCCTGACCATGTGTGCCCTAGGCACTAGTTAAGGCACGTAGGGGTCTCTGAGCTTTTTGCCCACCCAGCTATGGCCTGTGTTTGGGCTTTCCCATCAGTTTTGTCCTATCTAGTGTTTTCCTTTATTTTATTTTATTTTGTTTGTGTTTTGTTTTGAGACAGGGTCTCACTCTGTTGCCCAGGCTAGAGTGCAGTGGTGATCAGAGCTCACTGTAGCCTTAACTTCTTGGGCTCAAGAGAGCCTCCTGTCTCAGCCTCTCCAGTAGCTGGGTCTATAGATGCAGGCCACCACTACAAAAAAAGTTTGTAGAGATGGGGATCTTGCCATGTTTCCCAGGCTGGTCTCAAACTCCTGGCATAAAGTGGCCCTCCCACCTCAGCTTCCCAAAGTGCTGGGATTATAGGCATGAGCCACCATGCCCAGCTGTGTTTTCCTTCAATATATAACACATGTATGTGCTTGCTTTTGGCCACACTTTTAAAGTAATGCTGATAGCTATGAATCAGAAATCTGTTTCCAAAAATTTGTTGTTGCTGTCGTTTTGAGATATTCTGGCTAAATGTTTGATAGTTGTGTGTTTTTTTTTTTTTTTTTTTTTTTTTTTTCTGTATGGAAGCTATATTTACATTTCAGATTAGGTGCAGTGGCTCATGCCTGCAATCTAGGCACTTTGGGAGGCTGAGTGAGAGGACTGTTTAAGGCCAGGAGTTTGAGACCAGCCTGGTCAACATAGTGAGACCTTGTCTCTACTAAAAATAAAAATTAGCTGGGTGTGGTGGCAGCACCTGCAGTCCCAGCTACTTGGGAGGCTGAGGTGAGAGGAGCCCTTGAACCTAGGAGGTCAAAACTTCAGTGAGCCATAACTGTGTCACTGCACTCCAGCCTGAGTGACAGAGTGAGACCCTGTCTCTAAAAAATAAAAAATTGAAAAAGTTATATTTGCATTTCAAAACCTATTGATCCATTCAAGGACTCTCAGTTTATTCTGAAACCCTGACTGTGGACTGTGGCCCTTGGCACTTGGACAACTAGAAAAGTGGTTTTCTTTGGCAAATGTACCACAGCCCTTCTTTTCTCCTTGTTAATGGAAGAGTGTGGGTTTTGGAATCAGACAGACCTGATTTTCAGCTCCTGCTTTGGCACTAACTCTCTGGGAGACAGTCGATGAGCAAGGGTCCTAGCCTCAGCTTCCTATAGGTAAAATGGAGATAATACCTGTCTCATTGTGAAAAATAAGTGAAATAATATATATAAAGTGCCTAGTAGAGTGCTTTGTGCTTAGCAGGTAGTGCATTCAATAAATGTGACTACAGGCCGGGCGCGGTGGCTCACGCCTGTAATCCCAGCAGTTTGGGAGGCCGAGGTGGGCAGATCACCTGAGGTCAGGAGTTCGAGACTAGCCTGGCCAATGTGGCGAAACTCCGTCTTTACTAAAAATACAAAAATTAGCCAGGTGTGGTGGCAGGTGCCTGTAATCCCAGCTACTCAGGAGGCTGAGGCAGGAGAATAGCTTGAACCCGGGAGACGGAGGTTGCAGTGAGCCAAGATTGCGCTGTTGCACTCTAGCCTGGGTGACAGAGTAAGACTCTGTCTCAAAAAATAAATAAATAAATAAATAAATAAATAAATAAATAAATAAGTAAGTAAAATGACCATAGGATGTACTATCATGTTCTTGAATAACATTTTAAGAACATGGGAAAATTTGCATGATATGGGAATTGATGGAAAAAAAAGAAAATACATAATCATTTGTAGTGGGTTCATAACATTGTAAAACAGAAAATTGTGTACACATAGTAACTGGCCGAAAATACACCAACATGTCTGCAGTTGCTGTAATCGGGTGGGGTATAGGTGATTGTTGTTTTCTTCTTTTTATATTTTTCTCTTTTAAAATTTCTATAACAAACAGTTATTATTTTTATCAGCAGTAAAAAACTCCACCATTTGTGTGTCTATTCTAGGTCTTATCATCATGGAAGAAATGTTTTCTTTAAATTAGATTTATAAAGACATAAGTTCCTTGTGTGTAAAACCTATGCCTTTTGGTGAAGAAAAAATTCCTCGTTTCTTCAAGTTGTTAAAATATTAAAGGCATTTCTTATTCTACTTAAATCCCTGGTCAATTACTGCTGTGGAAACTATTGTAATGGATATTCTATGAAAGGATAAATGCAACTATTAAAAATTATTGAACAAGTGTACCTGCTACGGTAAAAAAAATATATATTGTACAGTGTATGTAATAAACCTTTCCCCTCCCCAAGAAATAATCACCAGAATGTTACCATGCATATACCAACCTATGTGTGTATTTTTAATTTAGTTTTATAGAAGAGAATAAGTTACATACTTTTTTATGATCTTTTAAAAACGTTTTATTAATGTATAATTCACATACTATAAAATCCCCTCATTTAAAGAGTATAGTTCAGTGATTTGTGTGTGAGATGAGGTCTCAACTCTGTTGCCCAGGCTCAAATGCGGTGGCACGACCTCAGCTCACTGCAGCCTCGACCTCCCGGGTTCAAGCAATCCTCCCACCTCAGCCTCCCTAGTACCTGGGACTACAGCCATGCACCACCACGCCTGGCTACTTTTGTAATTTTTGTAGAGATGGGGTTTCACTATGTTTCCCAGGCTGGTCTCGAACTCCTGGGCTCAAGCAGTCTGCCTGCCTCAGCCTCCCAAAGTGCTGAGATTACAGATGTGAGTTGCCATACCCAATTCAGTTCAGTGATTTTCAAGGTTAATTTATACAGTTGTGCAACCATCACCACAGTCCAGACACTCCCATGGTGCTTTCTCACTCAACACTGCCTCTTGGAGATGGTTCCGCATAAGTGAGTATGGATCTCTGTCATCGTTTTCAGTGGTTTGCTGGTTTTCCATCACATGGATGCACCATCC
This sequence comes from Homo sapiens, assembly GCF_000001405.40. NCBI lineage: Eukaryota > Metazoa > Chordata > Mammalia > Primates > Hominidae > Homo > Homo sapiens. The sequence goes on along the minus strand of NC_000014.9, from coordinate 68,846,549 downwards.
TTTATCTAACTAGTGCCCTACTGGTGAGTCCCAGTTTTTTTGCTACTATTAACTGGGCTTCAGAGGAATCCCTGTACATACATCTTTACACCCATGAACATGAATGTATCTGTAGGGTTCGTTACCAGTGAAGGAATTGCTGCATTAATGAATATGTGCTTTTATAATTTAAAAGACTTAAAATTACTTCTAATTAACATTCCTACATTAGTGTTTGAAAAAAACCATTTGTTCAACTAGGACTTTAAAACAATCTAATAGGATAAAAACTGCATAACCAAATTTGATGTAAGAAGTGACAGAGAGGCCAGGCATGGTGGCTCATGCCTGTAATACCACCACTTTGGGAGGCTAAGGTGGGAGGACTGCTTGAGGTCAAGAGTTCAAGACCAGCCTGGGTGACATAGTGAGACCCCCATCCCTAAAAAAATTTTTTTAAAAACTTAGCCAGATGTCATGGCACACACCTGTAGTTCCAGCTACTCAAGAGGCTGAGGCAGGAGAATTCCTTGAGCCAAGGAGGTGAAGGCACCAGTGAACCAAGATTGTACCACTGCATTCCAGCCTGGGTGACAGAATAAGACACTGTCTTTTTTTTTTTTGAGATGGAGTCTCGCTCTGTCACCCAGGCTGGAGTGCAGTGGCGCGATCTGGGCTCACTGCAAGCTCTACCTCCTGGGTTCACACCATTCTCCTGCCTCAGCCTCCCGAGTAGCTGGGACTACAGGCGCCCGCCACTGCGCCTGGCTAATTTTTTTGTATTTTTAGTAGAGACAGGGTTTCACCATGGTTTCGATCTCCTGATCTCGTGATCCACCCGCCTTGGTCTCCCAAAGTGCTGGGATTACAGGCATGAGCCACGGCGCCTGGCCTGACACTGTCTTAAAAGAAAAAAAAAAAAGAATAATAATGATAAGAAGAGAAGAAGTGGTAGAGGTATCTTTGTGCATTTGTATGTATGTATGTGTGTGTATACAAACACAAATTTTTTTCCTAATGTTTATAAAGTATATGTCTTTTTTTTTTTTTAGACGGAGTTTTGCCCTTGCCACACAGGCTGGAGTGCAATGGCGTGATCTCGGCTCACTGCAACCTCCGCCTCCTGGGTTCAAGCGATTCTCCTGCCTCAGCCTCCTGAATTGCTGAGATTACAGGTGCCTGCCACCACGCCCAGGTAATTTTTGTATTTTTAGTAGAGACAGGGTTTCACCATGTTGGCCAGGCTGGTGTCGAACTCCTGATCTCAGGTAGATCCACCTGCCTCGGCTTCCTAAAGTTCTGGGATTACAGGCGTAAACCACTGCGCCCAGCCATGTCTGCTATTTGTTAAGTCTCTGTATCCCTGGAAACCACACAATTTACATATGTAAGAGTTAGTACATTAGACATCACTATTTCTATGGAGTTTTTAAAATGAGAAAAACCTGCTGGATACACACACACACACACACACACACACACACACACACACGTATATCCAAAAGAAAGGGAATAAGTATATTGAAGAGATATTTGCCCTCCTGTTTACTGCAGCACTATTCCTGATGGCCAAGATACAGATCAACATAAGTGTCCATCAATGGATGAATAAAGAAAGAAAATGTGACGTATATACACAATGGAATATTATTTAGCTATAAAAAATGATAAAATCCTGTCATTTGCAGCAACATGGGTGGAATGGAGGTCATCATGTTATGTGAAATAAGCCAGGCACAGAAAGACAAATGCCACATATTTTCAGTCATGTGGAAGCTAAAAACAAAAGTGGATCTCATGGAGCTAGAGGGTTGAATGATAGTTAACAGAGGCTGGGAAGGGGGCTGGGGAAGATGAAGAGAGGTTGGCTAATGGGTACAAACATACAGCTAGACAGAGGGAATAAGATCTAGTAGTTGATACTACTGCAGGGGAATTATAGTTAACAATAATGTATTGTATATTTCAAAATAGCTAGAAGACTTATAATGTTTCTGACACAAAGTAGATATAAATGTTTGGGGTGATGGGTGTCTGATTTTCTCTTTACATGTTGTACACATGTAATAAAAATATCACCTGAGGCTGGGCGTGGGGATCACGCCTGTGACCCCAGTACTTTGGGAGGCTGAGGTGGGAGAATAGCTTGAGGCCGGGAGTTTGAGACCAGCTTGGGCCACAGATGGGGATCCTGTCCCAAAAGAAGAGGGGTGGGGGGAAGAAACAGAATAAGAAATAAATTAAATTTAAAAAATCACAGACACCCCCAAAATATGTATAACTATGATGTATCAATAAAAAAAAAAACTCCAACAATGAGAAAAACCAAAGCGAAATGGAGGACCGGACACTTGATTGACGGTGACCGGGGACTGTGCGTCTTGAGCTGGTTGTGCTCAGGTCTCGTCCTCTCTTGGAATCTCGCTGTGGGCCAGCAGGTGGCGCTTGTGCTCCCCGTGGCCGCGATCCGTGAAACTGGATTTAATATAGTAACCCGATGTTGCCCTGAACATATAATTTTCAAACCTTCCAGTCCACCACAAGGAAAACCTCTGAGGATTTTCTTCTGGGAAGAGCAATTAGCCTAACCTCTTAGGAGGAGAAATTGCATCGCTGAGCTTGTCTGGGAAAGCAACATACCCTCCCAAGAGCAGTCTTGGGGAGGGCGGAGAGAAACCGCCAAGCAGCCTTTGTGAAGAGGGAGGGGTGCTGGAGAAGGGCTGGGAACGGCAGGGTAGGATTTGGGGCTTGGAGTGGGAAGTATCCTAGGTCTGAGGACAGCAAGTCCCGGGCCTGTGGGCTTCTGGGCTTAGGCGGGAGGGTAACAGAGACCGAATGGGTGCAAGATTACTTGGGTGGGCTGAAGATGCTCTGCCCAGCCCAGGCCAGGCTGGGAGAGCCCCTCCTTCACCCACCTACTGTGACTAAATGCCAGGCACTGGTGACACAGCTGTGACAAGACAGGCCTGGTCCCTGCCCTCACAGAGCCTGCAGGACGGGGGGCGGAGGGGGGTGGGCAGGAAATAGCAGTGACCAGGATCTAAGGGGGTTGTTGAGGTGTGTTTGGGGAGGGAGTAGGGCAACTTTCTCAAGGGGTCCAGGCCACTGCCCAGACTCCAGACTCCCTGGGATGGGGAGACTAGACTGGAAGGAGCCATCGGGGAATAGGGATCAGCTGAACCAGGGCAAGGGAAGAGAGTGGCTACTGGGGGTCACAGGGCAAGAGCAGGGAGCTTCGAGCTGGGGGATGCCCAGCCTGAGCCTGTGGGAGGGGAGAGTGGCACCCTGTGCCCTGGTCACAGATGAGGCTGGGAGGGGTGTGTCCTATTTTGAAGAAGAGGCCTTGCTTTGGCAAAGGCTGTAGTTGGGAAGAGAGGGAGAGAGATAGAGAGAAAGAGGCAGGGAGATAAAGACAAAGGGAAGAGAGAAAGAGAATTATTTTGTCTCTACCCTCAGGGACAGTGTAATCTTGGTGGAAAGTGAAAATGTGCCAGTGTACAAGTGCACACACACACACACACACACACACACACACACACACACAAAGACTGTTACCATAAGGTTGTCAGCAACTGGAGCCAAGGGAAGCATCCAGATGGCTGAGCCTATATGACCTTGGGCAAATACTTAACCTCCCTATACCTCAGTTTCTTCATCTGTAAACTGGGAGCAATATTAGTATTGACCTCATAGGGCTGTTAAGAGGATTAAACACAATAATCCTTTTGAAGCATGCAGCATAGTCCCTGGCAGCTAGTAAGGTCTCACAAGTGATTGTTGTTGTTGTCATTCATCATGATCATTAATATCAGTTGTCATCTGCTGGAAAAGGAGGGATTAGAAAAGGTGGGATATGGATAGGCACAGCCAAGACAAATGCGCGGGATGGGAAAAGCAATTCAAGCTGGAAAAGAAAGAACTCGTGGGAACAAAGGTGAAGAGGTAGGAGGGTGAGATTCTAAGTCCTCACTACTCAAAGTGTGGTCCAAAGACTCACCAGCAGCAGCTGCTCCTGGGTGCTTGTTAGAAGTGCAGAATCTTGGACCCCAGCCCAGGTCTACTCACCCAGAATCTGCAACTTTTCAAGCTGTTCAGGTGATTTGTTTGCTTGGGGGAGTTTGAGAAGCACAGCTATCAGCCATAACTCATGGGAGTGAACGATGCTGGTGCCACAGTGGGAGCAGCAGAGAGAAGGCTACAGAGGGATGGGGACCAATCAGTACATGTCCCTGAAATAGTTCCACGTGCAAGTTACTGCCCAGGATTCAATATTTGTTATAATTTTTCCCTTTGAGGTAAAACCTATATACAATGAAATATATACATGAACTGTACCTCTAAGTTTTAACAAGTGCATCTACCAATGTAAACTTGGACTCCAGTCAAGACATAAAACCTGACCAGCCACCCAGAAAGTTCCCTCATACCTCTTCCTAATCGATCCCTGCTCCAGTCCCTAGAGGCAGCAGTTGTTTTGACTTATTTTCTGCAATATAAATTACTTTGCCAGTTTTAGAATTCCGTACCCATGGAACTGTATGATAGGTACTGCTGTGTAACCCTTCATTTATGCAGCATAATGTTTTTAGACACATCTGTGTCACTGTATCAGTCATCTGTCCCTTTTTATTGCTGTGTGCTCTTCCGTTGTATAGGTATGTCACAGTTTGTTTATCCACTATGCTGTTTCTGATTTTTGGTTATTGTAATTAGGCTGCTAGGAAAATTTCTGTATGTCTTTTTGTGAACATACATTTATATTTCTCTTGGATAAATACCTAGAAGTGGGAGTGCTAGGTCATAGGGTAGGTTATGTTTAGTTTTATAAGAAACCACTAGCCCTATTCCAGAGTGGCTGTACCGTTTTATGCTTTTACCAACTGTATTAATCAGCTCAAGCTGCCATAACAAAATACCATAGGCAGAATGGCTTAAACAACAGACATTTATTTTCTCACAGTTCTGGAGGCAGGAAGCCCGAGGTCAGGGTGCCAGAGTGAGGGCTTTCTTCTAGCCAAGAAGGCCCCTGCCATCTTGCCGTGTGCTTACATGACCTTTTTTTTAAGTGTGTGAGTGGAGACAGAGAGAGAAAGAGAGAGAGAGAGAGGGTGCTCTTTAGTGTCTTTTCTTATAAGGACATTAATCCTATTGAATCAGGGCCCAGCCTTTATTACTTTATTTAACCTTAATCTTAACTTTAATGGTCCTATCACCAAATACTGTCACACGGGAGGTTTCAAGATAAGAATTTTGGAGGGACACAAACAATCAGTCTGTAACACCAACAATGTGTGAAAGTTCCAGTTTTGTCAGGTATTTTAATTTTAGCCATTCCTGTGGGTGTACAGGATATTTCATTGTGGTTTTATTTCCCTGATGACTAATGATGCTGATGATCTTATTTTTTCCATTTAAAAAATTGCAGTAATATACACATAACATAAAACGTACCAACTTAACCATTTTCTTTTTTTTCTTTTTTTTTTTTTTTGAAACAGGATCACACTCTGTTGCCCAGGCTGGAGTGCAGTGGTACGATCATGGCTCACTGCAGCCTTGACCTCTAGGGCTCAAGCAGTCCTCCTGCCCAGCCTCCCAAGTAGCTGAGCAGCTGGGACACAGGTATGCACCACCACACCTGGCTAATTATCTTTATTTTTATTTTTGTAGAGGCAGGGTCTCCCTATGTTGCCCAGGCTGGTCTTGAACTCCCAGCTCAACTGATCCTCTTGCCTCAGCCTCTCAGACTGTTGGGATCACAGGTTAAGATGAGGCCACCATGCCCGCCTCATCTTCATCATTTTTTAAGTGCACAGTTTAGTGGTATTAAGTGCATTCATAATGTTGTGCAACCAATCACCACCATCTGTCTCTAGAACACTTTTTATCTTGTAAAACTGAAACTCTATACTCACTAACCAATAATTCCCCATACCTCCATGTCCTGGCCCTGGAAACCAACATTCTACTTTCTGTTTCCATGGTTTTGACTACTCTAGGTACTTCACAGACTCACGCATTATTTGTCCTTCTGTGACTGGCCTATTTCAGGTAGCAAAATGTCCTCAAGGCTCATTCATGTTGTGGCATGTCAGAGGGTTTTTTTTTTTTAATTTTCAAGGCTAAATAATATTCTGTTTTTTTTCTTTTCTTTTTTTTGAGATGGAGTTTTGCTCTTGTTGCTCAGGCTGGAGTGCAATGGCACAATCTTGGCTCACTGCAACCTCTACCTCCCAGATTCAAGAGATTCTCCTGCCTCAGCTCCCGAGTAGCTGGGATTACAGGCATGAGCCACCACGCCTGGCTAACTTTGTATTTTTAGTAGAAGTGGGGTTTCTCCATGTTGGTCAGGCTGGTCTCAAACTCCTGACCTCAAATGATCCACCTGCCTTGGCCTCCCGAAGTGCTGGAATTACAGGCGTGAGCTGCTGCGCCTGGCCAAGGCTAAATAATATTCTGTTACATGTATATACCACATTATGCTTATCCATTCATCCAGTGATGGACATTTGGGTTACCTCCACATTTTAGCTATTGCAAATAATAATGCTATAAACATGGTGTACAAATATCTGAGACCCTTCTTTCAATTCTTTTGGGTATATACCCAGAAATGAAATTACTGGATCATATAGTAATTCTATTTTTAATTTTTTGAGAAACAGTAAATGCATCATTTTGCATTCCCAACAACGTTGAACAAAGGTTCCAATTTCTCCACATTTTCAGCAACACTTGTTATTTTCTGTTTTTTTGTTTTGTTTTGTTTTTTTAATAGTGACCATCCTAATGTATGTGAGTGGTATCTCATTATAGTTTTGATTTGTATGTCCCTAATTAGTGTGTTCATCCATTATTGCATTGCTATAAAGAAATACCTGAGCCTGGGCAATTTATAAAGGAAAGAGGTTGAGTTGGCTCACTGTTCTGCAGGCTGTACAGGAAGCACGGCACTGGCATCTGCTCAGCTTCTAGTGAGGCCTCAGGATGCTTTCAACCATGGTGGAATGTAAAGGGGGAGCAGGCATATTCCATGGTGAAAGTGGAGCAAGAGAGAGAGGGTGGAGGTGTCACACACTTTCAAACAACCAGATCTCATAGGAACTCAGAGGGAGAACTCACTTATCACCAAGGAGACGGCACTAAGCCACTTATGAGGGATCCACCCCCACACAGTGGTGGGGACTCCCACCAGGCCCCACCTCCAACACTGGGGATTACATTTTGACATGACATTTGGAGGAAACAGACATCCAAACCATATTATTCCATCCCGGCCCCCTAAATATCACGTTCTTCTCACATTGCAAAATACAATCATTCCCTGCCACTAGTCTTCAAAAGTCTTAACTCATTCCAGCATCAAGTCCAAAGTCCTGTCTCATCTGAGTCTCATCTCCTTCCATCTCTTTGGCTGTACAATCAAATCAAGTTATTTACCCCAAGATAAAATGGCAGTACAGGCATTGGGTAAACATTGTCATTCCAAAAGGGAGAAATTGGCCAAAAGAAAGAGGCTGAAGGCTCCATGCATGTCTGAAACTCAACAAGGAAGACATTAAACCTCAAAGTTCCCAAATGATCCTTGACTCCATGTCTTGTATCCAGAACACACTGGTGCAGGGGGAGGGCTCCCAAGGCCTCAAGCATCCTTGCCTCTGTGGCTTTACAGAGTGCAGCCTCCGTGTCTGCTCTCACAGATTGAGGTTGAGTGCCTGTGGCTTTTCCAGACTCAGGATGCAAGCTGCCCATGTCTCTACCATCCTGCGATCTGGAGGGCAGCAGACCCCTTCTCACAGCTCCACTAGCCAGTGCCCTGGTAGGGACTCTGTGTGGGGCTCCAACCCCACCTTTCCCCTTGGTGCTGCCCTAGTAGAGGTTCTCCATAAGGGCTCTGCCCCTGCAGGAGGCTTTTGCCTGGACACTCAGGCTTTCTGGAACATCCTTTGAAATCCAGCAGGAAGCTGGCAGCCTCCTTTACTTTTGCACTCTGTGAGCCTGCAGGCTTAACACCATGTGGAAGCACCAAAGCTTATAGCTTGCACCCTCTGGAGTGGTAGCCCAAGCTGTACCTGGGCTCCTGTGAGTTGAGGCTGGAGCTGAAGTAACTGGAATGCGGGGAGCAGCCTCCTGAGGCAGAGCAGAGCAGCTGCATTCTGGGCCTGCCCCCTAAAACCATTCTTTCCTCCTAGGCTTCTGGGTCTATAATAGGAGAGGGTTTCTCCAAGATTTCTGAAATACCTTCAAGGCCTTTTCCCCATTGTCTTAGATATTAGCACTTGGCTCCCTTTTAGTTGTGCCAATCTGTTTAGCAAGTGCTTGCTCTGCAGCCTGCTTATATTTCTTGCCTGAAAATGATTTTTATTTATCTGCCACAGGGCCAGTTTGCAAATTTTCCAAACTTCCATGCTCTGCTTCCCTTTTAAATATAAGTTCCAACTTTAAGTCATTCCTTTTCTCCTGCATCTGATTTAGACTGTTGGAAGCAGCCACATCACTCCTATATTTATTTTTTCCTAAAAAAATTTTTTTTTTTGAGACAGAGTCTCGCTCTGTCACCCAGGCTGGAGTGCAGTGGAATGATCATGGCTCACTGCAGCCTTGACCTCCCAGGCTCAATTGATCCTCCTGTCTCACTCAGTCTCCTGAGTGGCTGGGACCACAGGCATGCACTGCCATGTCTGGCTGATTTTTAAATCTTTTGTAGAGACGGTGTCTCACTGTTTACGCAGGCTGAACTCCTGGGCTCAAGCAATACTTCAGCCTTGGCCTCCCAAAGTGCTGGGATTACAGATGTGAGCTACCATGCCTGGCTACATGCCACTTCTTGAATGCTTTGCTGCTTAAAAATTTCTTGCATCTGATACCCTAGGTCATTACTCTTATGTTCAAACTTCCATAGATTATAAGGACATGAACACAATGCAGCCAAGTTCTATGCTAGGGCATAACACAAGTGACTTTAATCCAGTTCTCAGTAACTTACTCATTTCCATCTGAACCTCATCAGCCTGGCCTTCACTGGCTATATCTCTCAGTATTTTGGTCACAACCATTTACTCAGTATCTAAAAAGCTCCAAATTTTCCCTCATCATCCTGTCTTCTTCTGAGCCCTCCAAACTCTTCCAACCTAGAAGACTAGAGTAAATAACTGATCCTTCAGTGCAAAAACAGAGGAGACATCCAGAAGAAACAACAGCAAACAGGGAACCATGACCTTCTGTAATGGACAAAGCAAGGAACCAGTGACTGACTCTAATGAGACAGTGATACATGAACCCCTTGACCAATTGTTCAAAACAGCAGTTTTAAGGAAACAGTGATCGCCAAGATAACACATAAAATCAATTCAGAAATGTTTGAGACTTTTGTTTTGTTTTGTTTTTGAGATGGAGTTTCAGTCTTTTGCCCAGGCCAGAGTGCAGTGGCGTGATCTCGGCTCACTGCAACCTCCGCCTCCCAGGTTCAAGTGATTTTCCTGCCTCAGCCTCCGAGTAGCTGGGATTACAGGTGCCTGCCACCATGTCAGACTAATTTTTGTATTTTTAGTAGAGACAGGGTTTCTCCACATTGGTCAGGCTGGTCTTGAATTCCTGACCTCAGGCGATCCACCCACCTCAGCCTCCCAAAGTGCTGGGATTACAGGCATGAGCCACTGTGCCCAGCCAAGAAAAATTTAACAAAGAGATTGAAATAATAATTAAAAAATCAAACAAACAGAAATCTTGGAACTGAGAAATACATTTGCCAAACAGAAAAATGCACTAGAGGCTCTTAACAGCAGAATGGGTTAAGTGGAGGAAATAATTAGTGAGCTTGAAGACAGGCTAATAAAAAATATGGCCATAGGAGAAAAAAGAAGAATGAAAAGGAATGAAAATTATCTACAAGATATAGAAAATTACCTCTAAACACCAAATCTAAGAATTATTGGTATTCAAGAGGGATATGTACAACAGCAAGGGGCAGAAACTCTATTCAAAGAAATAATACCAGAAAACTTTCCAAAACTTGAGAAATATATGAATATCCAGTACAGGAAGGTCAGAGAACATCAAACAGATTCTACCGAAATAAGAGCACCCCAAGGCATAAAATAATTTTCTCTCAAAAGTCTAAGATAAATAAAGGATCCTAAAAGCAGCAAGAGAAAAGCAAATAACATATAAAGGAGCATCAGTTTGTCTGGCAATAGACTGCTCAATGGAAACCACATTGGCCAGGAGGGAGTAGGATGACATTTTCAAAGTGCTGGAAAAAACAAAACAAAACAAAATAACCCTGCCATCCAGGAATACTGTATCCAGCAAAGTTGTCCTTCAAATATTAAGGAGAGATGTAATCTTTTTCAGACAAACAAAAGCAGAGAATTCACCACCACCAGACTCATCTTACAAGGAATGCTAAAGAGAGTTCTTCAACCAGAAGGAAAAAAACCACCCCACGAACATGCAAAAAGAAAACACTTGAAGGTATAAAATCCACTGGTAAAATTAAATACATGGACAAACCCAGAATATTCTAATATTGTAAATGTGGTGTGCAATTCATGCATAACTCTAGTATGAAACCTAAAGAGCAAATCTATCAAAAACAATATAGCTACAGCAGCCTACTAAGAGATAGGCAGTATAAAAATATGTAAATTGAGACAATAAAAAGACAAAATGTGAGGAGGATGGAGTTCAAGTGTAGAATTTTTTTCATTTTTGTTTCTATTATTTTCTTTGTGATCTAGAACTTTGTGATAAGTTGCCACCTCTGTAAAATGACTTGTTATATTTATAAGATGTTTTCTGTAAGCCTCATAGTAACCACAATGCAAAAACCTATAATAGAGTCACTGCAAATAAAAAGCAATGAATTAAAACATACTGCCAGAGAAAACCACTTAACCACAAAGGAAGACAGTAAGAAAGAGAGAAAGGAAGAGAGGAGTTACAAAACAACCAAAAAACAAGCAACAAAATGGTAGTGGTAAGTTCTTACTTATCAAAATAACACTGAATGTAAATGAATTAAATTCTCCAATTAAAAGGCATAGAATGGCTAAATGGATAAAGAAACAAGACCCAACTATATGTTGCCTACAAAAAAACCCATTTCACCTATAAAGACACACATAGAGCCCAGGAGATTGAGGCTGCTGTGAGCTATGATCGTATCACTGCACTCCAGCTTAGAAGACAGAATGATACCTTTTTTTTTTTTTTTTTTTTTTTGAGATACACATAGACTGGGCTGGGCACGGTGGCTCATACCTGTAATCCCAGCACTTTGGGAGGCCAAGGTGGGCGGATTACCTGAGGTCAGGAGTTCGAGACCAGCCTGGCCAACATGGTGACCCCGTCTCTACTAAAAACACAAAAATTAGCCAGGCATGGTGGCACATGCCCGTAATCCCAGCTACTCGGGAGGCTGAGGCAGGGGAATTGCTTGAGCCTGGGAGGCATAGATTTCAGTGAGCCGAGATTATGTCACTGCAGCCTGGCTGACAGAGCAAGACTCTGTCTAAAAAAAAAAAAAAAAAAAAAAGATACACATAGACTGGAAGTGTGTCCAGTTAAAATAAGATATAGTACGCAACTGGAAACCAAAAAAGGGAAGTAGATATGTTTATACCAGATAAAATAGACTACAAGTCAAAGACTGTAAAAAGAGACAAAGAAGGTCACTATATGATGATAAAGGGGTCGATTCAGCAAGATGATACAACAATTATAAATATCTATGCACCTAACGTTAGAGCTCCCAAATATATAAATCAAACATAAATCTATCTAAAGGGAGAGATAGACTACAATATAATAATAGTAGGGAATGTCAACACTCTACTCTCAGTAATGCACAGAACATCCATGCAGAATATCAATAAAGAAACATTAAACTACACACTAGACAAAGTAGACCTAACTAATATTTACAGAATATTTCACCCAACTGCTGCAGAATACACATTCTTTTCATCAGCATATGGAACATTCTCCAGAGTAGACCATGTCTTAGGCCACAAAACAAGTCTCAACAAATTCAGAAAAGAAGAAATAATATCAAGTATCCTTTCTGGCTACAATGGAATAAAACAAGAAATCAATAACAAGAAGAACCTCAGAAACTACACAAATACATGGAAACTAAGCAACATGCTCCTGAATGATGAATGGGACAATGAATAAATTAAGAAAAAAAATGTAAAAAGTCTCTCAAAACAAATTAAAAGGAAATATACCATAATCTGGGGGATACATCAAAGGCAATACTAAGAAGGAAGTTTATACAACAAACAACTATATCAAAAAAGCAGAAAGATTTCAAATAAATAACCTAATGATGCACCTCAGGAAACTAGAAAAGCAATAACAAACCAAACCCTAAATTAGTAGAAGGAAATAAATACTAAAGATTAGAGCAGAAATAAATGAAATTGAGATTTAAAAAATACAGAAGATCAATGAAACAAAAAGTTGGTTCTTTTGAAAAAATAAAATCAACAAACATTTAGCTAGACTATCTAAGAAAAAAAGAGAAAAGACCCAAGTAAACAAGATCAGAAACTGAAAAGGAGACATAAGTGAGACTACAGAAGTTCAAAGAATCATTAGAGACTATTATAAACAACTACATGCCAACAAACTGGAAAACCTAGAAGAAATGGATAAATTCCTGAACATATACACTTATCAAGACTGAACTATGAATATTGTTCATATGAATATCAAGACTGAACTATGAAGAAAATAGAAAACCTGAACAAGCCAATAATGACTAATGAAATTGAAGCTGTAACAAAGAGTCTCCCATCAAGAAAAGCCCAGGACATGATACCTTCACTGCTGAATTCTACCAAACATTTAAACAAGAATTAATACCAATTCCATGCAAACTCTTCAATAAAACTGAAGAATAGGGAATACTTCCAAACTTGTTCTACAAGGTCGTCATTACCCTGATACCAAAACTAGACAAGGACATGACAAGAAAAGAAACAACAGGCTAATATCACTGATAAAAATAGATGCAAAACCCCTCAACAAAATACTAGCAAACTGAATTCAATAACACATTAAAAAGACCATTTGGCGGCTGGGCACAGTGGCTCACGCCTGTAATCCCAGCATTTTGGGAGGCTGAGGGAGGCGGGTCATGAGGTCAGGAGATCGAGACCATCCTGGCCAACATGGTGAAACCCCATCTCTACTACAAATACAAAAATTAACTAGGCATAGTGGCACATGCCTGTAGTCCCAGCTACTCGGGAGGCTGAGGCAGGAGAATCGCTTGAATCTGGGACGCAGAGGTTGCAGTGAGCCGAGATTGTGCCACTGCACTCCAGCCTGGGGACAGAGTGAGGCTCTGTCTCAAAAAAAAACCATTTGCCATGACCAAGTGGGATTCATCCTAGAGACATAAGGATGGTTCAACATTTGCAAATCAATAAATGTGATACATCACATTAACAGAACCATAAGACCATTTCAATCAAGGCTGAAAAAGTATTCAATAAAATTCAACATCCCTTTATGATGAAAACTCTCAACAAATTGGGTAGAGAAGGAGCATATCTCAAAATAATACAGGCCATATCTGACAAACTGTCAGCTAACATCATACTGAACAGGGAAAAATGGAAAGCCTTTTCTTTAAGATGTGAAACATGACGAGAATGCCCACTCTCAACCTTTTAATCAACATAATATTGGAAGTACTGGCCGGAGCAAGTAGGAAAGAGAAAGAAATAAAGGGCATCCAATTGGAATGAAAGAAATCACATTAGCTTTGTTCACAGATGACATAATTTTATACTTAGAAAAATCTATAGATTCCACCAAAAAACTGTTAGAACTGATAAACGAATTCAGTAAAGTTGCAAAATCAATGTACAAAAATCAGCATTTACATACATCAACAGCAAACAATCTGCAAAAGAAATCAAGAAAGCAATGCCATTTATAATAGCTACAAAGAATATAAAATACCGAGGAATCAATTTTTTTTTTTTTCTTTTGAGACAGAGTCTTGCTCTGTCACCCAGGCTGGAGTGCAGTGGCTCAATCTTGGCTCACTGCAAGCCTCCCAGGTTCAAGCGATTCTTCTGCCTCAGCCTCCTGAGTAGCTGGGACTACAGGCACATGCCACCATGCCCGGCTAATTTTTTGTTGTTGTTTGTATTTTTAGTAGAGATGCAGTTTCACCATATTGGCCAGGCTGGTCTCAAACTCCTGACCTCGTGATCCACACACCTCAGCCTCCCAAAGTGCTGGGATTAAAAGCATGAGCCACCGTGCCTGGCCCCTAGGAATCAATTTAACCAAAGACGTGAAAGATCTATACAAGGAAAACCATAAAATTTTGACAAAGGAAATTGAAGACGACATACGAAAAAGGAAAAGATAGTCCCTGCTCATGGATTGGAAGAATTAACATTGTTAAAATGGCAATATTACCCAAAGCAATTTATAGCTTGAACACAAGCCCTTTCAAAATACTAATGATATTATTCACAGTAATAGGAAAAAAAAAAACCCTAAAATTTATATGGAACCACAAAAGACCCCAAATAGCCAAAGCAATACTGAGCAAAAAGCACAAAGCTGGTGGCATCACATCCCATTATGTGATTTCAAAATATACTACAAGGTTGTAATAACCAAATCAGCATGGTACTGCCATAAAACAGATACACAGATCAATGGGAACACAACAGAGAACTCAGATATAAAATCCATTCATTTATAGCCAACTAATTTTCAATGAAGATGCCATGAATATACACTGGAGAAAGAAGAGTCTTTTCAATAAATGGTGCTGGGGAAACTGGATAACCATATGCAAAATAATAAAACTAGACCCCTATTTCTTACCATATATAAAAATGGATTAATTACTTAAGTCTATGACCTGAAACTATGAAACTACTAGAAGAAAACATTGGGAAACACTCCAGGACAAAGATTTTTTGTGTAAGACTCAAAAGCACGGGCAATAAAAGCAAAAATAGACAAAGAGGATTACAGCTAGCTAAAAAGCTTCTGCACAGCAAAAGAAACAATCAACAAAGTAAAGAGGTAACCCCCAGAATGAGAGAAAATATTTGCAAACTACTCATCCAACAAGGGATTAATAACTGAATATATAAGGAGTTCAAACAACTTAATAGCAAAAAAAAAATCTGATTTAAAAATGGGCAAAACATCTGAACAGACATTTCTCAAAAGAAGACACACAAATGGTGTATGAAAAAATGCTCCACATCACTAATCATCAAAGAAATACAAATCAAGCCTGGGCGAGGTGGCTCACGCCTGTAATCCCAGCACTTTGGGAGGCCAAGGTGAGCGGATCAACGAGGTCAGGAGATCGAGACCATCCTGGCTAACACAGTGAAACCCCGTCTCTACTAAAAACACAAAAAATTAGTTGGGCGTGGTGGCGGGCGCCTGTAGTACCAGCTACTCGGGAGGCTGAGGCAGGAGAATGGCATGAACCCGGGAGGCGGAGGTTGCGGTGAGCCGAGATCGTGCCACTGCACTCCAGCCTGGGTGACAGAGCAAGACTCTGTCTCAAAAAAAAAAAAAAAAAGAAAAGAAAAAGAAAAAGAAAAAGAAAAAAGAAATACAAATCAAAACAACAGTGAGATCATCTCACTCCACTTAAAATGGCTTTTATCAAAAAGGGATGCTGCTGAGGATATGGAGAAAGGGGAACCCTCATAGACTGTTGGTGGGAATGTAAATTAGTACAACCACTATCAATAGCACTTTTTGAGCTATTTTTAGCACAAAAAACTAAAAAGAGAACCACCATTTGATCCAGCAATCCACTACTGGGTATATATCCAAAAGAAAAGAAATCAATATATCAAAGAGATATCTGCACTCCTGTATTTATCACAGCACTATTCACAATAGCCAAAAAATGGAATCAACCTAAGTGTCCATCAATGGATGAATAGATAGAGAAGATGTGGTATATATACCCAATGAAGTATTATTCAACCATAATAAAATAAAATTATGTCATTTGTAGCAACATGGATGCAAGTGGATGTCACCATGTTAAGTGAAATAAGCCAAGTGCAGAAAGACAAATATTGCATGTTCTCACTCATATGTGGGAGCTAAAAACTTGGATCTCTTGAAGACAGAGAGTAAATTTGTGGTTTTCAGAGGCTGGGAAGGAGAGGGGAGTGAGGGGATGAAGAGAGGTTGATTAATGGGTACAAATATACAGTCAGAAAAAGTAAGATCTATTGTTCTATAGATCTGTAGGGTGACAATAGTTTGCAATAACCTATTATGTATTTCAAAATAGCTAGAAGGGAATAACTTGAATGTTTCCAGTATAAAGAAAAGACAGATATTCAAGGGACAGATATCTCAATTATCCTGATTTGATATTTACACATGATATGAATGTATTAAATTATTACATGTACCCTGAAAATATGTACATCTATTATGTATCAATAAAAAATAAACATACCTTAAAATAAAATAAAATGTGTAAAGGAAAAAAATCATTTGACCATATATGTGAGGGTTTGTTTCTGGGCTCTGTCTTCTACTTCATTGGTTTATATGTCTGTCTTTATGCCAGTTCCACATTGTTTTGAATACTGTAGCTTTGTTTTGAAATCAGGAAAAGTGAGTCCTTTAGCTTCGTTCTTTTTCTTTTTCTTTTTTTTTGAGACAGAGTCTCTCTGTCGCCCAGGCTGGAGCACAGGGGCGCGATCTTGGCTCACTGCAAGCTCCGCCTCCCGGGTTCACGCCATTCTTCTGCCTCAGCCTCCCAAGTAGCTGGGACTACAGGCGCCCGCCACCAGGCCCGGCTAATTTTTTGTATTTTTAGTAGAGACGGGGTTTCACCGTGTTAGCCAGGATGGTCTCGATCTCCTGACCTCGTGATCCACCCACCTCGGCCTCCCAAAGTGCTGGGATTACAGGTGTGAGCCACCGTGCCCGGCCAGCTTTGTTCTTCTTTTTCAAGATCATTTTGGCTACTTAGGGAACCATGAAATTCAATATAAATTTTAGGATGAGTTTTTCTTTTCTGCAAAAAAAAAAGTCATTGGGATTTGATAGGGCTTGCATTGAATCTGTAGATTGACTTGCTGTAGTGAGAACTTCCAGTACTATGTGGAATAGAAGTGGTGAAAGCAGGCATCCTTTCCTTGTTCCTGATCATAGAGGGAAAGCTTTCAACTTTTCACCATTGAGTATATTTGCAGTGAGTTTTTTGTATACAGCTTTTTAATGTTGAAGTAATTTCCTTTTATTTTTTAAAAAAACTTTTATTTTTTAAAAATCAACAGATAATAATTGTGCATACTCATGGGTTACCTACTGATTTGATTATACATATAATATGTAGTGATCAGATCAAGGTAACTAGCATATCCCTCATCTCAAACACTGATCATTTCTTATATTGGGAACAGTCAGTATCCTCCTTCTAGCTATTTGAAACTATATATTTTATTTTTAACTATAGTCATCCTACAGTGGTACAGAACACAGAACTTATTCCTCCTATCTAGCTATAATATTATATCTTCTAACAAATTTCTCTCTAACTCTCTCTTCCCCTTACCCTTCTCAGCCTCCAGTATCCTCTGTTCTACTTTTTCTATGAGGTCAACTTTTATTTTTCACTTCCACATATGAATGAGACATGCAGTGTTCCATTCCTGGCTTATTTCACTTAATATAATGTCCTCCAGTTCCACCCATGTTGCCAAGAATGACAGAATTTCATTCTTTTTTAAATAGCTAAAAAGTATTCCATTGTGTATATATACCACATTTTCTTTATCCATTCATCTGTTGTTGAACATTTAGAATTCTATTCCTAATTTGTTGAGTGTTTTTATCATGAAACGGTATTGAATTTTGACAAATGCTTTTTTTGCATCAGTTGAGATTATCATTTTTCCCTTTTGTCTGTTAATGTGGTACATTATATTGATCATTTTTTGTATGTTGATCCATCCTTGAATTCTGGGAATAAATTTCACTTGGTCATGTATGTAATCCTTTTAATATGCTGCTGAATTTGGCTTGCCAGTATTTTGTTGAGGTTCTTGCATCAATGTTCTTAAGGGATATTGGTCTATTGTTTTCTTGGCATGTCTGTCTGGCATTGCTTTCAGGGTAATACTGGCCTCATAGAATGAATTAGGAAGTGTTTTCTCCTTTTTTTTTTTTTTTTTTTTTTTAGATAGGGTCTCGCTCTGTTGCCTAGGCTGGAGTGCACAGCATGATCATGGCTAACTGCAGCCTCAACTTCCTGGGCTCAAATGATTCTCTCGCCTCAGCCTCCAGAGTAGCTGGGACCACAGGTGTGCACCATGATGCTTGACTAATTTTTGTATTTCTTGTAGGGACAAGGTCTCACTGTGTTTCCCAGGCTGGTCTCAAACTCTCAAGCAATCTGCCTGTCTTGGTTTCCCAAAGTGCTGAGATTACAGGTAT
Organism: Homo sapiens; assembly: GCF_000001405.40. Classification (NCBI taxonomy): domain Eukaryota; kingdom Metazoa; phylum Chordata; class Mammalia; order Primates; family Hominidae; genus Homo; species Homo sapiens. The sequence goes on along the minus strand of NC_000014.9, from coordinate 68,828,099 downwards.
GAGCCACTTTGCCCAACCCCTCCTTTTTAATTTTTAAAAACGTTTGAAAAAAATAGGTGTTAGTTCTTTAGATATTTGATAGGATTCACCAGTGAATCCATCAAGTCTAGAGCTTTTCTTTATTGGAAGGTTTTGATTACTGAGTCAATCTCTTTACTAGTTATAGATCTATTCAGATTTTCAATTTCTTCTTGATTTAGTCTTGGTAGGTTTTATGAATATGTCTATTTCACCTAGGCTATCCAATTTGTTGGTGTACAATTGTTCATAGTACTCTCAGAATCCTTTTTATTTCCATAGAATTGGAAATAAACGTCCCCACTTTCTTTCTTTTTTTTTTTTTCTTTTTGTGAGACGGAGTCTCACTCTTGTCACTCAGGCTGGAGTGCAATGGCGCGATCTTGGCTCACTGCAACCTCCGCCTACCAGGTTCAAGAGATTCTCCTGCCTCAGCCTCCTGAGTAGCTGGGCATTACAGGCATGTGCCACCACGCCTGGCTAATTTTTGTACTTTTTTAGTAGAGACAGGGTTTCACCATATTGGCCAGGCTGGTCTCGAACTCCTGACATCAGGTGATAACACCCGCCTTGGCCTCCCAAAGTGCTGGGATTACAGGAGTGAGCCACCGCGCCCGGCCAAATGTCCCCACTTTCATTTCTGATTTCAGTAATTTGAGGCTTCTCTCTCTCTTTTATTAGTCCATCTAGCTAAAGGTTTTTCAATTTTGTTGATCATTTCAAAAAACAAACTTTTTGTTTCGCTGGTTTATCTCTATTGTTTTTCTTTTTCTTTTTCTGAAATGGGGTCTTGCTCTGTTGCCCAGGCTGGGGTGCAGTGGCATGATCTTGGCTCCCTGCAACTTCTGCTTCCCAGGCTCAAGCGATCCGCCCATTTCAGCCTCCTGAGTAGCTGGGACTACAGGCACACACCGCCATGCCCAGCTAATTTTTTGTATTTTTGGTAGAGGTGGGGTTTTGCCATGTTGCCCATGCTGGTCTTGAACTCCTGAGCTCAAGTGATCTGCCTGCCTTGGCCTCCCAGAGTGCTGGGATTACAGGCATGAATAACTGTGCCCAGCCTTTTCTATTGTGTTTCTATTCTCAGTTTCATTTGTTGCTAATATTTATTTTGACTACCACGACTGGCCTCCAGTTATATTTCTGTTATTGATTTTTAACTTCATCCTGTTGTGGTCCGAGGAGATACTTTATATGACAGTTATCTTTTTAAATTTATTTAAATATTGGGTTGTTTGGTTTTCTCTTTATACTTCCTCAAGTTGTAAAGTTAGGTTGTTGATTTGAAATCTTTCTTGTTTTTTAATGTAAACACTTACAGCTATAAATTTCCACCTTAGCACTGCTTTTATTGTATGTCATACATTTTGCTATGTTGTGTTACTTATAGCTATAAATTTTCTCCTTAGCGCTGCTTTTGTTGTATCTCATACATTTTGCTTTGTTGTGTTTTCATTTTCTTTTATTTCTAGGTATTTTCTGGTTTCCTTTGTGATGTCTTCTTTGATCCATTGGTTAAGAGTGCATTGTTTTTTCACAAATTTGTGAATTTTCCAGTTGTATTTCCTTTTCTTTTCTTTTTTTGTAGACAGGGTCTCACTCTGTCGCCCAGACTGGAGTGCAGTGGTGTGATCACAGCTCACTGCAGCCCCAACCTTCCCAGGCTCAGATGATCTTCCCACCTCAGCCTCTAAGAGTAGCTGGGACTACAGGTGTGCGCCACCATGCCTGGCTATTTTTTATTTATTATTATTATTATTATTATTATTATTATTTTGTAGAGATGGGGTTTCAGCATGTTGCCCAGGCTGTTCTCGAATTCTGGGCTCAAGTGATCTGCCCACCTCCGAGGCCTCCCAAATTGCTGGGATTACAGGCGTGAGCCACCACGACCGGCCTTCAGTTATATTTCTGTTATTGATTTTTTAACTTCATCCTGTTGTGGTCCAAGGAGATACTTTATATGACAGTTATCTTTTTAAATTTATTGAGACTTCATTTGGGTTTGGTCCCATGGGGCTTGTGTAGCTGCAGGGCTGGAAGTTAAGTGGACAGCTACCTTTGGAGTTACATATTGGATGGGGCTAATACTTCCTCCCTCACAGGGCTGGTGTGACGTGCAAATAAGATAACACAGGTGAAAGGCCTTTGTAAAGTATAACAAGATAAGGAAAAGTTTATCATTGATCCTTTTTACCACAGAGAGGAGGAAGAGCCATTTCCCTGCTTTCTCCTCAACAGTGCAGTCTCTCTTGGGAGCAGGAGACAGGAGAGAAAAAGCTACGCTTTTGGTTGGAAATAGCCTCTTGTTAAAATCTGAGCAGTTAAAGTCGAGTGCCTAAACACCAGCACAAGTTTGCCATCACAGCTGAGTTGAAAAACCCAAGTTCTGTATCTTTTTCATTTGTATTTTTTGTTTGTTTTATTTTGTTTTTATTTGAGGCAGAGTCTTGCTTTGTTGCCCAGGCTGGAGTGCAGCGGTGCAATCTCGGCTCACTGCAACCTCTGGCTCGTGGGTTCAAGCTATTCTCATGCCTCAGCCTCCCAAGTAGCTGAGATTACAGGCGCCTGCCAGCATGCCTGGCTAATTTTTGTGTTTTTAGCAGAGACGGGGTTTCACCATGTTGACCAGGCTGATCTCAAACTCCTGGCCTCAAGTGATGCACCCGCCTCGGCCTCCCAAAGTGCTGGGATTACAGGCGTGAGCCACCGTGCCTGGCCACCCCTTTTTCATTTGTGAACTAGAAATAGTAACACCTACCTCATGGGTCATTGTGAGGATTAAGATAACTTTTACTCTTGTTGGTGTTGTCATCACTAATATTTGAAGAAAGCCATGCTAAAGGGCTGTATATGTTGTTCTTCCATCTTGCAATGACCTTCTGATGTAGATCTATCACTTCCTTTTTTCTTTTGAAAAAATTGAGGGTTAGTTGCACAACGCTTCCAGACCCTGTAGGAAGGAGACTGGGATTGTCCCTGTGCTCCTAGGCGAGCTGTCTTTGGGAAGTGGGGCTCTATGCAACCCGTGCCGGGAGAGGCCACTAGAGGGCACTCGCCTGCTCCTCATGGCCTGTGCTGGACCGGAAGGTGTCCAGCCCTAAACACACCCCCTCGGACAGCCGCTGTGCCGCATGCCCAAAGTGACCTCTATGGCATTTTCCAGGATGGAGCGTAGTCTCCAGGACCACATGTGGGAATATGGGGCTAATAGGCCTGCTCAATTTGTTCTCAGAACAGGGTGGTGAAAACATTTGCCCTGCTCAGGTTCCTGGGACTCTGTGCAGAAAGGTGAGGGAGGATGGTGCTGTCTGTCCCCTTCAAGGATTCCTCCAGGACAGGCAGCTCATGCAAGACCTGAGTGCACAGGGGAGGGCACCAAGGTGTTGAGCAGTTTCCTGTGCACCCCACCCCCTCCAGGAGGCCCTTCATACCCTCTGTTAGCTCACTGTATGTCATGACAAGCCCCCACTCCCGAAGTGGGCAGTGGGTACAAACTCACTGCTGGGGAGGGGCTGTGCCTGACCAGGCATGGCTCTGGGGTCCCCTCTTGGCTTCCTCTGACCCCAAGTTGAGCAGCATCTGGGACTTGTTCTCCAGAAGCACGCTGGCCAGCACCTGCCCCTGGCTTACTCCAGTCTTCCTTGGAGAGCTGGCTGAGGGCTGGATGGGAGAGTTCCCCTGTGTGCCCTTTAACTCATGGAGTTGCCCTTGACTTGGTCCAGTTACTTTCCCCTTGTGCCTCATGGAAGGTGTTGGTGGGCTATAGATCCCTATGTTTCCCTGCCTGCAGCCCCAAGATCCACAGCCCCTTTTTGCCAAGTTATCCTGACTCCTGGGTCCAGTCCAGCCTGCCCCTTACCCCATTGGCCTTCCCTGTCCATGGCAGTGACCCCTTGCTGAGTCACATCCGCACCACCTTGCACCCACCCCCTTGGGCAAACAGGGCCCGGGCAGTGACCCCCAGGGCCCAACAGCCAGTGCAAAGGAGTTCTGCCCTGGCCAGGCCTACTTGCCTTTCCAGGACAGCAGTTGGGGCCTCTTGGCCACCCACCCCCACCTCCACCTTGGGCAGAACCAATGGATCTCTTTTTCTTCTTTTCCTCCCAGCAGGGGTGGGCAGATCGATACGTGGCCCAGGTTCCTCTTAAGCAATGGAGCTCCCAAAGCCCTGTAGATGATTGACCTGGCCAGCCCATTACTTGGTCATGGAATGTGTGTGTGCCTGGCAAGCAGAAGCCCTGTGGCCTCCAGAGTCCCTTTCTGGGTAGGGTTCTTTCCAGGGGGGGAGACCACCTGGGGGCTATTATTCATGGTAAGCCAGATCCCAGTGGGCCACCCAATTTCTCAAAAGCCCCATTCCCTCTTCACTCCCAGAGGCCATTTGACAGAGCAGCGATTGCTCCTCTCTCTAGGTCAACCCTTTAACCACCGCAACATTCATTTACTAGTCTGCATGTCCACTGACTGCTCAACCACTCACTCACCCATGCGCGCTTATACACTCACTTGCCCTCCCACTCATCCCCATATCCTCTCACATATCCCCTTACCTGTCCACTCCCTCCCTCATCCCAGTGAATACCTGAACATCTGAGGTGCCAGCCTGGTGCTAGGCACAGCCAGCAGAAAAGCTCTAAGCAGTTGTCAAGGGCAAAGCCTTTGGAATCAGAAGGATGTGAATCCTGACTGTACTGTTTCCTGGCCACCTAGCTATGGGCACATTTCTCCAATCTGTGAGCCTTAGTTTCTTCATCTGTAAAACAGGGACCTCATGCACCTTCCTTTCAGGGAGGCTGTAAAGATCGGCTTTAGGATTAATGCATGCAAAGTGCTTCAACCAGAGCCCAGAGAACACAGCTGTGGTCACCGGGCCTCTCAGCAGCCATGTCCTGGCCGTGGGGACTATAGTTGGCCCCATCTGACCCTGGGCTGACCCTGGGACAGGCAGGGGCCCATTCCTGCCCCTCAGCTAGGCTATGCTCCCTGGACAGGTGGTCCCCACCCCCAACCCTGGAATAGAGGGCAATAATCACCCAGCTTCCCATGCATCCCTTCCCTGGCTTTCTTTCCCTCAGGGCGCCCTGGGGTTTTCAGGTCAGCCAAGACACCTGGAGCAAGATCTAGCTTGCTCTCTCCCCTCTCTGCCAAGGAAGTTCTCTGTGACAGCAGCAGGGGGTGGGAACTGGTTGAGAGCATCTGACCCTCTGAGGGAGCATTTTCCTTCCCACATGAGGCCCTATGTGCCCAGGACCTGGTTAGCCCCCATCCTCTTCCCTTCCACCCAGAGCCCCAGTGCAGACTGTTCCCTCCAGCTCATCTGGGAGTTCCCTGGGGCAGGAGGTGCACCCTGAATGCCAAAAGGTGGGCTTAGCTGTGGGGTCAGCTAGGGCAGGGGAAAAGAGAGGGACTGGAGCACGGCTGGGGCAGGGGCTCCGTGTGAAGGGATTTCCTTCATTTCCCCTAGACAGGCAGCCATGTGAGGTTCACAGGGGAGCGTTGTGGGCCCCTTGGCTTTTATTAGGGGATGTGTAGAAATGTGGGTGTGGACCTTTGAGTGGCTCACACCAGAATGCAAATTTTCTACACACTGGCCTGGTGACCTTGGATAAGTCACTGGTAAAATCTTAGTGGTTTAAGAAATACACGTGACATACTCAGCATGCACTGACACCCAGGAAGTGCTGTGTTATAAGGGGATGGCCCTGGGGCCAGTGGCTTTGTACCAGCCTGGGTAAGTCCCTGGCCATTCAACTCAGCCAGCAGGGGAAGGGCTGTAGGGAGCCCTTCCCCTCCCCTTGGCCGGTCCTTGGTGGCACTTTCAGTGGCCATGTCCTTGCTGGATAATGCTTCTTTCATCCTGGATGGGGTGCAGGTGGGGGTGGCAGTTAAGAAGTCCCAACTCCCCAGGCTCATGTTTTCAGCCTGACTTACTGAGTAGACCTGCCTTGGTGAGGATGAGGTGGGATGGGGTGAGCGGTAGGGGTGCATAACTGTCTGGAGGTGAGCTCGGCTGTGGACATGTGAGCACACACACACTGTCTCATATATTCCAGCTGCAGCTGCCCGTGGGTTAGGGCCCTGCCTCTGGTCTCCTTGCCCCTGGCAAGGTGGTCATTATTAGTTTCCTTCTCAGTTTGCTCTATTTTAAGCTTCTAGAGGACAGGAACATGTTTGTTTTGTTTTTAAAATGTTATATCCTTATTGCTCAGTAGAGTAACTGGCACTGAATGAGTGAGATGGAAGAATAATTGGACACTAGGCAGTCAGTGTCAGAACAGGGTGTGTGGACAGTGCACACTGAGTCTCAACTGGCCATCAAGTGGGCCAAGGTGGGCATCCCCAGGCAGGCATTCTAGGGTCCTGTGTATTGCCATATCTGTGCCCTCCACCTAAGGCTGGACGTTGGTAGGGGCCCTTATGTCATGGCCTTCTTGATGTGACAGCCCTGCTTTCCTGAGGCCAGGGATCCCCGGTGTGGGCTGTGTCAGGCGCTGCCAGCGGGGAACTCCCCAGGCTCAGTGCTGGTGCTTGTTCTCCGGAGCACCCCTCTGTCCTGCCCCTGGCCCCAGCACCCAGTTTCTGTTCTGGGGTGGCTCATCCTCATCAGAAAGGGAGCTCCTTGGAGGCCTCGTGGTGCCTGGCTGGTATACAGTGGGTGCTCAGTACATGCCTGCCATCTGAGTGGTCCACTTGCTGGACGGGGCTGGCCATGTTGCCTAGGGAAGCTGGCTGGGAACAGCGTTCCCAACCCGGCCTGCCACCAGGCTGGCCCCCAGGGTTGAGCACCTCCCAGCTGTCACAACCCAGTTGTGAGAAACGGTTCAACCCCCGGGAGTGCTATGGTCTGTGGTTGGCCAGGGGCTGGAATTCCCCCAAGGAGGCGGCCCCTGCGGCCACGCTATGGTCTTGCCTGGATCAGGGTGACTGGGAGGCCAGAGCACCCTCGCCTGTGAACCTGCGCTGAGAAGTGAACCTGCGCTGAGAAGTGAACCTCAGAAGGGGTCAGGTCACCACTCAGGGACCAGCATGCCCCCAGGGGCAGCCTCCTCCCAGACGGCAGTGCCAGGATGGGGCCATCTGGGGAGCAGGCTTGCACGGACCATGTCTCTCCGGTGTGGACTCAAGCTGGGAGTCTCAGCGCCTCGGGACTGTTTCCTCATCTGTAAGATGGGAGTGCTTACAGACAATGGAACATTATTTAGCCATAGACCAAGGTGTAATAACAATACATGTTACAACCTGGATAAACCTCGAAAACATGATGCTAAGTGACAGAAGCCAGACACAAAAGCTCTGGATAGGTGAAGTATCCAGAATAGGCAACCCCATAGCGACAGGAAGTAGAGGGTGGTTTCCAGGGCCTGGGGGAGGAGGGAAAGGAGAGCAACTGTTTAGTGGGTATGGGTTTCCTTTTGGGGTGATAAAAATGTTTTGGAACTAGACAGAGGCGGAGGTTCCACAACCCTGTAAATATACTAAATTCCACTGAAGTGTTCACTTTAAAATGCTTCATTTTATGTTATGTGAACCTTACCTTGATAAAAAACACAGGGGTGCTACTGACTTCACCAGCTGGTTTGGAGGCTTCAAAGAGAAGATGGCCGTGTAGCCTGAGCTCAGCCAGTGACACTGGTGAATGTCAAAGAATGGAAGCCATCGTGACCCTGGGGGCTGTGTCAGTTCCCTTGCCTTGCTGGACTCCAGACTGCGGGAGTCAGGGGCAGGAGCCAAGGGGGAGGTGAGGGCAGGTGGCTTCGCTGGGCACACCCCTTAGTCAGGGGCAGAGGGAGCTGCTGCGGCTGCTTCAGCAGCTGTGGGTGAACATTCCTATGCTGCAGGCCCAGGCTCCCGCCTCTGATTTGCTGCGCACTTTGGGTTGGCCCTTCAACCCTGGTTCGTTTCTTAATCTGCCCATATCTGCCTGGGTACCTGCTCTTCTGCCGCTGTATTGGACACCTGACCCCATCCTCATACCCGATTCCCACAGCGCAGGTCACTGCCAGGCAGTGTATTACCGATCTCTTGGTTCTGGGGTCTGTGGTCTATCTTCCCTACAGAATCAAGGGAAAATGGATCTGTTTTGTTCATGACTGTATTTCTAACACCCAGTGCCTGGCACATAGCAGGTACTCAATAAATATCTGTTAAATGAACAAATGTACAAATCCTCATTCTTTACGTAGTGGGTGCCAGGTCCTGTCTGTACTAAGTGCTGTCAGTAAATAGCTGTGAGGTCAATGTTATCATTATCTCCGTTTTACAGAGGAGGAAGCTGAGGCTCTGGGACATGGAATGGCCATAGCAGAGCTGGGATTCTGACCTGGCAGCCCAGCAGCAAAGCCCTCGCTCTGACCCACCCAGTTCTAAGCTGTCTTCTGACCTGGAGCTCCCACTCTGGGAGGCAGCTTGGGCCCTGAAGCATTCACTCTGCCTCCTCAGCCACCGGGCCCCGCCCACTCCCAGGGAGGGGCTCCCTCTGAAGCCGCACACCCACCACCCCGAGCCCTTTCTCAGGCTCACTGCCACCCCAGCCGGCTCCCTTCCCTGGGAACCTCCGTCATAAAGAAGGCGAGGCCCTGATCTGGCCTGTCTCTCCGCCCTGGGGCCTTCCTCACCTCAGGGAACCTTAGTTATACATATGGGAGTTACGCCTTGAGCTTGTATTAAGCACCTTTCATCTGGAGAGCTCCTGGCTGCTGGGAGGCTAATTAGCTGCTCTCTGGAAAGAGTGAGTAAGAGCTGACGTCCTAGCCAGGGAACTGCCTAGCTAGGCATGGGGCTGGCCCTCCTGGGAGAGGTGTGTGAGCCATCATCTTGGGTCACCCACTTCTCCATATTTCTCCTTCTGTAGGACCTCCTCACAGAGTCCCTTCTCTCTGGCTAATGATGAAGCCCACCGTTTATTGAGTGCTTATTATGTGCCAAGAGCTTGCTAAGCCCCTTCGCCTGTTAAATATGTGTGCAGAGCAGTAGGGCCGTAGGACTACATAAATATATGTGTGCAGAGCAGTAGGGCCGTAGGACTACATAAATATATGTGTGCAGAGCAGTAGGGCCGTAGGACTACATAAATATATGTGTGCAGAGCAGTAGGGCCGTAGGACTACATAAATATATGTGTGCAGAGCAGTAGGGCCGTAGGACTACATAAATATATGTGTGCAGAGCAGTAGGGGTGTCATGCGTTAACAACTGTGATGGAGCCCTACTCCTTGCTGGCATGGGACCAGTACTTCTGCACATGACCTCATGGAGTGGATGGGAAGCCTCTAGTGTGCTGCCTGGCACGGATCAAGCACTTGCTAAGTGGTAGCTATTATCAGTAATCTTCAGAACAGCCCAGTGAGGTAGGTACCATGCTATTCCCATTTCTCAGATGAGGAAACAGGCTCAGAGAAGTTAAACCACTTACTGGCTATCACAGAGTCAGGAATAGAGTTGGATTGATTTGATTGATTCTAAAGCTGCACATAGTTTTTCAGCTGCTCCCCGCTCCCTTCCCCTAACCTGGAGTCTGTTAACGACAAAGGCCTTGCTTTGCATAATGCTAGGGTCATGGGGTCATTGGGCAGGGCTGTTCTCGTCCATCTCTCCAACAGTGCACTGGTGGGCTAGGCATGGATCAGAAACCCTTGGAGATCATCTAACACAACTCATCCGCACCCCACATTTTTCAGATGTGAAAACGGGACAGAAGGGACTGAGCAAGGTAACAGGATTAATGGGATGATACCTCCTTGTCAGCACAAGGGATAAAGTGGCAGTGGTTGGTGGTCATCCTGGCCCCTGCCATCAAGCTGGCATTGATACAAAGTAAGAATCATTAGAACACTAGAATTCCTGGCTGCCATTTGTCAGCCTGGCCCACCTGCAATGAGTGACCCCAGGGATGTTTGGGTGGGGTGGGGGTGCACACAGCAGGCTGGAGCTGAGACTGGGGCGGGGAGGGTGTACTCCACCTACCTGCCCTCCAGGGTGCTTGGCGCCTCCTAGGGCAGGCTGGCCTCTTTGTGCCATGCCCCACAGAGCATTGCAGTGATCCTAGTGCAGAGCACATAGTAGGTGCTTAAAAATGCTCATTGGAGAAACAGCTGGATCCTGGACTGCAGGAGGGAGGAGATGGCACACTGAGGGCATTGATGGGTAGATGGTAACATCATGTCTGTTCATCATTACTCAGCAGACCTGGTTCCATCAGATGTGACTGCCCTTCAGGCCTTACAGAAGGTACCTACATAAATCTGCTCAGGCAAAGAGAAGTTTGTGGGCTGTGGGCACCTGGCTGGGGTTCCTCAAGGTGGAGCATTCTTCTTGGCACTGACGGGGGTAGCTAAGATCTGAGCATGCAGGCAGGCCCTCTTCTCCCCTGGATGCTGCCCTTCTGAGGAGGCAGCTCTGTGGGTACCAGAGGCATGGGCCTAGGAGGCTGTGACCCCCTGCCTGGCCCCCTACCAGTCTCTGCTTCTACAGACAGGGTCTGCATCTTACCTGCTCCTCCTGCCAGTTCCAGTCCCCTCCCCATTCCCCTCAGGACCTCATCCCTCCTCCTGGCCTCAGCTTAAGGGTTTCCTCAGAGAGGTCTTCCTCAAGAACCTTCCCATCCCAAATCTAAATGAGTGCCCCATTTATATATGTTCTCTGAGCACCTGATTCTTTTCCTTCATAGGAATTTGAAAGTCTTTTCAAATGGAATCTTATATTTCTTTCTAGGTGATTTGTTGAAACAAGTCTGTCTCCTCCGTTAGACTAAGCTCCGCGAGGGGTGAGAAAGTTGTTCCGTCCACTCGTCCTCCGGGGCTAGCAGGACATATTCTGTATTAAATGAGTAGATGACAGAAACCCCGTGAGAGAAAGAGTGAGCCGAGCCAGTGGTTCTCTAAGTGTGGCTCCAGGACCAGCGGACCAGCAGCTCAGCATCGCCTGAGGATTTGTTAGAAATGCAAATTCTCTGACTTGGTTGGGGGACCCAGCAATCCGGGTTTGAAAGAACTGTCCAAGGGGGGATTCCTGTGCACACTGAAGTTTGAGAACCACCGAAGGCGGCAAATCCCCTGCTGTTGGGTGAGTGTGCACTGTGGCAGCTTTGGTGACCTGTAAGAGGAACCATGGATGAGCAAACCCCACCTTCAAATGTAGCAAAGGGCAGAGAGAGGGTGGACACGTCACCCAGACCCCCAAAAGGGGCCCAGACGTGTTGTTCGGCGAGCTGGCCACTGGAGGGCAGTGTGGCCACGTCCATCGTGCTGCCTCCGAGGGCTTCCGGGGGAGAGCGGCCGCGGGAGGACGGGAACGAAGCCGTAGCGAGAACCTCGCCCCACGCCGCAGCCTCCTGCAGCAGCGTCGGCTCGCCGGCCCCTTGCGTTCCGAGCCGCCCAGGGAGCTCAGCCGCCGCAGCCCCGGCCCCTGTGTCTCCCCTCGCGGGCCGGGCCTGGTGTGCACGTCTGGATGGCCTCGGGCCTGGAAGGTTTGCGAGGCCCCGGGAGCCGCAGACCGCGCCGGGGAGGAGATCCCGGCAGGCCGGCCGGGGCAGAGCGCCAAGGAGGGCGGCGGAACCTTGGCTGTTTCCCGGGAGGCCAAGGGCAGCCTTCCCGCGTGATCCGCGCGCTGCCGAGCGCGTCGGCCATCTTGGCGGCCTCGCCCGGGCCCCGCGCCCGGCCCGGCTTGGTTCTCGCTCGCGGCTGAGCAGACGCCGGGGTGGCGACGGGAGAGCCCGACCGCGAAGCTCGGCCGCAGGAGTGCGTGGGCGTCGCAGAAGCCCAGGAGAGCCCTGGACCTTGGTAGCTTCCCGGGGGTGCTGGGAAACGCCACCCCAGTAGCCGCCAGGAAGGCAGGCCTGAGCCTCCGAGCCTCAAGTGAATTGGATGGTGCCAGTCGCCCTTCTTCTTTTTGCCCCATATTCAAAGAGCGGGAAGTCAGAGGGCGTTAAAGTAGGTCACAGCGGTCAGCAGGTTTTTGTGGGGCAGGCAAGTGGCAGGGTCCAAGGCCAGGCGTAGTATCTGGTTGCCTAAGATGCTTGGGCAACTCCTTCACCGGGCACACCAATCTCCGAGCCAGAGGTCAGGGACTGGCCCCGCGGAGCTGGCTGCAGGCGGCCGATGCATTCCAGTCCCTGACCACCATGGGGACTTGAGGTGCCATTCTGAGGAGCCCCAGGCCCCACCACGCCTGTTGCCTCTGTCTAGAGTAGTTCACACATGGATGCTGTCTCTCTGGTACTTGGGTGTTTCTCAGGTTCCAGAACATCCGTTCATCTTACCAGTCCTTCAAGGTTCAGCTTAAAGATCAGCTCCACCAGGAAGCCTTCCTGGATTTCCCCTCTTAGTTTCCAACAGAATCCGTCTCTTCCGTTCTCTGCCCACCTTGAGTAGCAGTAGCTTCAGCTGTAGACTCTCCTGTTTTTCCCTTACAGTCTTTGTTGCTGCATCCTCTTTCACTGAATTGTTGATGTGAGACCCTAGACTCTCTTGTTTTTTCGTTACAGTCTTTGTTGCTGCATCCTCTCTCACTGAATTGTTGAATTGTGAGACCCTGTGAGGGTCGGCACCCTGTGATACTGGCCAGGAAAGGGTTGTTGCAAGGGGATCATGGGATTGTTGAATGGGTTTTGATCTGGATTTTGATGTTGGAAATCAAGTTCCCAAATGTTTTCAACCTTGGGTAAAGGAACATGTAATGGTGTTTTTTAAGGCTGTCATGGAATCCTTTTGTGTGTTTAATTGCTTTGTTATTTTAGTAGAAATGTCAGGGTGTCAGAGGAACAAAAGCCATGGGTCTGAGCCCAAGCAAGAAGACAAACCACTGAGCCCGTGCTGGGTGCTTCCTCTGCGTGGCCTCAGGGTCAGGGCCTGTCAGATGGAATGGCAGGCTGCGGGTCCAGCCCCAAGGTCCAACCAAGGAAGCTCCTGGGGCCTTGGCCGAGCTTGAGGCTGTGATTTCAGACTCCTCGCTGGTCTAGGTCGGTATTTCAGAGGAGGCAAAAGAGAAAGTGCCTTCACAGCCTTGGAGAAGACTGGGAGCTAAAGGAGACATCCTTGCTTTTTCCTTTTAAAATAATAAGCCAAATGTTCTCCCATGAAGGACTCCAGAAAACCCCGTTCATGCCTCACCCACAGATGATTTGCTGAATGCTCATTAAGGGGAAAACAAAGAGGTGGTTTTGTTTATTTATTTAAAAGGAAAAATAAATGAGCTGTGACAAAACAATTTGAAACCAGGCCCCTCTGAGACCTGGGCTTTCACTTCCTTGATGGGAAGTAAAACAGAGAATCAAATCCCCCTCCAAATAAAAGTGAAGTTAATAATCAGACAGCTCGAGCCCTGGCCACATCCTGTCAGCCCCCTCCCTCCCTAGGCTCTCTGTTTATAGCTGCCGAGTGCTTTCCCTCCAGAGCCCAAGCCGGCTTAACCCTTTCCTCCCCATCCAGGGAAGCCCAACCCTGCTCTTGAGACTGGAGGTGGGTTCCTCACACCCACTGGTGCTGGCCTAACCTCAGCAAGCGGTGGCTCTCCCCAGGCCTGCCGGCATGGGCCTGTGTCCCCCACAGGGCAGCCAGCTTGGATTTGAGTGATATTCTCTGCTTGTCCTGCACAAAGCCTGAAAGTGTCACCTTTCCTCTCCATACCTCCAGGGGAAGACTAGGCCAACCCATTCCCATTCCAGACGCCATGCAGCTTCTATAGCCCGGTGGGCTCCAGAAAGCTGCATTCTGACAGAAAGAGGCACAAATCTTTGGGGTTTCTGGTCTGCACAGAGAGCAGCACTCTGTGCATGTCTCTGGGCTACTTTCTGTGAAAACTTTCCACTTCCTTCAAATGCCTTCCATTGTAGTAGCATGTTGATTTCTTCCAGAACCCCATGGGGTCAATAGTAGCACATCCCACTGGGCAGAGGAGGGCCCCTTGCTAAATTAATTTTGAGTTCTCTACTGTTCTAGGCAACGACTCTGCCCTATAGGGCCATAGTTATCCTCATTTTACAGAGGAGGAAACAGGGGTTAAGTACTTTGCCCAATGTTACAGAGCTAATACATAGCAGAGCTAGGATTTGAACCCAGGCATTCTGGCCCCGGCGTGCCCTTAGCCTTTGCACTCAAGGTTTAGCAGCCAGAGATTGCTCTCTTCTCTGGAGCCAGGGGGCTTTCAGAAGCTCAGGATAATCTTATGACTGCATTGTGAAGGTCTCAAAGCCCAAGGACCTTTCGAGAACATTCTTGAGTTTTGTCTTGGGCTCTCCAGCCTCCTTTCTTGTTTCCTCTTATGGGAGAAGAGGGAGCAGGTGGAGCCAGTGCAGGGCTCCATCCATTCTCCTCCAGAATCAGCAGGGTCAAGATGTGGCTGGATGTGAATCCTCCATCCCTTCATCTGGCTGGCAGACTTAGAGCAAGAACCCAAAGACTTGGTGTGGCCACTCTGACGGTGGTCTGGATGACCTTCTGCTTAGGTTCCCTTGTCTCCTCCAGTCTTGTCACCCAAAGTCCCAAATACCCGCTTCTGGCTGAAGCTTGTCAGCAGGAGGCCACCCACACAGTAGCCTGGAGCGTGAACTGGCTGTGCAGGCCACCTGCCTCTCCTGGGAGTCCTGCGTGCCATGGCTCCTTGATTTCTTCTTAGAACTGTATCTCTTGCCTGGCCACTTTTGCACAGCCATTTGGCAGGGCCTTTGCACCAGTGAAGGTACATTGTGGTGTATAGAGGCCTTCAGGGACCACTTGCCTGAGACTCAGCTCCTTTTTGGGAGATGTTGCCACGCCCAGGGTCTGCTGTTTGTCTAGAGGACCCTGAACCCCATCTTTGGGAAGGGTTGGTCTGCTGCAGGTCTGCTTTCTGGGGGTGCATTTTGACATTCAAAGCCATGGACCAGAGTGGGCAGTGCCTTACTCTTCATTTTCCAAGTAATTCTTCAACTAGAGAGAGCTGTGGTGGCTCTATCCCAACTGCCCTGTTCTTTCCAGAGCCTGGGCAGCTCCTCTGGCTGGGGGGCGCTGAGCACAGCCATGGCTTCTGTGACACTTGAAGGGGCTGACACCCAGCAAGGTACCTGGCCCAAAGGGGTTTCAGAGGATGTGTGCCTTGATTTTTATTTAATTTAAATGTTTAAGAAAAGCATTCAAATTCAGAGTGTTCACGATGGGGTGGCTCTACTGTGGTCCTCTCAGAGGCTTAACAGCCACAAAAAAGCCACATATTAGACCCACCCTGTTACAGTTCTTACTGTGCTAGGCACTCGACACACTGATCTCATTCACCCTCATGCCCTGGGAAATGGGGGATATGTAAGTATCCCCATTTTCCTGTTGTGAAAAGTAAGGTTAGAAAGGTTGAGTAGCTTGCCTACCCTGCTATGATGGCTTTCTGCTGAGGAAATAAAAAAAAAAGTTCATTGTGCTTTAAAAATATATTGAAACCAATTTTATAGTAATTTTTACTGAGCTTAAAAGCAGTGTCAAAATGGACATCAGTCCTTCTGCCTGTACTCTTCCAGCCCAAGAGGCCCAGAGGGGCAGGACCCCACTCTTGGTCCCCACATAAGTGTGGGGAGGGCTGTGTAGGTTGCTTTTCTGACCTCGGGTGGGGGTGTCCATCTGTTCTCCAGCCCTCCCTGACAGGTTTTTCCATAGCTTCATTTCTTGTCCAAGAACACGTCTGTAGGAAGTAAATACTGTATTGCAAGTGCTAGTAAGACAAGAATCATTGAGTTAAAACATTTTTAGTTTTTCTGAACTTAAAACATTTTATTATGGAAAATTTCAAATATATGCAGAAGGAGACAGAGTGATATGATGAACCCCGTGTACCCACCCAGTCTCAGCATCACCAACTCATGGCCAAACCTGTTCATCAGTGCCACCATCCACCGCCCTACCTCCTGTACAATTCTGAAGTATATCCTGTATATCACATCATATCATTTCATCTGTCAATAGTTCTTCTGGGCCGGGTGTGGTGGCTCATGCTTGTAATCCCAGCACTTTGGGAGGCCGAGGTGGGCGGATCAGTTGAGGTCAGGAGTTTGAGACCAGCCTGGCCAATATGGTGAAACCTTGTCTCTACTAAAAATACAAAAATTAGCCGGGCGTGGTGGAGTGTGCCTGTAGTCCCAGCTATTTGGGAGGCAGGTGAATCGTTTTAACCCGGGAGATGGAGGTTACAGTGAGCCGAGATTGTGCCACTGCACTCCAGCCTGGGCAACAGAGCAAGACTCTGTCTCAAAAAAAAAAAAAAAGTTCATTCTTTATCCCCAAAGAATAGATTCTTGTCAAACTTAGCCACATTATCATTATTCCACCTAAAAATTAATAATACCCCCTAAACATTACCAAGATTCAACTGGTGTTCAGATTTCCCAAAACACTTTCAAATTCTTTGCTTTTCCACTTACTGAAAGAAAAAAAAAATCAGCCTCCAAATAAAAATTTCTCAGCATCTGGTCATCTCCTTACAATCCAGCTCACAAAAGGACAGACTTCTGAATCTGGGCAGAAACACCCAGTTATTAAGTCTCTGAGGTGATGATCACGCTGAAATCTCCCGCTGCAGCTCCCTATTCAGCCAGCGCCTTGCACATACTGGGTGCTAGGTCAATATGGGCTCCGTTTCACATAAGGATGAACACATGCAATGGTAAGGATGTAGCCAGGTTGAGCTAATTAGGGGAGACTGGAGCGCAGCCCCCTGCGTCCTCCCACCCACACAGCCGCCCTGGCTGCGAGTGCCTGTCCTTGGCTTTCCCGACCAGTGCTCCACCCGCCAGCTGCCTGGGCCTCCTCTGGGACCCTCTCCTCTCTCTTGCTTGGGATACTTGACTATGCTCCAGTGGCTCTATGGAATCCCACTTTGTGGGGCCTCCAGGGCTCTTCTTGGTCTTGCCAGTTGCTGCTTAACAACAAAAGTTGACTGGGTTCCTTTTTTTTGGAGGGGACCTCATACCCAAGAGTGTGCCAAATGCTTTGCTCATCTGTCCTCACAGCAACCCCAGGAGATGGGTATTGTTGTCATCGCCATTTCACAAAGGAGGAGACTGAGGGAGGCAGGTGAGTCCTCTGCTTGCCTAGGAGGGGGCAGTGCCAGACTTTGAATATGGTCAGCTTGAACATTGAGTTGGTGTGCTCCATGGCAACATACCGGTTCCCAGCTCTTAAGACTCCTTTAACAAACTGTTGGGCAACTCGGCCCAAGACCAGGCACTTACCCTTTTGAGGACAAATCTCGACAAGCTGCGATCTGCTGTCACCTTGCACTTTTCCTGAAATTTCCATGTCTTTCAAAACAGGTAGAGCATGACTTCTCAATATACACACACTTATTAGGAGATTCGTTCAGTTGAATAGAATAAATTTTAGGTATTTCAGCCTATAATTTCCTGGTTTGTCTTTTTTCATGGTTAAAGAATAGTTTGAGTCATAGATTATATGACTGTGACAGGTTGAAGGTTAGGAGGGATGGCAAGAAGCTGAGTGTGTAAGGCCACAACTTAGACATTCATCCTTCTGCACTTTTTGTCACCTCTCAGTTTTTGATAGAAAAAAAAAATGTTACTTTTGGAATATATAGAAGTATCAGGGTCAAGTATGTAAGAATTTTTGGAGGGAGATGGGCTGACATGAGTACCATTTTCCTTGTCCCAGCTGATCAGAGCTCAGGGTGTGGCTGAACTTGGGAGGAGCAGTATAAGGTGCTTGGTGAGCCGCCTGTCTATGGGGATCCTGCCTCACCCACTGAGGACAGCCTGGGAATTGCACAGCTGGCCACTAAACCCAACACCCATGTGTTACTTTCTTTGCTTCTGGATTTTGCCTGGGTTTGCTTCAGCTTTCTCCCAACTCCTGCTCCCTTAGGGAAACGAAGAGTGGGCAGAGGTTTGATTAAGTAAGGAAATTGGAAAAACCAAAGCAGTCATGGAGAAGGGAGGCACTGACAGAATTACAGAAGACAGAGAACAGTTAGAAGGCTGAAAGAAGCCAAGCCGACAAAGGACTAGCATCTTCCATAAGTTTTCATGGGGTTTATGGACACAAGGCATTGAGGCATTGAATTTCAAGAAGCTGTTTGCCAACCAGAACGATGGTTGTGGCTGTCTTTAGGCTCCCTTGGGAACACCTGGAAATTAATTTAAATCATTTTAGTTGTTAACAAAAGTTGCATTTGCTGGGATTTCTCTGGCTTTGCATAGAGGTGGGTATGCCAATCTGCCATGAACCTCTGTTTTTCTAGAAATGGTGTGTCTGTGAGTTAGATGAGCCCTTATCCACAGAAAGGTGGCTGGGCCGGACCTCTCTCTAGATGAAAAGCTGATCACACCGCTCTACTCATACCTGATGTTCTCCTGGCACAGGGCTCCTGCTCAAATTCTCCAGTGAGCCAGCCATAGGGTATCATGAT
This sequence comes from Homo sapiens, assembly GCF_000001405.40. Taxonomy (NCBI): domain Eukaryota; kingdom Metazoa; phylum Chordata; class Mammalia; order Primates; family Hominidae; genus Homo; species Homo sapiens. The sequence continues at coordinate 68,809,700 of NC_000014.9, read as the reverse complement.
GGCAGCCACCCTACTCTGGGGTGAGTTGGACTGGTTTTTGGCCTTGTCCCAGGAAGACTAGCCCTTTCTCTGCAACAGACTAACAGCGGGGGTGAGGTGGGAAAAGTTAGGAAACACAAAGGCGAGAAGGAAAGCTTGCTTTTCTAGGACTGTCCTTGTTCAGTGTTAGGAAGAGTCTGAAATCCACACATATACAAAAGCCCTAAGACTCACTTGTAGTCACCCAGAACATTACTGAGTGGATTTGGTTGGGATCAGGGCAGTTGTTTTAAATTCACTGCTGCCTCCTTTTCTCTCCTGGGTCTTTTAAAAAAAAATTTTTTGGGTGTTGTTTGCTTTGACATTCTTCTCCCTTTTCAGAATATTTATAACTGGCCCCCTCTTTATCCTTCTCAGCTCCTTTCCCCACCTCACTCTGCCTTCTTAGCATAATTTTTATTTTCTTTTGGCCTGCCTTGTTTTACATCTGGATTCCTGGATGATTTATTTTGTCTGTTTCTTGAATTCTGATCCTCTCCCATTTCTTAAGAGTTTTTTGGGATTTTTTTTTTTTCCCTTTCAGCTTCAGTTCTTTTCCCTAAAGCTTTCCTTGGGTCACACAGCTTTTATTCTTGTTCATCTGTTTAAGCAGAGCTGGCAAGGAGGAGGCCACAGCCGGCAGGCAGAGCCACGGCGGCAGAAGAGGTCTTGGGCGCCTGAAGATTCTCCTCCCAGCCCTGGTGTCCTTCTGGGGAGGGGGATGGGGACAGTGCTGCTCTCCCTGTTAGGGTTGATGTTGTCTGCCAGGCCTGGGCTGAGGGTTGGGGCAGATGGTGTCTCCTCCACAGTGTGTGGGCCTGGGACTTCATGGCTCGGGGAGGCAATGGAATCCACCCTTCGGGCTGTGGGTTGGAGGATTAACCAGGTTAGACCAGGAAAGGCTGGAGCTCCATGGAGTTGCACCCACTGGGAATGTATTCCTTACAAAACTCGGTGCTGTGTTTGAAGACTTTGCAGCATAGGGACTGCCTCCTGGGACCCGAGTCTGGGTTTCCTTCAATTCTGACTCAGTGGCTGAAGTTGACCTGGGCATCCAGAGGTGTCTGCTGGGGAGACAGAGGCAGTTTTCCAGTGGAAAGTCCTTTTTTCCCACTATCACAGCCCTTGGCCAGTGGTCATTTTGAGGGTGCAGGGGGAATGCTAGAAGAGGCTGGTAATTGTGGGGTGTATTAAAGACTCTTGGCCGCTGGGCAAACCCCACCTGTGGGAGGCTCTGAGGGTCAGCCCTGGTACTGATGAGGCAGGTGGCACTTCTTGATGGGCATAGTGGCAGAGAAATCCTAGAAATTGCAACCACACCCCTCCCTGTCTGGAGTGGTGGGGTGGGGTGGGAGCATCCTGGGCCCTGCTCCCCAGCTGTCCAAGGCAAATCGACTGGAGTCCATCTGGCTGTCCCCACCGGTCCAGGCATGCTTCCCATCCTGGGGCGTCAGTCCTCAGTGGGTGCGGCTGAGGGGCCGGTGGATCAGTGCTCTGCCTGGGCACACCCGGAGCTGAGCGGCATCCTGGGGTGAGGGGGCTCAAGAGCTCCAGGTAGACACCCACTGGACTGCCTTATCTTTTCTAGGCTCTGTGCTGATGGTGGCCACCTGCTTCTCTGGCAAGTGTGGTTGAGGGCTGTTTCCATAGGCACACCTTGCTCTCTTTCTGGGTCCCATCTGTCCTTCATCATCTTCATCAATGCACAGTGTTCCCTGTCACTTGAGGGAAGTGCTGTTGGTTATATAAAGGCTTGAGACAACTCTTTGCTTACATTTTGTATTTTGTTTATATTTTCTAAGCCTTTAGCTCTGGAGTCCAACTCTCGGGGTCCAGCATCCTTTAAGACCCGAAAAGCATAAACTTCAGGAGGCCAAAGGCCCTTACTCCTAGGCCCTGTGGACTTGGTTTATCTCTGATTCCAGGCAGTGCCTCCTGCTTTATATAGAGGGCTATAATCAACAGGAGGAATGACTAGGGGATGGGTGATGAATGTTCTTCCAAGTTGCTCCCCTTGACTGTGGCAGGAGAGCTGGGGGCAAAGACCCAGCCTCTTTGACATAGGAATTCAAGTGGGGATTAGGATCCCAGCAGCCTCCTGCTCCTTCCTGCCTGGGCCGCCTCACTCCTAGCTGGGCCCCAAGTGCAGCCTCCTTAAATCTGTCCGTGTCAGTGCCTCCTCATTCCTGCCACCTCGCTCTGCCTTCCCTCTTCCCACGCACCAGCACCACGTTGTATAAATATTTACACCCCCGGGGCTGGCAGGAATCTTTCTCCAGCTGCTTCCCTGGTCTCTGGGAGAGCTTGTTTCCTCACCCAGCAGCTGCAGCAGATCTGGTTGCCTTTGGTCAGACAAGAGCAGGCCCTGGTTTGGGGGCCCACAGTACCCCGGGGTGGAGGGTGCAGTTGGTGGGAGAAACTCAGCACTAAAGAAGTCACAGGGCTGTGGCAAAGACCCGTCCTCTCTCACTCCCCCGCCGGCTGTCCACATGGCAACCCTCCAAGAGCTGTCTGATCTCTGCTCTGGCTGGGGAGGTTCCTGTTTCTCAAAAGAACAGCTCTCAGGGTGGAGTTGGCCATACCAGGGCCTTGCTAGGGAGTAGTGGAGGATAATTCCAAAGCAAACTCACTGATGCTAGGACAAAATAGTACCTTGGTTTACCTGTGAACACTTTACAGCTTACTAGTAAGTGTGAATCCCTTGATTTGCCCTGAAGATGACCCCACAGTTTAGAGCAAGACCCCCCTGGATTATCTGCAAACCAGGCCTCTCCCCAGCATCTGCCCCAGGCCACCCTCCCTCCCACCAGTCCCTGCCAGTCTTCCCGCCTCAGGGGTAGAGAGAGGAGAGGACAGACGCTCCTTCTCCCACCTTCCTTGGTGACCCAGCCAAGGAAGAAAACTGGCACTTGGGTTCCCATGGGCTGGGCACTGTGCACGGTACTTCCCCATGTTCTCATGTAGTTATTCAAGTCTCGGGCACAGCAGATTTCTTAGCTTCCTCATGCATGTCTCCTCTTTCTGCCAGCAAACAGCAGCAGCCAGGCAGCAGCAAGCCCCCAGATACAGAGCCCAGGCTTTCTCTAGTCCTGAGTTCAGCCAGGAACCTCTGAGAGCCAGCCAAGGACTGGACATCAATACTGGACTTCAATCTCAGCCACTTGCAGTAGGTGCGGGTCACCTGCTGCCACCTCCTGCTCCTGTGCCTCAGTTTCCCCTTACATCTGTGGGAGGTCATTAACCTGTGCTTTGTAAAGTATTTCAAATTTAGCAAAAAACAAGTTTGAAAAAAGCAACATCATTTCTTTTTTTTTTTTTTTTTTTTTTTGATGGAGTCTTACTCTGTCGCCCAGGCTGGAGTGCAGTGGCGCTATCTCGGCTCACTGCAACCTCTGCCTCCCAAGTAGCTGGGATTACAGGTGCCTGCCACCACGACTGGCCAATTTTTTGTATTTTTAATAGAGATAGGGTTTCACCACTTTGACCAGACTGGTCTTGAACTCCTGACCTCATGAGTCACCTGCCTCAGCCTCCCAAAGTGCTGGGATTACAGGCGTGAGCCACCACGCCAGGCCAAAAAAGCAACATCATTTCAAATCCTTTTTCTAGTTATAGGGGTTTGGGTGGCAGAAGAGATTGTTCAGGTATCAGGGACTAAGGAGAATGTGTGTTCAGTGCTTTGGGGAAGCTGGGGAGGAGGTAAACACGGTTTAAAAGGCCTGAATTTTATATCCAACAACCCCTAAAATTCAAGTAGTAGAGCCATTGGAGGTATGTGTGTGTGGGATTGGGTAGGGGTTCTCATGGGGGCCAGGGACAAATACCCCAGTTTCCCTCCACTCACACTTGTGCCGGAAAGAAAGCAAGCAGATTCTCTCTCTCTCTCTCTCTCTCTCTCTCTCTCGATAACGTACATGGAGAAAGGTAGGAAACTGCAATTTGAAAGTCGTGCATTTGTGAGACACTCCTGCTGCCTGCCTGTCTCTCCAGCCCCGCAACGTAAAACAAAACCCAAATAAAAGCCTGAACCCGGCAGATATTAATGCTACAGAGCCAGGGTTGGTGTGCAGGCACCCACCCCCTTCTTCCCCCTTCTGTTTCTATAAGTGGCTGAAATAAATTTAGCGAAACAACCCCACCCATCTGAGGGCCTAAGATTTCAGAGCAATGGGATTCTCTATCCTGAAAACCCCTGTTTTTCAGAGCTGAAAGCTTTTTGTTTAAATTCCTTTTGGGAATGGAATGCTCTTGATCTGAAATAATTATTATACTGCGGTCATCTATTCCTCATAGATAAATGCTTTGACACAGGATAGCTTGCAGAAAAGCTGATCTACAAATGCTCTGCAGCTTAAGATTGTCAACTCTATGGGGCCAATGCCTAGTTGGATCTGTTGGGGTATTTATTGTAAGATTATTCTTCTAATGTCGTGCATATTCAGCCAAGTCCCTCTGTTGTCTGTCATACAGAACCCTGATTGTGGCTGGCTAAGTTAGCGAAGTAGAGAAGTACTAAATCTTCATTTTTTTTCCACGAATACTTATTGAGGGCCTACTCTCTGCTAGGCACTAAGCCAGGCACTGGGAGTTGAGCTGAGAGCAGAGAGAGCCTGCTTTGATGGAGCATACATCCTAGTGGGAAGGGAATGTTAAAAAGTTAAATGACTACAAAAAAACTGGCAACGAATGTTGTATTTTAAAATGAAAGACTGAATGCTTTCCCCCTAAAATCAGGAACAAGGTCAGGGCATCTACTCTTACCATGCCTATTCAACACTGTATTGCAAATCCTGGATAAAGCAATAAGGCAAGAAAATGAAATACAATGCATACGTTAGGAAAGGAAGAAATTAAATTATTCCTATGTATAGACAATATGTGCTTGTCTGCATTAAAAACAAAAACACACCTGGTACAGGGGCTCATGTCTGTAATCTCATCACTTTGGGATGCCCAAGCAGGAGGATTGCTTGAGGACAAAAGTTAGAGACCAGCCTGGGAAACATAGTGAGATCCTATCTCTACAAAAAATTAAACTAGCTGGAATGGTGGCATGTACCTATAGTTCCAGCTACTTAGGAGGCTGAGATGGGAGGACTGCTTGAGCTCAGGAATTTGAGGCTGCAGTGAACTATGATTGCACCACTGCACTCCAGCCTGGGTAACAAGGTGAGACTCTACCTCAAAACAAAAACAAAACAAAAATAAGTAAACAAAAACACCCCAAGTAATCTATCAAAAAAATCCTCTTACAACTAAAGTGATTTTGTGAGATCACAGGAGACAAGGTCAATACACAAAAATCAACTGAATTTCTATAAACTAATACACAAGTGGAGACCAAGATTTCAAAAGGCTGGGTGTGGTGGCTCACGCCTATAATCCCACACTTTGGGAGGCTGAGGCGGGCGGGTCAACAGAGGTTGGGAGTTCAAGACCAGCCTGACCAACATGGAGAAACCTCGTCTCTACTAAAAATACAAAATTAGCCAGGCATGGTGGTGCATGTGTGTAATCCCAGCTACTTGGGAGGCTGAGGCAGGAGAATTGCTTGAACCCAGTGGGGTGGAGGTTGCGGTGAGCTGCGATCACACCACTGCACTCCAGCCTGGGCAACAAGAGCAAAACTCCATCTCAAAAAAAAAAAAATTACAATAGTTCTAAAAACTAGGAAATATTAGGTATAAATCTAATGAAATATATATAGAATCCCTGTGCTAAAAACTATAAAACAGCTGGGCATGGTAGCACATGCCTGTGGTCCCAGCTACTTGGGAGGCTGAGGCAGAAGGATCACTTAAGCCCAGGAGTTTGAGGCTAGCCTGGACAGCATAGCAAGACCCCATTTCAAAAAAAGATTAAAACTATAAAACACTGATTAAAGAAATCAAATAAGTCCTAAATAGACATACCATGTGCATGAATTAGAAGACTCAACATAGTAATTCTCCCTGTAGTGATCTATAGATTTAATGCATTGCCAATAAAAATCTCAGTAGGGTTTTTTTTTCTAGATACAGACAAGCTGATTCTGAAGTTTATATGAAAAGGCAAAGGAACTAGAATAGCTAAAACAATTTCAAAAAATAAGAAAAAAGTTGGAGGAATTACACCATCTTAAGACTTAGTAAATACCTACAATAATTGATCATGTAGTATTGGTGAACGGGTGGACACAGATCAGTGTAACAAAATAAAGAGACCTTACAAATACGGCCATTACATTTTTGGAAAGGTGTAAAGGCAACTCAATGGTAAAATGACAGTCTTTTCAACAAACAAACAGTGTTGCAAGTGAAAATCCACAGGCAAAAAAAGAACCTCAATCTAAATTTTACATCTTATATAAAAACTAACTCTAAATGGATTACAGATCTGAAGTAACTACTTTTAGGGGAGGATTCTAGGAACATGGCAGAGTAGGAAGCACTAGGAATGTTTCCCCTCTTAGAAAACAATTGCACTGGCAGAATCTGTCTGATACAACTATTTTGGAACTCTGGAGTCTATTGAAGGCTTGCAAATTCCAGGGGGAGGCTTGAACAGTAATTTGTGTTTAATTTTGGTCAATATCAGCTCTTAGAGCAGTAGCAGCTACCCATCCCCCACCTCCAACCCTATGGCAGACAGCTGTGCATATGTTCCTGGAGTAGCTTGCACACAGCTTACAGGAGCTAGGGTGGGCCAAAAGACCCTGTCCTCCAAATATCAGGGATTTGTGCTCTGATTACTGCTTCTGATAACAGAGATGTAGACAATGATGCAGGTGGCCATTGTTGTTGCACCTTCTCCCATTGTTTTTATTTTTTATTTTATTTTTATTTTTATTTTTTTGAGATGGAGTCTTGCTCTGTCGCCCAGCCTGGAGTGCATTGGGGTGATCTTGGCTCACTGCAACCTCTGCCTCCTGGGTTCCAGCGATTCTCCTGCCTCAGCCTCCGGAATAGCTGGGATTACAGGCCCCTGCCACCACGCCCAGCTAATTTTTGTATTTTTAGTAGAGACGGGGTTTCACCATGTTAGCCAAGCTGGGCCCACCAGCCTCGGCCTCCCAAAGTGCTGGGATTATAGGCATAAACCACCACACCGGGCCAACACCTTTTCCCATTGTTGCAAGCTCCTCTTCTGCTGAACTAACTTATAGGGCATTTAAAGGGATGAAGGCCTCCTTTAAAAAAATCAACTCTTCATTTCTGTCTTTTTCCTCTTTTTGGAACCAGATATTAAAGACTAGGACATTCAAAATCAATTACATACACCGGGAAAATTTGAAAATGAATGCCCATGCATGATCAGAGAAAGGCACAGGCTCAGAATAGATCTCAGAAGACCTCACATTTATACCTCAGGCTGATCCTTGGCACAGAGACAGCCTACAACAATAATTAAAAAAAAATTTACCAAACCCAGCAAACCTTGGTGAAGGGGGAGAATCTGATTTCCAGAGTAACCACATTATTAGATTGAAATGTCCAGTTTTCAACAACAACAAAAATCACAAGACATACGAAGAAACAGGAAAGCATGGCACATCCAAAAAATAAATCAACAGAAACTGTTCCTGAAAAATAACTGATGGAAGATCTACTGATAAAGACTTTAAAACAACTGTCTTAAAGATGCTCAAAGAACTAAATAAAGATATGGAGATGGTCAAGAAAGAGATGTATGAATAAAATGGGAATAACAATAAAGAGATAGCAAGCCTAAAGTGAAAGTAAAAAGAAACTCTGGAGCTGAAAAGTACAATAACTAAAATGAAAAATTCACTTTAGGATTCAAAGACAGTTTTGAGGAAGCAGGAAAAATAATCAGCAAATTTGAAGATAGGACACTGGAAATAATCAAGTCTGAGGAACAGAAAGGAAAAAGATTGAGGAAAGTGAAGAGAGCCTAAAGGACCTGTGGAACACCATTATATGCATACTGGGAGTCCCAGAAGAATAAGAGAGAGAAAAGGGGAAAGAATATCTGAAACTATGGCTAAAAACTTCTGAAATGTGATGAAAGACATGAATATGAACATCCAAGAAGTTCAATGAACTCCAAGTAAAATAAAGAAACCCACACCAGGATACATTATAATCAAACTCTCAAAAGTCAGAGACAAAAAGAGAATCTTGAAGCAGCAAAAGAGAAGTGACTCACATAAAATAGATTCTTTTTTTTTTTTTTAATTAAAGACATAAGGTCTTCCTTTGTTGCCCAAGCTGATCTTGAACTCCAGGTCTCAAGCAATCCTCCTGCCTTGGCCTCCCAAAGTGCTCGGATTTCAGGTGTGAGCCAATGCATCCAGCTACAAGGGATCCTTAATGAGATTATCAGCAAATTTCTCATCAGAAATTTTGGAGACCAGAGGCAGTGGGCCAACATATTTAAAATGTTAAAAGAAAAAAAAAAATCAAACAAGAATCCTGTATCTGGAAAAACTGTCCTTCAAAAGTGATGGAGAAAATGACATTCCCAAATAAACAAAAGCTGAGGGAATTCATTACCACTAGACTTGTCCTATAAGAAATGCCCCAAGGGTGTCCTGCAAAGTAAAATAAAGAACAGTAGATAGTAACTTGAAACCATATGAAGAAATGAGGATCTCAATAAAGGCAATTATAAGAGCTAGTATTATTGAAACAACAGTTTGTAAGTTTACTTTGTGACATAATTTAAGAGACTACTTTAAAAAACAATGATTAGTCTAAAAGCTTAAATTATTATAACTTTGGATTGTAATGCCACATTTGTTTTCTACAGAATTTAAAAGACTAACACACTTAAAATAATTATTAGTTTATATTTTTGGGCACAAAATGTATAAAGACATAATTATGTGACATCAATAATCAAAAGGGATGCAGATGCAGCTGTAAAGGAGCAGAATTTTTGTATGTTTTTGAAGTTAAGCTGTTATAAATTCAAATTACAGTGTTTTAACTTTAGGATGTTAAATGTAATCCCCATGGTAACCACAAAGAAAATACAGTAGTCCCCCCTTATCTGTGGTTTCACTTTCTGTAGTTTCAGTTATCCACAATTGACCACAGTCTGGAAATATTAAATGGAAAATTTCAGAAATAAACAATTCTTAAGTTTTAAATTGCATGCCATTCTAAGTAATATGATGAAATCTCGTGCCATCCTGCTCCATCCTGCTTGGGACATGAATCATCTCTTTGTCCAGTGTACCCACACCATATCTGCTACCTGCCCATCAGTCACTTGGTAGCCATCTCGGTTATCTAATTGACTGCTGTGGTATCACAGCACCTGTGTTCAAGGAATCTTTATTTTACTTAATAATGGCCCCAAAATGCAAGAGTAGTGATGCTGGCAATTTGGAGAGAACAAAGCAGTAAACTGCTTCAAGTGAAAAGGTGAAAATTCTCAACAAGGAAGAAGAATCATATGCTTATATTGCTAGGATCTATAGTATGAATGAAACTTTTATCCATGAAATTCTGAAGGAAAAAAAATGTCATAGTACATGCAGGGTTCAGTACTATCCCTGGTTTCCAGCATCTACTGGGGGTCTTGAAACATATCCTGTGTGGATAAAGGAAGGACTACTGTAGTTGTAGTATAGAAAGAAAATGTACCAAAGAAAATGAGAAAGGAATTTAAATGTTTCACTATGGAAAATCAAGTAACACAAAATAAGATAGTAGTATAGAAAAATGAGGAACAATACAACTCTAAGGCATCTAGAAAACGAATAACAGAATGACAGAATTAAGTCCCTTCTCATCAGTAGTTACTTTAAATGTTAATTAAGTGCCCCAATCAAAAGACAGTGATTGGCAGAATGGATAAACAAAAAACCTGATCCAACTATATGTTGCCTACAAAAGACTGACTTTAGATCTAAAGACACAAACAGATTGAAAGTACAAGGACAGAAAAAGATATTTCATGCAAATAGTAACCAAAAGAGAGCAGGAATGGCTATACTAATATTAGACAAAATAGACTTTAAATCAAAAAAGGTTACAACTGGCCAGGCACGGTGGCTCATGCCTGTAATCCCAGCACTTTGGGAGGCTGAGGTGGGTGGATCACGAGGTCAGGAGATCGAGACCATCCTGGCCAACATGGTGAAACCCCGTCTCTACTAAAAATAGAACAATTAGCTGGGTGTGGTGGCGCATGCCTGTAATCCCAGCTACTGAGGAGGCTGAGGCCGGAGAATCGCTTTAACCCAGGAGGTGGGGGTTGCAGTGAGCAGAGACCGCGCCACTGCACTCCAGCCTGGTGCCAGAGCAAGACTCCGTCTCAAAAAAAAAAAAAAAAAAAAAAGGTTACAAGAGACAAGGACATTATATATTAATAAAATGCTCAATATAGCAAGAAGATAGAACAGTTATATACATTTATGCACCTAACAACAGACCATGAAAAATATAACACTTTCAGAAGGTAACAAAAAATCTTAATGACCTGGGGTTAGGCAAAGATTTCTGAGCTGTGACACCAAAAGCATGACCCACAAAAGGTAAAACTGATAAATTAGACTTCATTAAAATGAAAAACTTTTGCTGTGTGAAAGATCCTTTGCTTGGAGAGTTAAAAGATAAGGTACAGACATGAGAAGATATTTGCACGTCACATAAGCAACAAAGGAACTTTATATATCCAGAATATGTAAAGAACTCTCAAAACTCAACAGTAAGAAAATGACCAACTAAATGACCCAACTAAAAAATAGGCAAAAGGTTTGAATAGACACTTCACCAAAAAGTATATGCAGATGGAAAATAAGCATATGAAAAGATGTTCAACATCATTAGCCATTAGAGGAATGCAAACTAAAACCACAGTGTGAGACTACCACATACCTATTAGAATGACTAAAACAAAAAAACAGTAATACTGTTAAGTGCTGGTGAGGATGTGGAGCTAGTGGAAACTCTCATATGTTGTTGTTGGAAATGCAAAATAGTATAGCCACTCTGGAAAATGATTTGGCAGTTTTGTATTAATTTCAACATGCAGTTACCATATCACCCAGAAATCTCACTCCTAGTTATTTACCCTAGAGAAATGAGAATTTGGCCAGGTGCAGTGGCTCACGCCTGTAATCCCAGCACTTTGGGAGGCCGAGGTGGGCGGATCCCGAGGTCAGGAGATCGAGACCATCCTGGCTAACACGATGAAACCCCATCTCTACTAAAAATACAAAAACAAAATTAGCTGGGCGTGGTGGTGGGCACCTGTAGTCCCAGCTACTCGGGAGGTTGAGGCAGGAGAATGGCGTGAACCTGGGAGGCGGAGCTTGCAAGTGAGCCAAGATTGTGCCACTGCATTCCAGCCTGGGCGACAGAGCGAGACTCGAAAAAAAAAAAAAAAGAGAAATAAGAACTTGTGTTCACACAAAAACCTGTACATGAGTGTTTATTGAAACTTTATTCATAATGGCCCAAAGCTAGAAATAATCCAATGCCCTTCAACAGGAAAATGGATAAACTATTGTATAAGCACACAGTGAAATACTATTTATCAATAAAAAGGAATGAACTATTGATACATGCAACAACATGGTTAAATATCAAAGGCATATACTGCGTGAAATCAAACATACAATATGATTCCATTTGTATGACATTCTGGGAAAGACAAAATTGCAATGATAGAGAACAGATCAGTGGATGTCAGGGACTAGAGATGGAGAAAGTATGAATGCAAAGGGATAGTATGAGGGAGTTTTTGAGGGGTAATGGAACTGTTCTGTTACCTGATTATGGTGGTGGTTACATGAATCAATTCATAAGTTAAAATTCATAGAACTGTATGCCAAATAAAGATCAATTTTACTGTATGTTAAATTGAAAGTAAAAAAAAAAAGTTACAGGAATGAATGTATACTCACAAACTGAAATAACTACTTTGAAGGAAATGAACATTCCATGAGAGCCTAAGAGAGAGGAGGGACACTGTTTTGTGACAAAGGAAAGCATCAAGAATGTTTTCCCTGAGGAAGTGAGGCTTGAGTTGGGTTCTAAAAAATGATTTAGAATTTACTTGGGCTAAAGGAAGGTTGATTCACACAGAAGCATTTGCATGTGCAAAGGCCCCGGAGTAGGAGGAAGATGGCTCATTCTCATCTAAAAAGGACTAGAGCACACGGAGTGCCCTGGAGGGTGGGAGAAGTGCATGGGGAGTGAGAAAAACCCAAGCTGGAATAAGAGAGTCAGATTACGCCAGACTGCTCTAGGTGGGGCCTAGGTTAGGGTGGGTGGAGAGGTGTAGCTGTGGGCTGGCCTGATAACTTCACTGACAGTTGGAACATCTTGCAGAGACCCGGGCAATCAGACCCCCCAGGGCAATGCTGGACCTGGGATTGGATTCTCAGTAGTCCTAGCAGGAGGCGGCCTGCTCCCAAACCCAAAGATTCCAGACACCCTGCAGTGCCGCATTTACCGTAGACCCTAAAGTGCCCTCTCCTGAGGCCTCTGCCTTGTTCAGGAGAATATTGACAGCTCAGTAATACACACTAAGCTTTCTGAGGGGCTTGAGGGCTTTGAGAGATAAGATAGTCTGGCTTGTACAGACTACCACAGGGCCCCAGTGATGTAGTTGTTTTCAAAAATACTTGTGTCAATAATCAGGTATTTTTCAGATGGGCAACAGATCCCCATCACCCTACCCTGAACCACTTTACTCTCCCCCAGGCTCCAAGCCCAGGGCCTCTCCCCATTTCCAGGCCTCAGGGCCTGTCTTATCCAGGGCTGGGGGTGGAGGCTAGAGAGTGACACAGATCAAACTTATAAGTTGTCAGTTGACCATTTAATGGAAGTCTACACTGAATAATCCTTTGCCAAGTGAATAGCCCCGGAATTTGTTTTGTGGTGTAATAAGGGTTGCCAAATGGCTTAGTTTACATACAACAGCATGACATATAGACGGTTGCAGCGAGACATGACTCTAGGCACTTTATGGGCCAAATGTAGGCAGTTATCATGATTCCTATTTCAGAGATGAAGAAATTGAGGCCTTGGTCAGTGACTTGAAAAGTCACATAGCTAGAAAATGGCCAAGATTTGGATCCAGGATTGCCTAACTTCAATATACTGGCTCACTGATTCTCAAACATTAGTATTTGGGTCGTGAGATGGAAATTTACCAAAAATGCAGATTCCCCGGCCCCATCTGGGCCAGGGAATCAGCATTCCAAACTTTAAACAAGGGGACTCCAGGTGTCTCTCTCTCTTTCAACCTGAAGAATTTGGGGGATTTTGCAAATGACCTGAAGCCTGAGAGGAAGTGCAACACTGCAGGGCTCTCAGGAGGGGGTACCCTGCTGACGCCTGTGACTAGGCCTAACCTTCTGGGGTCCTGCGGCCCAGTGCTGCACACTGTCATCTGCCTTGAGGTGCGCCTGGGGTCCAGATTGGCCGATGAATACGTACACCCGCAGCGCCTCCTTCACTCCGAAGACTTTCACTTTCCCCCTTGCACAAAACCGAACATCCCACCCCACCACCACCTCCAAGCTAAAATACCTGGGCCGCCCCTCCCCACGAAGGGACGCGCTCCAGGCGAATGGGGAGGGCCCGGAAGTCGGGCCTGGGACAGAGGAGCCGGCCCACCGCCTCCCGGTCGGAAGCGGCAGTGCAGGTGAGGCGGCGGCCAGCCTGGGGACTGCGCGGGTAAGGAGCGGGAGGGCGGAATGCACCGCGAAGTTGGCGGGGGACGGCCACGCACGCCTCGCCTCGGCCTTCCTGCACCGTAGGGCCGCCCTCCCGCCACCCCTGGGCACCTGTCGACCACGTCTGGGCGAGGGCGGGTCGGCTCCCGCCCTCGGGCCCTCACCGCGGCGGGGACGCCGGGTCAGCGAAGGGTTAAGGGACTCGCTCCCTCCTCTCGGCTCCCTCACCCTTGGAAAGTCCCCGAAATGACGTTTCAACCCGACAATTTAAAAAAGAGTTTAATTATAGAGACAGGCTCTGGGAGCTGGAACAAACCCTTGGTCGGCGGGGCCGGTAAACAACTCGGGAGCGAGCGGGCTAGGCCAGTCGCAGCCTTGCGGAGCCCGCGCCCCCGGGGAGAGGGGGAGGGGAGGGCCTCCGGGAGTTGGAAAAGCCGAGGAAATTCGAGGAATCAGCTTTCTTTGGAAAAATCCACTTTGTAGCCATTCTGGGGCGCCTGATGGTGCTCCTGGCCGGTCCCGCAGCCTTGGAGGGAAAGCGGCGCCGCCCGAAGCAGGGGCATAGCCGGTGCCCCGCGGGGACAGGCCCTGGGCCGGGAAGGGGGCCCCGCCCGCTCCCAGTCCCCTTCCCCTTTGCTTTTTTCCAGCCCCTCCTCCGGTCCCCCCAGCTGAGCTTCGCGAACCCTCGGGAGTTAAAGACCAGCCGGCCTCTTTTTTGGGGGGGGTGGGGGGTGGGGGAGCGGGAATGGGTGGAGGCCGGGGGAATAAAAAACCGAAATAGCTTCACATCAGAACTCAGACTAACCTTGTGGTTTCAACGCGCACTCTGCTCTGTCCTGAAATCTGGAACTCATTACCTCATCACCAAGAAACTGCACGAAATCTCTCCCCCACCGCCCCAACACCCACTTGGGAAAGGAACGAGCAAACATCCCTCTAAGAAAGAAACCTACACTTGAATGATTTAAATTAAGGTGGATGGAAGTTATTTCCCTTTCTGGCGCTTGCCAGATTTCAAGAAAAGCTGAAAAATGGGAGCGGGGGAGGGAAGCAACAGACGGCTGGAGGGCAGCAGCAGAACAAGCGAGGGGCAGCAGCCGAGTTAAAGTGGGGGCCATCCATTTCGGGCAGAGGAGACAAATGAAAGCCGACCCCGCTGGGATCACGTAGGTTCGTGGCTGCAGCAAAAGTTGGGTTTCACAAAGTTGAAAAACAGCCGGTTTCTCAAACAATTGTGATTTGGAAGGTTTCGCTGGGTTTGCCCAGATGTTTACGAATAAATAAGAAATGCAGTTTTAAAAAAAAGTGTGTGTTGGGGGTGGTGAGAATGCGCTCTCTTCGGCCCGCCCCGTCCTTTCCAAAGAAACGTGCTCATAATGGGGTGACCTAATTACATCGCAATGGAACTCAATCTTAGCCACTCCGCAGCACCGGGTTTCATAACAGACTCGGCGGCCTCGAGTGCTGGGAAGAAACGTGCGAGGGCCGAGGGGGGCGGCGGAGCCCGCGTGGAAATCGGAAAGAAGCGCAGCCCTGCGACTTCCGCCTGGGTCATCACGCCAGCAGTCGGGCCAAGGCGCAGGGGGCGGGTGGGGGACTCGTTAACTTTTTATTTGGGTGGGCGGCATCCAAACCTAACAGTATATATTTTATCATTTTCAAGGGAGTCATGCTCCATTGCGGGCCCTTCGGTTTCGTGGCTCCCATGTCCCCCTCTCCACCTCCCGCCAAAACGGCGCAGCGTGACAAGCCATATGTTCCACTCCGGTGGGGGCGAGAGAGAAGCAACAATAAGTTAAAAGTGCCGCCTCCCTCCACCTCTTTACCTTCATTCTTACCAAAGTAACCTTTTTTCATTGTTCTAGAGTCTTGAGGTGTGTGTGGGGAGGATGGAGGAGGAGGGAGGGTTGTGGCGCCGCCCAGAATTCGGAGCGCGCGTGGAAAGTAGTGAGTTGCTCGGTGGGCTTTTTCTGGGAGGAAGGGGCATTCAGGAAGGATTAGGGTTTTCTTGACTAAAAAGTTTAAAGATTGGATGCGTGAAAAGAAACGGCACGCCTAGGCCTGGTAAAACAAACAATCGTCCCGGGTTGTGGTCTTTTTTTGCGGCGCCCCCCACCCGCCCACACCCGGAGAGCGCCGGCTGCAAAGCGAGCGCGAGTGTCGACGCGTGCGGCGCACTAAATTGTGCCGCGCTCGCCCCCGCCAGACCATGTCCTCCTGGGGAAAAAGTTTCCCTAGTCCCCCCAGCAGCGCGCCCCACCCTACGCCCCGCTGGAAAAAAAACAGCAACATAAAATCCTAGGCTTGAACATTCTGTGCGTCCCAAATTTCTAATGTCCTCGGCCTGCCCGGTTTGCCGAAGGGAGCCGAGTGTCGAAGAGAAGTCGGGAAAAGGTAAGTTGTGCAGACACTTGGGGAAGTTTCAAGGAGACCGCCAGCTCAAGATGGAAACCGCGGCCCGGGCGCTAAGGACGGGCTTCAGCTCCCGCTGGCAAAAAGAGAAAGTCGAGCCCGCCTTCCTGCCCAACAAAAAACAACAACATGACAACAAGAACCCCGGAGGGAGTGGAATGAGTGACGTCACAGCCGCGCTCTGAGGCTGACAAAGGAGGGGGCGCGCCCCTCCCGCTCTGCGCCCGCGCGGCCCCGGAGAGGGGGCGCCTGAAGCGCCGGGTAGGGAAGTCAGCCGACTTGAAACTTTTCCTCTTAAAGAAAAAAAAAAAAAAGTTGTGCGCGGCTCACAGTGGGGTTTTTTTTTTCCGCCTTCTTTTCTCGTCTCCCCTCCCCCTTCTTCCTTTTGAAAGTTTCTTCTCCTCCCCCTGCCCCCCCTCCCCGCCTGACCGCATGGCTGATTCAACTCCAGTGTCAATCAACTTCTTTTTCCTCCTCTTCCTCATTTAAATAAGTTTAAAGCTCCTCCTCCCCCCGGCCCACCAAATCTGAACTTTATAAATTGGGCTTTGCGCGCCCCAGCCCGGAGTCAGAAAGGCGAGGGGCGCCGGGAACTGGCGTGTGGGACTCCAGACAGGAGAGGCTGCGCCTTCCCCGCACCGGGACCTTCGCGACACACCAGATCCTCGCCCCTGGCTCGCGCGAACGCACAGGATGACCACCACCCTCGTGTCTGCCACCATCTTCGACTTGAGCGAAGTTTTATGCAAGGTAAAGGGGGGCGGAGCATTTGCTTTTCAAAAAGTCTTTTTCTTTTGCCTTAAGAAAGAACCCCCAAAAGTTTGGGTCTTGGAAGGCAATGGGGAAAGTGGTGCAGCGAGATGATTCTTTTCTCCTCCGGCATTTCTCCCAAGTTTGAAGGAATTTGGCCCCGTCCTTCCCACCCTTTGAGTTTCAACAGTTGCTGGCGGGGATTACATGTGAATCTGGAGGCCAGGGTTTTGAGGGGCGAAGTTTGCCTGGCAGGGCAGCCCGGGGGCTTCGGGGGGAGGGCTGGGATTGGGACAAGTTTTGGGCGATCCTGTTTTACGTAACGTGCTGCTGGATCCCAGGTTTGCTGGTCTGATCGGGTTCCCAGTCTGCGCCCTAGGTCTGTCCAGCGGCATTACCCACCCGTGGGGTTGGGAGTGGGAGGTCCCTCGGGGAAGTGAGTCTCGGGACAATGTTTTCCTCCACTCTTTGGGGGGAGCTGGGGATATGCGAGGAAGAAAGGCCAAGTTGTGATTCAAAAAGATGTTGCAGAACAAGTTTGCAGTGGGGCTTGAGTCCGCCCTAGCTCCGTTGGGCTTCTTCCCGCGATAGCCGATCGTGCAGCAAACTTTGGGGTGAAAGAGGCATTCAGGTTGACCCGCTTACCTGTGTTGCCGAGGCATTGCGGCTCATCGATTGCGGGCGGGGTTGGGGGGGGAGGTGGCGACAAAATGCTGGCTTGAACTCGAGAGTCCCGCGAGTAAGGATTTAATGGGGGGCTCCTTAAAACATGTTGCTTGTCAGCCAGTGTTGAAAAAGCAAGTTTTAAACTCGGAATGTTCCAGGACTGCGGTTTAAATGTACATAGCAAAAGTCTATGGATGTTGTTAAATTTCTTTCCAACCTCCCCCTCCCAATTTGAAAGGGTGAAGCTGCTGGGCTACTTTTTAATTGCTGAAGTGTTTTGCCTTCTCTTAACACGTCGGGTCATGTTGCTCTGTTTTCCCAGCTTGCTGCTCCTGTTGGTGCAGCTGCCAACGCCCCAGGGCTGCAGGGTTGGGGTGCAGGGACGCCGAGGAGCTGAAGAGTAGCATTTAAAAAGTTTGAATTTTTCAGCTTCCTTCCCTCCCTGCACATTCCCAAACTCCACTTGCCAGCCCGGCTGCCAGCGCTCCCCAACATTTCTTCCTTCTTTTCTCGACTCTCCCGCTCTTTGATCTATTTCTTTCTTTGGCCCCCCTCCCCCCTCACGACTTTTTAAATGAACCTCATTGTTGGGAACCAGCTCTCGACTGGGTTCCTGTAATCCTCTCGGTGGGGTGGTTGCAGTTACAGATTCCCGGTCCCCCCCTGCTGATCCTAAGGGACCAACATTAGAATTTGCACAATGACACCCACATGGGCTGGGAACTAACTCCTAGGTCCCTGACCTGCACCATTTCCAAATCTTGGGTACAATTTGGGCAGGTGACCAGGGTCCTATTGGAACAGAAACCTGCCATTGGTGGCTCTGCCCCCATCCCCACCACCCCCAATCCGCTATTGACTAGGAGGTGGGTAGGGGGGTTGGTGCTTTCCTTTTCCTTTCCATCTGCAGCTTTGCGTTAAAGATTAAACACTGGAGCTCTTATCCAAGCTTGCTCTTGCAGCCAAAAGACTAATTGCAAAGGCATCTTCTCAGTGAAGGGGGCGGGGTGGGCTAGGGCTGAGTGGAAATGGTGAGAGAGATTATTGTAGAAAATATCTCTTCCGGGAACTTAGGGCAAAGAGTTTTATTTTCAGGAATCACATCCCTGTCTCCCCCAACCTCAGACCAGGCCCCCAATCTCCTCCCCACAAGAAAAAGCAAAGGCAGTCTGAAAACCTGTTGCCAAAGGAAGGGAACACTTCTGAAGGAGGAAGTTGAGAGTCTTAGGCCAGGTCTTGAAGGAGGGGGTATCAATTAAGCAGAGACTGATTGGAAGGGGACCTAACGTAGCCTATGATAGACTCCTTTCTGAGGTTTACCTGTTTTTGTCGCGGGCGGTGGCGGGGGCGGGGTGCGGTAATCTAGAGAGGTCTGGGTTGTGTGAGATATTTTGAGTTGAAGAATCTATTTGACTAGTAAAAAAGTTGAACTTTAAAGTGGTAGCTTTGGGGACAGAGGACATGGGGGTTGCATTGCAGGAGTCAGCATGGAGCAGGGTGCTTGTCACACAGTTTGGATCTTGTGGTTTCTTACGCATGGGGCCAAAATAAACCCAGGTGAATGGCCTATGGGAGGGAGAGAGGGAAGGGAGCTTGCTAGAGCCGAGGTAGAGATGAGTTCTTTGAGAAAGAGCGGGCGTTTGTGATTGTGTAGGGGGCTGCCCATAGTGGACATCCTGGTGGATGTCCTCTGTCCTTACCATCCTTTCTCTTCTCTCTCCAGGGTAACAAGATGCTCAACTATAGTGCTCCCAGTGCAGGGGGTTGCCTGCTGGACAGAAAGGCAGTGGGCACCCCTGCTGGTGGGGGCTTCCCTCGGAGGCACTCAGTCACCCTGCCCAGCTCCAAGTTCCACCAGAACCAGCTCCTCAGCAGCCTCAAGGGTGAGCCAGCCCCCGCTCTGAGCTCGCGAGACAGCCGCTTCCGAGACCGCTCCTTCTCGGAAGGGGGCGAGCGGCTGCTGCCCACCCAGAAGCAGCCCGGGGGCGGCCAGGTCAACTCCAGCCGCTACAAGACGGAGCTGTGCCGCCCCTTTGAGGAAAACGGTGCCTGTAAGTACGGGGACAAGTGCCAGTTCGCACACGGCATCCACGAGCTCCGCAGCCTGACCCGCCACCCCAAGTACAAGACGGAGCTGTGCCGCACCTTCCACACCATCGGCTTTTGCCCCTACGGGCCCCGCTGCCACTTCATCCACAACGCTGAAGAGCGCCGTGCCCTGGCCGGGGCCCGGGACCTCTCCGCTGACCGTCCCCGCCTCCAGCATAGCTTTAGCTTTGCTGGGTTTCCCAGTGCCGCTGCCACCGCCGCTGCCACCGGGCTGCTGGACAGCCCCACGTCCATCACCCCACCCCCTATTCTGAGCGCCGATGACCTCCTGGGCTCACCTACCCTGCCCGATGGCACCAATAACCCTTTTGCCTTCTCCAGCCAGGAGCTGGCAAGCCTCTTTGCCCCTAGCATGGGGCTGCCCGGGGGTGGCTCCCCGACCACCTTCCTCTTCCGGCCCATGTCCGAGTCCCCTCACATGTTTGACTCTCCCCCCAGCCCTCAGGATTCTCTCTCGGACCAGGAGGGCTACCTGAGCAGCTCCAGCAGCAGCCACAGTGGCTCAGACTCCCCGACCTTGGACAACTCAAGACGCCTGCCCATCTTCAGCAGACTTTCCATCTCAGATGACTAAGCCAGGGTAGGGAGGGACCTCCTGCCTACTCCAGCCCCTACCCTGCACCCACATCCCATACCCTCTTCTCCCTACCCATCCCATTCCCCACAGGCCCTACATTAACAAGGTTAAGCTCAACCCCTTTCCCCCAGCACCTCAGAATGTGCCCTCCCTCTCCCCCTCATAACCCCACCTAACATAAGGACAAGTCAATTTGTCAGTAGCTTCTTCTGGCTTGAAACCCCCTCCCTGGATTTTATAGCCCACTTACCATGCATAACAGACAAGTCCCATATTTTGTCAGTAGATGCCTTTTTTTTTCCGGCTTAAGCCTTAAGTGCCAAATCACAAGAGAAAAAGCAGTAACAGTTTACAGAAGCAACTTAGTGCCTTGTAATCTAACTTTGTCACTGTGACTACATTACCTCTTCAGCGCCAGAGGGCACCCGTGGGCCTCCCGGAGCCTCTGCCCATGGCGGGGTGGAGACCCGGAACCAGCAGCCCCCTCCACTGGCGACACAACTGCACCTTCCCTCATTTCAGTCTCCCGCACACTTATTCCTCCTCCCCTCTTCCCGGTGGCACCTCTCCACCTGTACCCGCCCCCCCACCCCCCCCACCCCTGCCCCTTGGAAGAGTTGTTGCCAGACCAGGGTTTTGGGGGAAACCTGTCTTGACATTCAAAACCTTTTTCTTCCCGATCTGAACCCCTGTTGACTAATCTTGCCTGGGTTTGTGTAGGTCTGCAGGAAGGAAGGCTGAAAAAGCGGACGAAGATTTTGACTTAAGTGGGACTTTGTGATTTAATTTTTTCTTTTTTTTAAGTGGGGAGGAAGGGGAAGCTAGATGGACTAGGAGAGACTTGATTTTGGTGCTAAAGTTCCCCAGTTCATATGTGACATCTTTTTAAAAAAAATAACAACAAAAAAAAAATGAGAGAAAAGCTAAAAAAAAAAAAGTAAGGGGTGAGCAGTTAATGGTATTCATTCCACATACAATATCTGTGTAAAACGATTTCCTGTAGAAGTAGCTTTAATGGTTTTTGCTCTAGAATACCGTAGGTCTATCCTTAGAGCACTCACGCCATGCTTTCTTCCCTGGGTTTTAAACTTCATATAACTTTCAGAAATTGGAGAGCAAAAATTTTGCTTGTCACTGCACATCAATATAAAAAAGCTTATTTAACTTATCAAAACGTATTTATTGCCAAACTATGCTTTTTTTTGTTAATTTTGTTCATATTTATCGGGATGACAAATCCATAGAATATATTCTTTTATGTTAAATTATGATCTTCATATTAATCTTAAAATTTTGTGACGTGTCTTTTTCCTTTTTTTCCACAGTTTTAATATATTATTCTTCAACGACATTTTTTGTAACTTTACACTTTTTTGGTTATTTTATTTTAAAAAAATGAAAAATTAATTTAAAAAAATGCAAAAAACTGTTGGATTATTTATTTTAGAAATTCCCCCCTTTGTGTTGGACTGCAAATTGAGTTTCTTTCTCTTTAGGCCTTTCACAACTAGGACTGAGAATGTATGTAAAAGTTCTGTGACAGTACAGAAGGAAAACAACTTTTTATGTATAGCTTCTAAAAGGGGAAAAAAAAAAAAAGAGAAACCCTTTGACTTCCACGTGCCCATCTCAAGACATTCCACTCACAGATTTGAGGTTCTGGATTCCAGGTCTGGAGTTTTCCAATGTTAATGTAAACAGAACTGGCACACACACATTAAGATGAATGTAATTATTATTCCTCTTGCTGGTCACTACCGTCGCTTTCTATTTCTCTTTCTTTGTGTGAATTTATTTAAAAGAAAAAAAAACTTTTTGTAACGACTATTTGCAGTTTAAAAATCAATAAACCCCGTTTTTTCAAGAAACATTGATGGTGGAGCTGGTTTTACTTGGTTTTGGTTTGACTTTGCCAGTAAGGTTCTCCCCTTGTATACCTTGCAAGTCCTGGGTAGGGGGAGGCGGAGAGAGAGGGCTGTGGCTGTGGGTGGCGGCATCTCTCATCCCTATAAGCTAAGCCTATAGCTCCCTTCCTTGATGCTGGCAGTTTGCTGCGCTTAGAGGGGACGGGGTGGAGGTTTTCTGCAAAGGAGCCTGTACTTCCTGCTGTATTACTTCTGAAAAGACTGTGCAGTGTGTTAGTTGTTGGCTGAATAGCAGCGGGCCCAGCCTTGCCGACACTTGTGTGGCCTCTGCGGTTCTTCTGGGGAGCCAAGGCTCAGGGCCTTCCAGTCCGCCCCGTCCAGCCTGTGCTCTTCATTCCTTTGGATGGTGTTTGGGGTGCCAAAATGATAAAAGAGGACCTAGCACTTGGCACACTTGCAGGCTTGGATTTGAGTGAGTTCTTTTATTGGGGTGCCTTGGGCTCATTTTGCCCATAAGAAAGAAATTTACCTCAGTACTGGCCTCTCAACACCTACCCGTGTGGGGAGGGTATAAGGAAGCACTGCCTGCTTGGAGAGGAATGTCCAGCGGGGTGAGGGGCTCAGTCACAAGGAACTGGGAACTGGGACTGGATTTGACATAGCCTTTTGGGTTTGGAGGGCTGTTAAGGGGAAGTGAGTGTTAACACTGGCCAACACAACACAGCAAGTCACCAAGGGTTCCCACCACCTTAGTTACAATCTCAGGTGCTATGCAAAATTAGGTATGTCGTCATCTTGGGAAAGGTGGGGTCTCCTTGGCTAGATGCACCCCCACCAAGGCTAGATGACCACTTAAGAGGTGGCATTTCACCCGCCGGAGGAGTTGGAACTTTCACAAATCTTGAGTGTGAGCCTTGGGAGGATTTATTTGGGGAGAGGCAGAGATTGCTATTTGCAGCTCACTTGCCTTTGGTTCCTTTACACCCAGGAAGTTTTGGGAGTTCAGCTGAGTCACCATGATTCCACCAGGCCTCTTCCGAAGGTCTGCAGCAGACATTGGGCAGGCCAGGGATGTCCCTGAGACTCGAAGACCTACCTCTACTCTCAACTCATTTCCCTGGTCATCAGATATCTACTGGGGGTCAGGGGGTGAGGTAGAAAAATAGGGACTATTACCTGTTCCAGGGCAGGGGCTGGTGGTTTAGGAAGGGGAAAAGCAGCCCTTCTTAGGACTGGAGTAAACCTAGGCCTCTTGTCCCTTAAGGAGGAAATGAACTTTGTGTGTGTGTGGAGGTGGTGGTGGTGGTGGTTGGTGGTGGCATGTGATCTTCCTTTCGGAGTAAAAGCAAAAAAGACATTTAATCATTCACCTTGAGCTCATTCCCTGCAGGCATACCTGAGCATGTGGCAGACACCTTTCTAACTTCCCCTCTCATGGTGACGCTGGTTAGGTTCCTAGAGGCCCAGGCGTACCTCCTGGCCAGCCCTGAATTTCCTCTAGAGGAGACAGTCCTTTGACTGAGTCAGTCCTTTGACTTTGTCTAACCAAGATAGAGACATTGACTACTGGAGGCCCTGGAGGGTGGGGGTTGGCTGTAAAGCCCAGGGGAGACTCCTTATCATGTGGGGAAGCTCCATGTCCCCGGGTCTTAACCCTTTACCTCTACCTAAGTGTCTCCCTGGGGAACTCACTCAGGCTGGGATTTAGGTAACCCAGGCCCATGTGTGGTGGCCACAAGAGCCTGGTTGTGTCCCATTGAGTCCTTAAAGTTAGAGGAGATGGCCCTTGGGAAAGGGAACAGCAGAATATTTCAGGCCCATTATTTCTCCAGGATGTTAGAAGAAGGGGCCTCAGCAGCAGCCCTGTGCTGTAGTCTGGCAGGGAGGCCAGGGAAGTGTGAGCCCAGAACTGGCAAGAAACCCCTATCTCTGAGCTCCTCTGCAGCTAGGAAGGATAGGAACTATGCTGAGGGAGTTGAAGGGAAGGCTTTCACGAGGGAAGTGGGTCAGGAAAGGCCAGGCCAATCCTGGGGCACAAAGCCTTCTTCTCCACCCCTTACCCTGGAGGCCAGGGTGTCTTGAAGGCTGGGTTTAGGGGCCTGCACCAGGTCTGCCATGGATGGGTGGGGCCTCTGTGGCTACTGGCCCTGCAACCCACTCTCTGGCTGTTGGATGAAGATCTTCTCTTGGAGCAGCTCAAAGAAATGAGCTATTTTGGCCACCGAGCAATGCCTTTCCTGGCCTGGAGGCCTCATTCTCAGGAGGAAGGCTATGGTTCAGTGACACTCATGAAAGGAGGGCTTTGAGGGCCAACTGAGATTGTGGGTTAGTCTGAAGATGGGTTTTACAGTCAACTGGATCACGAAGCACTGGTTACCGAAGAGGCAGGGGTCATGGCAGGGGAAGGATCCAGGGCGTGAAGGAAGAAGGGGTGTTGAATGGAGCCCTTGGACCAGGGTTCAAATCCCAGCTCCCCTTCTACCAGCTTGTGCTTTGGATAAATGACTCAACCTTGGATTTTTCAGCTGTATCTCAAGGAGTTACTATGAGATCAAGCGAGCCATTAGTCATGACAGCTCTTTGTAAGTGCCAGGTAGTCCTCTAAGAATTTCCTGTGT
Source organism: Homo sapiens (assembly GCF_000001405.40). Taxonomy (NCBI): domain Eukaryota; kingdom Metazoa; phylum Chordata; class Mammalia; order Primates; family Hominidae; genus Homo; species Homo sapiens. The sequence goes on along the minus strand of NC_000014.9, from coordinate 68,785,046 downwards.
GTTAACTCATTGAATGATCATAATGACCCCACGGAGGAAGCTCTATACTGTTCCTTTTGTATAGATGGAGAAATTGGGGTGCAGAGAAATTCACTAATTTGTCATACAGGGAGTCGGTGTCAGGATTTGAACCCAGGCAGGCGACCTCCATCACTATGCTAGAGTGTTGTAGGCTGGGACACTGGAGCAGTCCCTGGCACACAGTAACTGCAAATCAATCAGTGTTAGTTGCCCTCTCCCTTGGCCTTTTGTGGAGATTCTGCATGAACACAGGAGGCAACGAGTTGGATTAGATGATTCTGCACACACCCCCTCCGTTGAGTGCCATGACCTCACCTCCCATGAGGCCCTGCATTGGCACATTTGGAGGACGGAGTCTGGGAGGAGGGGGTAGGCCATCCCCTTGGACTTTCCCCTTCTCTGCCTGCCATGAGGTGGCTTCTGTTAATGATCAACAGACCAAAGGGTGCCCTAGGGCTGCCTCAGGGAGTTGGCTCCATGCCCTTCTTCCCCCGGGGTCTTCCACCCCTGTGTGTAGCCAACCATTTAATCATGTCTGGGTGGACTGACTGGAGGCTACCTGAGTTCAGAGGGGGAGGAGGTGGGGAGGTTAGCCAGGCCCCTGGTCACCCCCTTGCTGCCTTGCAGGTGGCCCTTCTAAGGCCTGCCACTTGCCTGCTGGGCAGAAGGCAGAGATTCTGAAGGTTGGAAAGCAAGGCAAAATCTCAGCCTTTTCTTGAATAAGGTCAGCACTGGGGGTCTCACCTCTTGATAGGTAAGGCTGGTGTTGAGAAACCTGGCCTACAATGCTTTCTGTGGGAGTCCCAGATGGTTACAGCTGAGTTACCATCATAGAAAACCAGACTCTGAGGAGCCAGGGCAGGGGCTGCCCATAAGAGCCAGCTGCTGGTCAGTGGACAAGGATGCCTCCTCCACATTGAAGCTGTTTGCAGTTGTTCTGAAATGTTGGCAAAGCCCAGGTCTCAAAGTACAGGGCTGTGAGTGATGACTGTACCTGTGCTATCAGCTTGGGTTGCAATGAAAATAAATATGGGCAATCGCCAAAACTAAGGCAATTTTTTCAGCACCTGGAGCCAGGCAGGTAGCTTCCCCCTGACTCCAAATGTACCTCAGGGAGAAGGAGCTCATGACCACACAGGTCAGCATTCATTTCCGCCAATCCCAGTATTCCAGAGCTATGGGAGGCTCTATTGTCCGTGGTAAGGAGCTGGTTTTGGAGTTACAGGGACCTGGGTTCAAGTCCCTGTTTGGCCTCAAGGTCACTCTGTGACTTCAAGCTAAACACTTAGTAAGAAGTTCAGATCCCAGTTTCCTCATTTGTAAAATAGGATGATGGTGATAATGATGATGATAATGACACCTAGGTCAATGGATAAACAAACAAACTGTGGGATTGTCACATCATGGAATACTATGCAGCTATATAAAAGAACAAATAACTGGTACACAACAATGTGGAAGAATTGCTAAAACAAAGTTGAATGAAAGAAACCAGCCACAACAGAGCACATATTGCATGAGCCCATTTGTATGAAGTTCATAAACAGGCAACAGTGATCTATGATAATTGATATTTGATTAGAGGATAGAGAATACATGTAAAAGTTCATTGACCTGTGCACTGAAGATTTGAGCACTTCACTGTAAGTTATACTTCAAAAAGACAAACCTATACAGTTGTCGTGAGTGTTAATACATGTAAGGAAAAGAAAAAGAAATTCAGTACCTGGCCCATTATAGGCACTTAATAAATTGTGGCTGGTCTTTGTAATAGCAACAACTGGATGATGCAGGTACTGTTCTAGTCCCCTTTTATAGAAGGAGGGAATGGTCTCAGAGCAGGTGAGTGACTTGCCCAGGGGATGTGGGGCTTGAATCCCACCCCAATGGCTCTCAAGCTTGCACAGTTTCCTACTACCTAATACTGTCCCTCAGTGAACAGGTGCTGTTTCTGCAGGAAAGCTAAATTTGCAGTAACCCAGGCACAACGAAGTTGACTAATTAGTAAGTGTAATCATCTGCATTAGAAAAGTTTTTCTTTTTGCAGATTTAAAATAAGCCTCCTTGCTAGTCAGTACCTCCTACGCCCTGTGGGAGGTAAAGGGAGGCCGAGTTGGGGGCTAGCTGGGCTCTGAGCGGCCGGAGAGTGGAGAGCCTTGACTGTCTGGTGGGCCAGCATCCAGAAGCCACTGTCCTGGGAGCCACCCCTGTGGGCTGCTTGCCTGCCTGTCCTGGCCTATCCCTCCCCTGGGCTGATAAGGGCTTAGAGGGGCCTTGGGGAAGGGCTGCCTGGCCCAGCCCCTCTTTACTGGCCCTCAAACTCAAGGGTGCATGGAAGCCTTACATGGCTGTCGCAGCACCACTTCCACCCTCTGTTCCATTCTACTTTTTTGGGAAGTGGTCCTTGGAGCTCCACAGGAAGATGTTCAGCTCAGCCAGTAGATCCAGCCACCCCAAGGAGCTGGGAGTGAGTTCTTGCTGGGCTGACCTCCTCTGTGCAGTGTCTGCACAATTGGCTCAGCCTCAGTGCTCTAGGAAGGGCCCAAGGCTTGGGGTCAGACAGCAGGGCAAAATTTGAAGAGATACTTACTCTCAGGGTCTTACGAATGAGTGTCTCCCGAAGTTGCACACGCTAGGCTTCTGACTTGCTTTATTCTCATTCCAGCCCTGTCAGGCGGCCCTGGATTTGTGATCCTGCTCAGCCACTTTCAAGCTGTTTGATCTTGAGCAAGTTGCTTAACCTCTCTGAGACTTGTTTTTCTCCTCTACGCATGGGGTACAGGAAGCATACTCACCCTGCCCACATTATAGGGCTGTGGTGAGGATCAGATGAAATGGAGAGGAAGGAGCTCTGGAAATGATAAGACCCTAGACAAAGGTCATATTGAGAGTGTGGGAGCAGCTTGCAGTCCTCAGAATGACAGAGCCCTTCTCTAAAGATGTTTGAGTATCAAAACGTGGTGCTTTGCCACCTTGGCTCACTCTCTCGATTTTCTGCCTCAAACTCACATATGGTGTGTGCGTTATAGGTGGTTCTCTTGAATTTATATAGTAAAAATAATAACATGAACCAGCATTTGTGAAGACTTACCATGCACACTGGGGGCTGGGCCTCCGTCACATGGTTACGTTTGATAGTACCTGCGAGTCAGTGCTATCATTAGCCCCATTTTACAGATGGGGAAGGTCAGGCTCAGGGAGAACTCGCTATTCCCAATTGCACAGCTGTATACCACTGAGCCGGGACCCAGGTCTGTTGGGCTGCAACACCCAGGCTCTCAGCCTCCACTTTTAAAAGGAGGCAGATGTCAAATGGCATGGGCCACTTAACAGGTCCAGGTTCCGATGTTCACCCTCCCCTGGGGACCCATAGTCATGGAGGAGAATTTCTCCTCTCAGCCCGTCCTTTCCTGAGATGTCTCCATCACATGTGGTCACCCTCTCTGCAGCCCAGGGGCCTGGGGTAGTGAGCAGAGGTTGGGCTCGCTTTCTGCCTCCTTTACAAACGGAAATGCTGAGGTGCAACGTGGTGTTGGCAACTGCGCTGGGCTCACCTTTGGGTGCAGCAGTGGCTTTGAAGCCACGCCTGGTCTCAGTGGTGCTGCTGCCTGGTTGGGGTGGAGGAAACCATATTTTATCACTCACAGGGGTGTTGTCTTGCATGATGTGTGATCAGGAGGGAGGCTGCTAAGGGCTAAGCTGATTATTTTCTAATCAGTTAGCAGCTTTATAGTCTGCTTGAAACTTGTGACCTTGGGGCTGGCTGTAGAAGGCACCAGCATGGTTGCTGGCATCGGTGTTCCCTCTTTTGGTGCCTTGTTTTCTGAGAGATACTGTCCATTATGATTAAACTGCATTCTAGCAGTTCCTCTCCATTCAAGGAAGTCATTTATTCCTGCGATTGCAGGGCTCAGAGGGGGAAAAATGGTAGATTCTCAGAGCTCCAGCCAGCAGCAGAAGCCAGCAAGGGAGGAGGAAGGAGGCACGGCCAGATCAGCACAGCCAGCGCTCAGATCCTCCCCCAGCTGCCTCAAGCTGGGGGAAGGAGGGCAGGGCTCTGAGGCTTCCTTCATTGGCTCAGGAAGGCCTGTCTCCTAAACAGTTTTTCTTCCTTTGTTGCTAACCATTTTACTGGGCCAGCCTAGAGGGCTCTGAGGCATTAGGAGCAGCCAGGCAGTTGGTTCAGTCAGACTATTAGACTTGGGTAAAAGCTGAAATAGTGCCAACTTTGGTGTTGTCCCTAACCCCTGCTTCTCTCTGTGCATCCTGTAGCTTTTGGGTTGGTTTGGAGCAGGAGCTGCATCTTCCCACACAACGGATGACACCTGCAACCCAAACAATGTGCCCACACTTGAATGGAAACCCCTTCAGCAGCGTATGGTGCTGGGGACCTTCTGGGGAGATCGCTGGAGTGCAGGTTCACATGAAAGGGAGTTAGGGAGCTGGGTTTTCTCTTCATAAGTATGCACTAACTATCTCTGGAGGCTTAGAAGTCCATCCCCACATACAAGCAAACCTGGGGCTTACGCATTGTTGCAGCTGCCACCAGTTTGGAGGCTGAAGGGAACAAGTCCTACCCTGGCCATTGCTTGCTGATGAAACTTGATGGTCACTTTCTATTTCCAGGCTTCCATTTTCTTCTCTGTGAGATAGAGGGTGGGAGCCAAAGAGTAGTTTGTTTCATGATTCCATGAATATCTTAGAAAGCAAAATGCACAGAGCCAAATTTCCTTTGCCATGCCGAATGACAGGGCAACGGAACTGGCAGTGTTGTTGCTATAAAACCCCAACTAGAGTTACAGACGGAAGGGAGTTGGTATGTCCTGTCACTGATGTCAGGTGACTCACACAGACGGGTTTGGGACTCTAGAAGCTGGCTGTCGGAACATCCTTTGAAGTGGTGGTTTTAAACACTTTTATGAACTGCAGGCTGAATGTGAACATGTAAGTCATTCTCCTGGTATGTCGTATTTTCCCAAACACGCTATTTCAAATTGAAGCATTGCAGCAACTGTCTTAATTTAGGATGTGCTTTGCATTTGAACATGCTACTTATTAGCTGACTGGTTTTTGTGATGCTCAGAGAATGAGTTACTGAAGTTTGAAGTCACAGGGAGGCAGATTTTGGCTCAGTCCGGGGAAGACCTTTTTAAGACACTGAGCTGGCCTTTGGAGGTAGTGGAGTTCCTGTTGTTAGTAATGTTCAAACAAAAGCTAGGTGTTCCCCCTACCCGACTCTCCCTCTCCTGGGTTAGGGACATTGCAGAGTGATTCTCTGACATCCTATCCAAAGCAGCCCCCTCCTCCTCACTCTCTATCTACCATTCTGGTTTAATATTTCAGTACTTATTACTCTCAGAAAGTGCCAAGTTCATTTAATTCTTGACTTGTCTGTCATTATCTCATCCAGCTTGAAGGTAAATCTGGTGAGGCAGGAGCCTGGGCTCTTGTTAATTTTTTTGTTTTGTTTTGTTTTGGTTTGAAGCAGAATCTCACTCTGTCACCCAGGCTGGAGTGCAGTGGCTCGATCTCGGTTCACTGCAACCTCCACCTCTAGGGTTCAAGTGATTTTTCTGCCTCAGTCTCCTGAGTAGCTGGGACTACAGGCGCCTGCCACCATGCCTGGCTAAGTTTTGTATTGTTAGTAGAGACAGGGTTTGACCATGTTGGCCAGGCTGGTCTCGAACTCCTGACCTCGAGTGATCCATCTGTCTCAGCCTCCCAAAGTGCTGGGATTACAGGCATGAGCCACCGCGCCCAGCCTCCTGTTCACCGTTCTATTTCATGTCAACGCTGATGCCTGGCACTCAGCAGGCACTTACCTACTGAATGGATGATTTTTCTATTGGTACAGGTGTCATAGCTTCTAAGAGCCCACGATTCTAAGGGATTAGCCCTTCAAAAGCTGGCTGTGGGTGTTTGAGGGAGCCGTGGTGTCCTGAGGTTAATGAGTAGTGGAATGAGTATTAGGAATTGGACATGTGGCCCCTCTCCGGCTGTTTGTCCTGGGGTGAGTCACCCGACCTTTTTGGGTCTCAGTTGCTTCATTTGTAAAAAGACAGAGTTGAATTCAGTTATCTTCAAGGCTCCTTCCAGCTGGACTATCTTGTGATTCAAGTACTCTGTGTTTGTACTCACTCCTCTGTTCTCAAACTGTTTGTTCAACTCTCTTTTATTAGGGGTTCTAGGCCTGTCGAAACTGAAAAAAAAAAAAAAAGTAGCCCTGGGAAGCAAAGAGTAAATATTATACAAGTGCAAATGAATTACTATTGTATTCTGTATAACAAATTATAAGGACTGCAGAGAGACTCCAAGGGAACTATTTAATTAAATAATCATCAGGTTAAATATAGCTCATTCAACCCTGGCACAAATGAACAATTGAGGATTTCTTTCCTGATATGTTTTAGCCATCTAATAGTGTGCTCAGCCACAACATACCCACTATTCTCTGATTTTAAATATACTTTATAAATGGGATCAGTTTATACTTTCTTTCTGCTCTCTGTGGTCTCTCCAGGAGATGGCTAGTAAGCCTGGATGTTTCCATTTTACTGGCGAGAAAATGCAAAATAAGCTATTCTTAATAACAGCATTAAAACAACACTTGCAAAGGATGGCACTGAATGGTGGGTGCGTGTTGAAGTGGAAGGCACAGAGATGGCTAATTTTTTTGTTGTGAAGTAAATTTTGTTGGGAAATACATTTTCCTGTTTCTGCATATGCTCCTGGAAGAACTCTCCTCTTCTGTATCCTCAAGTGTTACCCAAATGCCACACACAATAGCAACCAATTCAGAATGACCTCTGTGATGAATCAGTCAACACGTAAATGGGTATTGGGTACTAATGCAATGTAGAAGGTGCTGTATGGTTCCAAAAAGCATAGAATGTGGTCCTCATGCATAGAGTTTACATTTTAGTTGGTGAGGCAAGACATAAACTAATGAAACCATCAATTAACCAGATCAGATTTTGTCCTGTGGATACAAATAATGGATACAATACAATCCATACAAATTTGTATAATCTGTACAAATATGGATACAATAATAGACTAACTTGAGAGCAGATAATTAGAGGATAGTACAATTTGTGATACTCTGGGCCCCTGGCAGCATCTGGTTTGGAGAGAAGTTCTCTTGTAGCTCCACACTGACCTGGCTCTGGGAGTATCAGAGGAACCCTGCATACTTCCCTGAGTCACAGAGACTCAAGGAGTTAAATGTAAATGGTGCTCCCTGGAGCTGTGTATCTTGGTGTCCCTGCATCAGAAGAACTCAGACTGTAGAGACCTAGCAGACAAGAGCAAAGGAGAGTAGTCTTAAGGTCACTGCCCATGCGGTGGAGCCAGCCTACAGACCCATTAAAATGTACTGTGCTTTATACAATATTTCTAAATATTTCGAGCCAACATTTAAAAATCAAAAGATTTAATAATAATAATAATTATTCAAATTTCTGGCGTCTCTGGGAAAACTGGGGTATCTGGCCATAGACGGCTCATATTCCCATTTGGCATCAGCCATGTGGATGTAAATAGTATCTGTATTTGTTTTTTTTTATAAAGTGCTCTCCAGTTTGCCCCAGTCCCCACCACTCCCTATGTGTCCCCAGGACCTCCTGAACTTTCTGTCCTCTAATGTTAGAGAAATTTTTCTCTGTACCCGTATCTCTATCAAAAAATGAAAAATAAAAACTCAAGGGCTGCGTGTTTTAAAAAAAACAGGCAATAGGAAAGACTATTTCTTTTTTTTTCTTTTTTTTTTTTGAGACGGAGTCTCACTCTGTCCCCAGGCTGGAGTTCAGTGGCGCCATCTCAGCTCACTGCAAGCTCCATCTCCCGGGTTCACGCCATTCTCCTGCCTCAGCCTCCCGAGTAGCTGGGACTACAGGCGCCCGCCACCACGCCTGGCTAATTTTTTGTATTTTTAGTAGAGACGGGGTTTCACCGTATTAGCCAGGATGGTCTCGATCTCCTGACCTGGTGATCTGCCCACCTTGGCTTCCCAAAGTGCTGGGATTACAGGTATGAGCCACCGAGCCCGGCGGAAAGACTACTTCTTCATGCAAGAAAAGGGTGGCTATGTTGAAGGAATGGAGCCCACCAGCCTCACTCATGTCCTTCCCCACTGGGCTCCTGTGCCAGATGAGTTTGAGAGAAACATGGCAGGTTATATAACAGAGGCACCACCTCAAGGATTGCCTTAATAGTTGAGGTGTATTAAGGGTTTATATGTGCCATGTGCTACCTCATTAATCCTTCCAACAGTGCTGTGAGATAGGTACTGCTATTATTCCCTGCCTCCCAGAGGAGGAAACAGGTGCAGAGAGGTTAACCAACACGCCCAAGGTCACACAGCTACTTAAGGACGGAGACAGGATTTGAATGCAGGCCTGCCTGACCTCAGAATCCATGCCCACTTTTGCTTCCTCTGTGCTATGAGTCTGTAAGACAGATGCCCCTGGCCTGGGCTGATACATACATGTAGTGTCTGTGTGTATGTGTGTATTGTGCCTCCCACTAGAATATAAGCTACATGAGAGCAGAGCTTTGGTCTGTTTCATTCCTTGCTGTCTCCCAGCATCCAGAGCAGTGCTTGGCAGGTAACAGGCACTCAGTAAGCATCTTTGAATGTACGTGCTGGGCAGACAAACAAATCCCTGATCCCTGGGAGGCTGGGGCTATATTTGCTGAACTCTTTCCTCTGAGTACTACAGAGGGGCTTAGGTACTGATGGGGGCTTAGGTTGGGCCTTTTGCCAGATTTGGTTAGGGTAAAAGGGACAGGTAGGGGATAGCCCAGCTTGCTCCACACCTTTTTGTTCCAAGTCTGGGTCTTCCTCTTTTCCAAGTTTTTCCTTCTCCATCCTCCAGAGCATGAAATGAGACAGCCACGGGACTGGAAAGTGAAGGACAAAGCATTAACTGTTTACAAAGACAGATGGTGGAGGAAGTAGTTCTGCGGACCACGTGGTGGGCTGTCCTGGGGTGCTTGTGCTCAGGGGCAGTGGGAGTGGGTTAGTGGGCAGCTACTTCCTGACTGAGGTGGGAGAAGTAGCGAAACCCAGTCATAAGGGGCTTGATGACAGCAATGGCTTTGAGTGGTGGCCCTGTCTCTGGTGCCCATCTGCTTTCGTTGCTTAGAAGCAAACCCCAAGATAAGGATTTGAATGGAAGTAGTTTGAGAGGTAATTTCAAGAAGCACCACTAGGTGAGTGGGAAAGTGAGTCAGAAAGAGAAGGCAGCCAGTAAAGGGTTTGTATCAAGTTAGTTATCACTCTGGGTGTCTAGGCCTTGATGCCGCTGGGAAGATCGGGGAGCCAGTGAAGGACACATGCCTCAGAGACAGCACATCCAAGTGGTGAGGGAGCTGGGGTATTTATACACTAACTCTCTCAGTCCTGGGTTGAGAGCTGCTTGACACTTCTGACCTTCTGTGAGGGTGGCTAGACAGAGCCCACAGGCACAGGTACAGGGACTGGCAGGTGGAATTGGGCAGATATGCGCTGAAATGGTGAGGGTGAAGGGATGTGGTGGGCCAACAACAGCATCTGCAGCCCCTCTTCTGTTCATAGAGGCTGAGCATCACAACTGGAGCCCAAGAGGCTTGACAGAGGTACTATACCTGCCCTGTGTCTGTTAGCTTTTGCTACATAATAGACCACCCCCAAAATTAATGCTTAAAATGACAACCACTTATTTAGCTCACATTTTAGTGGGTGGGAAATTTGAGCTGGGCTTAGCTAGGTGGTTCTTCTGGCCTCATCTGGGCTTACTTATGTATCTGTGATCACCAGCAGGTAGGCTGGGGGCTGGTGGTCTAAGATGGCCTCGGCTAGGACAGTTTATTGGTGCTCCACGTGGTCTCTTATCCTACCGCCCTAGCTGGGGCTTGTTCTCATGGTGGCAGCAGCACTCCAAGAGAATGAGTGTGGGCAGGCAAGGCTCCAGAGGGCTAGATTTGGAATTGGCACAACAGTACTTGCATTATATTTCATTGGCCAAAGAAAATCACAAGGCCAGCTCAGATTCAAGAATAGACTCCACCTCTCTGTGGGAGAAACTACAAAGTCATATTTAGGAGGATAGATACAGGAAGAGGAATGCTTGTAGTCATTTTTGCAAATAGTCTACCACATGCTCATGCCCTTAGGCATCTTGTGATCTGGTGGACAATCAAAACCAGTGTTTATTCTACTATTTTAGGCACAGTAGGAGTCAGAAGCTGTTGGCTAGAGTGTGGGAAAGTCTCTGTCCTACAGCAGCTTCTCCACTTATGCTTTCTGTTAAACGTTGTCCTTTCCTTTGTTTGTTTGTTTGTTTGTTTTGGAGATAGAGTCTTTCTCTGTTGCCCAGGCTGGAGTGCAATGGCACAATCTCAGCTCACTACAACCTCTGCCTTCCAGGTTCAAGTGGTTCTCCTGCCTCAGCCTCCTGAGTAGCTGGAATTACAGGCGTCCACCACCACGCCTGGCTAATTTTTGTATTTTTAGTAGAGTCGGCGTTTTACCATGTTGGCCAGGCTGGTCTCGAACTCCTGACCTCAGGTGATCCACCCACCTTGGACTCTCAAAGTGCTGGGATTACAGGCATGAGCCACCGTGTCCAGCCTTGATCATCTTTAAGAAAGCAATGACCTCTGCGAGATAACACATTATGCCTCTACTTATTGAGGATTGTGTGTGGGTGGGGAGAGCTGAAAAGAGCCAATCTGAGAATTAGGTTGAGTCAAAGTCATGTAATTTGAATTTAGCAGTTTATTTTTTTCTAAAAGTTTGTACTTGCTTATCTAATAAGATTTTTTTTCCTAATAGAAGGTATTTTTGTGGAAAGAACCAGGTGTGTATCACATAGGACATTACTGCTTTCCTTGGTTTATCAATCCTTAAAGGAAGTTTATTTTTGAGTGTAAGAAAATGGCAGCCACTTCAAATGCAGGTGGCATCATCAGGAGGTATTAGTTTTCCTCCCCACATAAAACACAGAAGAAATACACTTACAAAAAGCCAAGTAAAAGAGCTTTTAAACTGGACAATATGGTTCTGCTGTTTACCTTGGGTGGAGTGATAGCTCCGGTGGAGATGTGGGGAGGGAGAGAGATGTCCAGCCATGGTCTGTTCCTTGGGCTGCCTGGGGTATATACCTCCACCTTTGGGTCATGCACCTCCCCACTGCCCCACAGCTCATGTTCAGATGGATCTGCCAGCCTCCCGAAGGTCTCTGGCCTTTTCTCATTCACTTCACTTCTCTTTCTTAGTTACCTGCTGCCATGTAAAACCCCACTGTGTTCCTGCGGCATCATCAGGCTTGGAAAAGAGCAAGTCCAAGGGTTCTCCCAAGGTCTGGATCTATCTGCATGAATGGCCCTCACCTGCGGTGCTCCTGACGCATCTTGGAGGCCAAAGGAACTTTCTTCCTGGCTCTTGGCAGCATTGACTGGGGATCTTCAAATGGCCAACCAGTTCACAGCCATTGTGAACATTTATGTAATAACACTTCATTTCACCTGTTCCTCACAATGGTCCCTGCTTTACAAATAGAGAAGTGAAGCTTCTGGAGGTCAGATGATTTGCCCAAGGTTATGGAAGTAGTAAGGAGTGGAAACCAAGCTTTTTAATTTCAAATCCAATGCTCTTATCACAATACCTCACTATTAATCCCTAATCTGCCCAAATATTGCATTAAAAGGAAATGATTTAGGGAAGAGATTTGAGGGTTGTCTCCTTTGAAAGTATACTTTTAGAATTTTCCAGCCATTCTATTCAAGGCATCAACCCCAATTCCCCTTCTGTACATCCTCAATGAGTGACAGCTTACCTCCTCCAGCCCATACAGCCCTCCCCTCCCCACATAGGGCCAGTGTCTTAGCATCTTCCTCCCCGCCAACCACCGACTCTGGGTGGTGGGTGCCCAGTGTTGAGTCAGGGAACTTGGGAAGCTGCAGGGTTAACAGGCCCATCATCCCCTGCTGTTAATTTCACTAGAAGCACTGTTAGGGGAGAGCAATCTTACGGTGCCTATCTACCTACTATGCAGCAGGAAGTACATTTTGAAGATTAGTATTTTTTATCTTTCAAAACAACGCAAAGAAATTTTTGCTTGTCGCAGGTGTTTTCAGAGACAGCCCTGAATCTTCTAGAGATGTCTCCTCAGCAGGCTGTGGGTTTCATTGCTGAAATACAACCCTCATTATCTGAAAAGCTCATTGGGTATCTACCATATGTCCCAGGACAATGTGCCACGCTGGTGTTTTTCTCATGTATTATTAGATAACTTTCCTCATCTTTACATTGCTGTTAGGTTACACCCTCCTTGAAGCTCTTGTAGTAAATAATAGCACGTACCTACTATGTGCCAAGAGTGGGGCTCAGACAAGTGTCAGGCAAGCGAGGGGCCTAGTGTACAAAATTTAAGGAGGCATTCAGCTGCTGACCCTGAGACTGAGTGCCTGGTCCTTTGTGAGTGCCGCTGTCACCCTGGTCCCACCCTGGCCAGGTTCTTTTTTATTATTTTATTTTATTATTTCTTTTTTAGAGACAGGGTATCCCTATGTTGCCAGGGCTGGTTTCAAACTCTGGGTTCAAGCGATCCACCCACCTTGGCCTCCCAAAGTGCTGGGATTACAGGTGTGAGCCACCTCACCCAGTCTACCCTGGCTAGGTTCTTTACATATATATATATATCCTATTATCTTCACAATGGTCTCATTTTACAGATGGGCAAGACCTGAAGCATATGCTGGTTAAGAAGCTTGCCCAAGGTCACACAGCTGGTTCCAGCAACCTGCTGGTGAACACTGACATTATGGTATTTGGATTTACAACAGCCCTGAGAAGTAATTGGTCCTATATAATATTGGTTCATGAGCACTGATTGCTCGATTTTCAGGCATTTTGGAAATCAGCGGTTAAACACAGCCATTATTAAAGATGAAATTATATAAGCTTAATCAATTGTATTAAAAACAAATGTAATAACTACCCCAAACTCATCATTTCCTAGTTCTCCTGTGTTCCCTGTCCAAGGGCAAGGCAGAGTGGCTGCTGCTTTGGAGCAAAAAAAAAATCCCTTCTCTGTAGGGCAGGCAGAGGCAGGCTCCTCCCTGCACCAGCCGGAAGCCACTTCTTCCTGTCATTCTCCAGTGCGGATACACTGTAGGAAATGGCCACCAAGGCCGCAAGCAAGAAAAACACCCGCTTCCCATGCTCCCAACATGGGCGGTAGAAAGCGGTAGAAAGCTCCAGGCTGCAGCTCCCCGAGACCTCTCCCTGGGTTCGAGGAGAAACAGACTTTCCACTGAAGTGACACGCTGTAACCCACAGTTTGAATGTTTGGATGGGAGGAGCTTTCACCCTGAGGCTGGAGAAGCAGCCGGTCTACAAGAGAGAACTAGGCTTTGGGTACCTGAGAGGCCTGGGTTTGAATCTTGCCTCTGCCTGGGTGGCCTCGGTCAAGGCATTGAACTTCTCCTTGCCACGCTGGGTGGCCTCGGTCAAGACATTTTGCCACACTGGTTGGCCTTGGTCAAGGCATTTAACTTCTGCTTGCCTTAGTTTTTCCAGCTGTAAAACGGGAGAATACCCACCTTATGGACTCTTATGGAGTTGTTGTTGAAAAATCAAAGACATTGTGTAGAAAGCATTCTAAGACATACATGATGGAAGGCGTGGAATAAATGTGAAATGAGTGAATACCAATAACAGTTATGTGCCAGCCACCATGCTAGGCAAGGAGGATTCCAATGTGAGTGGACAGGAGTGCTGACTCCAGGACTCTCAGTGCAGAGAGGCAGGGAAACAGAGAAGGTGATGGTGGGAGGGCTGGTGCTTTGGTAGCAGCGTGGGGAAAGAGCAGGGAGCACCGGGGTGGGTTCTAACTTACCCTGCCCAGCCACTCTCAGAACAAGCATTTCCTGAGATCTACTATGTGTCTGTGGATATTACCCGGGGTGCAGCTATGACTATGACACAGTCCCTTTTCTTTCAGAAACAGCACTAACAGGCATGAAAGGTGAAATGATTACACAGGCAAGAAAACGCTTAAAGATCAAGGTAGAAGAAATTATAGAGCGAGGAATGTAGTGCCGGACCACTGGAGAGGGCTAAGTAGACAGGGAGGGGCCTCCATTCAGACTTGCTAGAGAGGCTGGCAGGTGAGGGTCCTCTGGGAAGGCCTGCAGTTCTTCTCTGGCTTGTTTTAGCAAAGTGGAGGAGAGGGGAGCGGCAGGGCTGGAGTTTGCCTTCTGCTGTGGTGACGATGCTCTGAGTGTCCAGCTGCTCTTCCCATCCTTGCTGCCGCTGGACTGCCTCTCTCCCTGCCACAGCTTGAGCCCAGGGCTGAAGCACCGCTGGACCTGTCTCCACGGGACCCTGAGGCCAAGCCAGAACACTAACTTGCCACAGTGTCCCTAATCACACTGATTTGGTGTGCTGCAGACATGCAGAGAGAGGGAGTATAGATGCTCAATTAAATCCTTTTCAGGAGAGAGGACAGGGTGGGAGAGGAACTGGCCTTTAGTCACAAGTCCATCTCATCCTTCTGGAGGCTCCTCTCAGTTGAGTCAGGGTGATCTTCCTGGTTTGAAGAAACAGTTTCAGGACAGTTTGGAGGTTGTGTGAGGCTGGCAGGTGAGAAAATGAGGCCCTCCCCATATTCCCCAGCCCTAGGCCTTGCATTCTCCGAGATGCAGGCATGTTCTGGATCTCCCGAGCCTTCTCTTGGTGAAGGGAGTTTCTCCTACAGCACAAGGCCTGCTGTCGGGGCTGAGGTCAGCCACGGCCCCGAGGCTGGGTGGGGGGACAGTAAGCTGGTGTTTAGGGGACATGGCCTCTTGGCAGTTGTGCCATTGTGCCTTAGTAGGAGGCACCTTTTCTCCCCACCATCAACCCGTGATAAGCAATAAAAAAGACATCGACGTGATGATGTCTCATTCAACGATATTCCATGCTCACATGATATTACTAAGGGAACTGTTTTTCAAATTAAGGGCACAGGCCGGCACGGTGGCTCACACTTGTAATGTAATCCCAGCACTTTGGGAAACTGAGGCAGGGGGAATCACTTGAATCCAGGAGTTCGAGATCAGCCTGGGCAACATGGAGAAACCCCGTTCCTACAAAAAAATACAAAGAATTAGCTGGGGATGGTGGCACACGTCTGTAGTCCCAGCTACTCAAGAAGCTGAGGTGGGAGGATGGTCTGAGCCTGGGAGGTCAAGGCTGCCATAAGCCGTGATGGTGCCACTGCACTCCAGCCAGGGTGACAGAATGAGTCCTGTCTCAAAAATAATAAAATAAAAGCCGGGTGTGGTGGCTCACACATGTAATCCCAGCACTTTGGGAAGCCGAGGCAGGCAGATCACCTGAGGTCAGGAGTTCGAGACCAGTCTGGCCAACATGGTGAAACCCCGTTTCTACTAAAAATAAAAAAATTAGCTTGGTATGGTGGTGTGTGCCTATAATCCCAGCTACTCAGGAGGCTGAGGCAGGAGAATTGCTTGAATCCAGAAGGGAGAGGTTGCAGTGAGCTGAGATCATGCCACTGCACTCCAGCCTGGGAGACAGAGCGAGACTCCATCTCAAAAAATATATATATATTATTATTATTAGTATAAAATAAAATAATTAAGGGGCAGAGAAAGAGCAGATTAAATGCTAGGTCTGTTGAAAAGTATGGGATGAGGTGCTACCCAGCACGACCCCCTCTTTTCTGTACTTATCACGGTCACACCTGTGCCTCCATGGCTCTGAGGAGCCTGTCCTCATGCTGGATGTGTTTCCCCTGTGTGCATCTTCATGTTATAGATCATATTACTCTCGGAGAAAGGGACTCTTTCTGGAAGAAATAGGCTGAACCCCACTCTGCTCCTTGTGTGAGGGATGGGTAGGGGATTGGAAGAGAGGCAGTAGAAAGTGGTGATTACAAGCATGGGCTCTGAAGTCAAAAAGCCTGCAGTTCTTTCCTGATGTTGCCCCCTGCTCCTTGTGTAAACTTGGGGAAGTCACTTAACCTCTTTAAGCCTCAATATTCTCATCTGTGACATACGAATGATAAAAGTGCATATCCTCGGAGCTTATGTCATGTGGTGACGGGGGAAACCTGGAGAGGACATCTGGGCACTTCTTGCTGTGGGGCCCTGGGAAAAATTGCCAAACCTCCTGAGCCTCAGGTCTGCTCAGGTGTCCAGTGGCGGGGGGGCATATTTCCAACCCACGTTTCAGAATTGCTGTTAAGGGAGGATGGAATGAGACCTCTGCACACTGCGCAGCACTATGAGGAGCACGTGGGAAGTGCTCACTACATGTTGGCCATTCCAATGATTGCGGCTGACTGTAGTTAGGGCCAAGGGGAACGGACAGAAGGAAGTTGACCTCCTTCGCCCACTGGGCTCTTTCTGTGTTTCTCTAAGGAAACCCAGTCCTGGAGTAGTGAGCAGCCCTTGAGGCCAGGTGGGTTCCTCTTCCCCATGGTCTAACCCTCTCAGGGACACCCTCCCTGCTTCTTTGCCGTCATCAGCTGGGCTGTCAGTCACACTGGGCAGATGTGTAACCACCAGACACAGCAGAAGCACACTCATTTCACAGCCTCCTCGGTTGGGAGTAAACTCCCTGGCTCTGGGATTGTGGGGCCACCTCCTCTCGCAACCTGGGCCACGTTTTCATGTGGTGGGGATGCCCACCACACAGAAGAGTTGGAATTTTCTTGTCTCTCACAGAGCCCCAAACATCTCCCATCCACCCCTTGTTGGACTGGTAGCTAACTATGTGTCTGTAAGTCAGAGAGACTAAGGGCTGGTAGTGGGTGCCGGGTGCGGGTTGTCTGCTCAGCCCTTTCCCAAAAGGCCCCTCTTGGCTGGTTTTCTTGGCTCTCAGCAGTGGCAGGTCTCTCTGACCACCCATCTTCTGCACCACTCAGGGTTGTTGCACTGAGGCCGGTGACCGGCTGTTCTCCATCTCCTGGGGACAAGCAGGTGTTGATGCCACAGTGCACACACTGTGTCTGAGAAGGGCCAAAGGGGAAAACCACCTGCCTGGATTGTTCTGGCTGCAGCAAAGCCTCCAGCCCTGGAGGTCTTTTCCAAACAGAATAGAGCTTCATCTCTCTGGAATGCCTTAGGGCAGCAAGGTCTACCCTGCTCTCTCTACACAGACAAAGCTCGTCTTCCATGAAGGACTGGGTCCCACTTCTGGACGCCATAGAGCTCCAAACTCCTTGAACTCCATAGAACACAGAGTACTGCTCAGGGCCTTGGCTGCCTGGAATGTGTGTCTTCTTCCAGGTACTCGTTTTATTTCTCTAACTCCCCTGAAGGTGAGGAGCCCATCCCGCTTGATATCCACATGTCACTTACCTCAGTGCTGGGTGCTTCCTAAGCATCTGCTGAGGCCTTACAGTAATTGGGTGGCGGCCCCTAGGGGGAAAGCAGAGCTTGGTAGGATGGGTCACCAAACTGGGAGGTGCTGAAGAAGCCATGAAAGGTCTGGAATTTGGGGTGCTGCCCAAGGAAGGCAGGCTCCACAGTAGGGACAGGGTGGTGGGGTTCCGTGCTGGGGGCAGCCAGGGCACTGTAGTAGCCTGGGGAGAAAGGGCTGGGGCATGAAGGTACTGGGCAAGGGGGACAATCGACTTCCGTCAGAGCTGAGTTGAGAGCCATCCCTAGAGCCCTCCAGATGGCCCCAGTCTTTGTATCAGTGAGGGGTTTAGACCAGGCAGGCCTCTGCTAATCTCCAGCTGGATGGGAAGGGGTGCAGGGGAAGCGTGAATGCAATGTGGTTTTGGGAGAGATGGGGGCTTGGGTGGGTGGAACCAGAGGATGAGTCCCTGGCCAGGAGGGTAAGGGGAGACAGGGCACCCAAAATGCCACAGAACACAGAGCTCCCTGCAAGCTGGGGGACGTGGCCAGGACGTGTACCCTTAAGAGAAATCGAGCCCTGGGGTTGACTCATGCTAGGTGCCAGAGTCACTCTGAGACTCTCTTGGAATGACATCAGGTGAGAACCTGGGCAGACTCCTGGGGCAAAAGGGAGAGTAAATCATCATCATCATCATCATCACAACCACCACAGCACTACTCTACATTTCAGTGATGTTTCACAGTTTACAAAGGGCTTTCACATTTATTAGCGCATGAAGAGGGAGAGGACTGAAGAATTTCGGTTGCCTCCACCCACATACACTCCCAAGGCCTTCACCTTGACCCTTTGTCTCTCTCCTCCCCATTTCCAGGACTCAGAACTTGTACCAGGATCTGCTGCTGTGTGCAGCCTTGGAGCAGGGTGAGAGGAGAGGCTAAGGATCCAGAAGGGTGCTCCTCCCTGCAGCCCCCTCCTCTCTTGTGGTCCTGAGCCCCTCTTCTTCTCAGACATGCACACACATACCTGGCTTACCTGGGTTTCCAAGAAGGCAAAGAAAATAGAACTTCCCTTCCTGTGTCTCCTAGAAGGGAGGAGCTCTGGGCTAGGAGGGGGATGGACCAGAGCTCCTGATACTTTGTTGGCATCACAAAACCCCTGTTTCTTTCTTCCCCTGTCCTACCTGCTGGGTCCACCCCTGGCTTTCCCTCTTGCTCCACGGCTCCGTCTGTCATGTGAGGCAAAGGTCAATAAATCTCCCCCACATTGACCCACATCTCAGCCTCCTTTCTACCAAATGGCACAGATGGCAGCCTCAATCCCTGCCTGGATAAACCTCAATATTTCTTTTTTTTTCTTTTCTTTTTTTTTTTTTTTTTTTTGAGATGAAGTCTTGTTCTGTGGCCCAGGCTGGAGTGCAGTGGCGTGATCTCGGCTCACTGCAACCTCTGCTCCCAGGATTCTAGCAATTCTCCTTCCTCAGCCTCCCAAGCAGCTGTGATTACAGGCACACGCCACCATGCCCCGCTATTTTTTTGTATTTGTAGTAGAGACAGGGTTTTGCCATGTTGGCCAGACTGGTCTCGAACTCTTGATCTTACCTGCCTCAGCCTCCCAAAGTGCTGGGATTACAGGTGTGAGCCACCGTGTCCAGCCAACACTCAATATTTCTGTATGAGCATACCATCTTTCCAAACTTCAGAAACTCCAACATCTGCAGCCTGTCTTGGGCTGGCCAGGAAGTAACAGAAAGAGGAAAGGTGCACAGCAGCCCCAAAGGCAAATGCTTTTGGCAAGGAAGCAGGGAGACACAGTAAAGGGCAAGGATGGCTGGCCGCAGGGGAGGGTGCTGCCATGGGGCCATGGGACAAACAGGGCCAATGCAGAATGCTCTGAACTCAGAGTGGGGGAAGAGGATGAGGATGTGGGTATCCTTGATACAACCAGTTGACTCACCTCGAATGTTCAGGCTAGGATACATAAAAGTATGAATTAGATGGTCCCACCAATTAAAAAAAATGGGACATTACAACCCAGATTGATAAAGCCTTGTCCTTTAGGAGTGGCAGGAAGAACAGTGTGGGAGAGCCATGAATATAACAAATGAAGCTACACATAGTCTATGGAGGGTTTAGTGTCATCTACCGGCATCAGTCAATCATTTCCCAGTGAAAAGTCAGTAGGGAGGCCAGGCGCGGTGGCTCACGCCTGTAATCTCAGTACTTTGTGGGGTCGAAACAGGCAGATCGCCTGAGCTCAGGAATTCGAGACCAACCTGGGCAACATGGTGAAACCTCATCTTTACAAAAAATATAATAAATTAGTCGGGTGTGGTGGCATGCACCTGTGGTCCCAGCTACTTGAAAGGCTGAGGTGGGAGGATCGCTTGAGCCCAGGAGGTTGAGGCTGCAGTGAGCTGGGGTCGCGCCACTGCTCTCTAGCTTGGGCCACAGAGTGAGGCCCTGTCTCAAAAAAAAAAAAAAAAAAAAAGTCAGTAGGGAGATAGAAAACAACCTGTCTAATCACCTTTATTGGACACAACTAGTGTACAAAAACAACATCAAGGTGGGTGTGGTTATGCTGTGATAACAATCACAAAATCTTGGTGGCTTACAATAAGAAAGGTTATTTTTCATTTGTAATACATGTTCATTGCGAGTTGGCCACGGACTGCTCTGTTGATTTCACTCCTGGGCTGATGGCGTGACACTGGGACTCCTGGATCTGGGGAACTCATGGTTTCACAGCAGAGGGAAAAAAGATTGACATACGGAATCACTCACTAATTCTTAAAACTTCTGTCTAGAAGTGACGCCTGTCACTGCTGCTCACATTTCACTGGCCAAAGCAAGTCATATGGCCAAACCTCAACTCTCCTGGGGCAGGGAAGTATAATGTTCATCCAATAGTAAGGTCTACCACACAAAGGGTCCTTAAGTCAGCACTGTTTTAGGCTAGGGGGACCTAAATTCTTGGAAGATACAGAGACCTCAAAATCCAGTTGGTGAACAACTGTCTTGAGATGGAGTTATAAACAAATGTAAGAATAAAATATAATGGCTAGGCATGGTGGCTCACGCCTGTAATCTCAACACTTTGGGAAGCTGAGGTGGGAAGACTGCTTGAGCCGAGGAGTTTGAGACCACCCTGGAAAACATAATGAGACCCTGTCTCTACAAAACAATTTTTAAAAAATTAGCTAGGCACGGTGGTGCATGCCTATAGTCCTAGCTACTCAGGAGGCTGAGGTGGGAGGATTGCTTGAGCCCAGGAAGGGAGGCTGCAGTGAACTATGATCGTAGCACTGCACTCCAGCCTGGGTGACAGAACAAGACCCTGTCTCTCCAAACAAACAAACAAACAAACAAAAAAAGCAAAACAAAACAAAAAAACCCAAAATACAATATAAGCTTCACAAGGGAAGAGTCTTGAGAAGACTAACTGGGATTACAGGCATGCATCACCAAGCCTGGCTAATTTTTGTATTTTTAGCAGAGGCAGGGTTTCACCATGTTGGCCAGGCTGGTCTTGAACTCCTGACCTCAGGCAATTCACCCGCCTTGGCCTCCTAAAGTGCTGGGATTATAGGCATGAGCCACAGCGCCAGGTCTCAGCCAGGTTTTGAATCTTGCTATATTGTTGTAAATTCCAGGTACTCCACCCCCTCGGTACCCTCATTTGTCTTGCTTTGGGACAGTGACAGTGGAGTCCACTCTCCCTGTTTGACCTTCTCCAAGGACCTCCTAGAATATGGTGGGAGAAGGGAAGCGCATGTGGCTGGGTGAGGGAGGAAGACTTGGCTTTTCCTCCATCTTCATTTCAGTTGATCTGGGAGGTACAGAAATCTATCTTTTTAGGGATGTGGCTCAGATATTTTCATTTTATTAAAACTGAAGTCTTAGACTCACAGGTTTCCTTCAGGCTGGAATGCTTCTGGTGTAACATAACATTCTGGGGAGTATTAGCCAGCCGCCCCCTCTTTCTGGGTCAGTACCAGGCTTATGTAATTAGAAGTCCAAAGTGGAGACGAGTCAGACAGTCAGACTCACCCAGCCAATAACCTTCCCCCGCAGCTTTCTATCTGGTCGTCACAGAATTTTTGGGCAGGAGGAGACCTTGCACCTAATGAACTCTCATCTGTCTTGTTCCAACTAAACAGCTGAACATCATGAAGACCAAAATGCAACCCTCCTGTCCTAGATGTCAAAGCTAAAGCCTAGGACCCTAGTGGTCACTCTGTACCCTTCAACTGACTTACAGACTGGGGCCCACCATCCCTCCCTACCTCCTCCAACAAGATAAACACATCCGTGACCCCATCCCTAGGGAGCCAGGGAGGGAGGGAGGGAAGGATGGAGGAGGGAGCCTCCCCGGCACAGACAATCAGAGACTCGGCCTTGACTTAGGTTGTTAAGATAGCTGCTGCCTCCCTTCTCCAGCTGGCGGGAAGCAGTGACCCAGGGAGCCTGAGCCACCTCCGGGGGAGGAGAAGCTGGCTAGGGAGGAAAGATAAAGGAGAAGGGGGAGGAGTCTGGCCAGCTCCCACCTCCCGGCTGCTGTTCCAGCCAAGTGGCTGAGCTGGAGAAAGAGAACTGATAACAGATAAGGGTCTTGCTTTCCTGTGGCCTTGTTTATACAAGCTTAGGTTCTTGCCGGCTGGTCCCTGGGGGTGGGGGTGGGAGTGGAGTAGCTATGTGGGTGGAGGGCAGTATGGGTTTCTGGACCAAGGCTGGGTTTCAGCTGGCCAAGGCCTGCTTGGCTTAGAGATTTTCCCTGTACCTCCCACCCCACCCCCACCCCCAGATTTCCTGCAAGAAGCTGGCTGAGTGGACGCTTGAGCTGAAATGCAAGGCTTTCCACACGTGGAGTTGGGGGGCATTTTACCTGAAAAGCAGTGGACATGGCAACTCTGTCTCTCACTTGGCCTCTGGGGCTCTGGGCATCTGACAAAAGATTTCTATTTCCAACAGAGCCTTGTAGTCCTATATTCAAGCGAATTCAAGAATCCCCTGCACTCTATTCCTCAGCCTCCCTGAAACAAATTGGGTCAGACTTGTGCTGTGTCTGAGGCCCTGGAAGCTGTGGAAGAGCAAGTGCCATGTGCCAGGTCCTGTGCTAGGGAATAGGGGTCGGGTCATGAACCAAAAAGACACAGTCTATGCCCTGGTGGACATTAAAAGCAAGTAAGTGAGTCTACGAATCATGGCCAAGGCAGCATATGCTCTGGAAACATGGCAGGGGATCTAATCTCTCAGGTGGTCGGGAAAGACTTTTTGGAGGGATGGCATCTAAATAGAGGATTGGGCTGGGTGCGGTGGCTCACGCTTGTAATTCCAGCATTTTCGAAGGCCGAGGCAGGTGGATCACTTGAGGTCAGAAGTTTGAGACCAACCTGGCCAACGTGGTGAAACCCCGTCTCTACTAGAAATACAAAAATTAGCCAGGCGTGGTGGTGTGTGCCTGTAATCCCAGCTACCTGGGAGGCTGAGGCAGGAGAATCACTTGAACCCCGGAGGTGGAGGTTGCAGTGAGCTGAGATCATGCCATTGCACCCCAGCTTGGGTGACAAGAGCAAAACTCCATCCCCTCTCCTGGCAAAAAATAATAAATAAATAAAAATAGAGGATTGACAGACAAGCAGGATTGAGTAGAGTCGCAAGAGACACATAGAGAAAGAGCATCCCACGCAGAGAAAACACTGCAGGGAAAAGCATTTTAGAAGCAAAAGAGACGGGGTGTTTGGGGGGAAAAGAAAGGGGCGGTGTTTTGTGGGACCCTGAGGAGGAAGGGGGCAGAGCAGAGGTAGGCAGAGGCTAGATTATGGTTGGGGGTAGGAGTGGAAGGCAGAAAGGGGACTTGGAGAGAGGAGAAGAATGGGCAGACTGGAGGACTCCAGGAAGCTTTCCTCTGCAGGAAAGTGGGAGCCATGGTCCTTTCTGAGGTATTCCTAGATGGTGACTCCTGGAGCAGAGCTTGTCAGCCTCACCTGGCTGCCTTCTGTGTCAAAGCTCAGCAAACGCTTGTGGGTTTGGGGCTCCCTCCCATGGGTGTCCTCTTGGCCTCAGCCCCACCTGTGGCAGGCACATCTGGTTTCCCAGCCCCACCTTGGTTGGGTGGAGATGACACCCTGGAGGTGTTGTCCTGGGAGGTCAGCATCTCCCAGGTAGGACAGGTGGGATGAGGGTTGAGGCTGAGCTGCAGCTTGTCCAGGGAGGGCCTGACTCCCTTGAAGCTGTCTGCAACTGCCCCCCATCTCCATTGTGCCCTCCTAGGTGGCAGTGAGAAGGATTCAGAACTCCTTGCTTAAGGCCAACCCTCCCCCTACTGCCCGCCCCACTTCCAAGTGCTCGAGTCACTCCCAAGACCCCCAGCAAGTCATCCATTTCCCCCTACTCATTCTTGTCTTTACTCCATTCCACTCAATAGTTACTGAGGCGTATTGACTCTCTGGCACTAGCACACACACCTTCATTGGGTTAGGCTCCATACCTTGGTCCAGGAAATCCCAGAGCTGGGAATATTAAGTTTAATGGGTCAGGGTACAGGCTCTAACATCAGGGTTCGAAGTCTGTAACTCAGTGACCTGGGGCAAATCTCTCCATATTTTTGCATCTCAGTTTCCTTATCTATAAAATAGATAACAGTAGAACCTACTGCATAGACTGTTGGCAGATTACATGAGAGCATTCCCATAGAAGGCTTTGTGCGTAGTGAGTGGTCAATGAATACTAATGGCTACTGTTTATGTACAGCAGCTGTTCACTTTGGGAAAAGGAAATGGTTAGGAAGGAATCTTTTTTTTGAGAAAGTAACACAATAATATTAAAGATATCTACCTTAACAGCAACTATTTTTAGTTTTAATATTCACTTCCACTACTTATTTTGAGATCATGATTAAAAAAATCCAGAAGTCTAGGGAATTTGTATGTTTTCTTTTCTTTTGATCTACTCCAGTAAACCTGCTATATATATAGACTCAATAAGTGACTGTGGGTGTGGGATCTACACCCATGCCCAAGCCTAGAGGTGAGAACCCTGGATTTGGATTCCTGTTCATCCCTGAAGTCTTGTGTGACTATGGGTATGTTTCTTAGTATCTTGGAACCTGTTTCTCCTCACCTGTTAAACGAGGATACTAACCCTCTCCATGGGTTATGAGAAGTAGCTCTAATGTGGGCAAAGTGCCCAGCATAGAATAGAGGATTAATAAATGCCAGCTCCCAGCCTCTCTCTCTGATTCAGTGTGGGGTTCAGAGGATTGTAAGTACCCAGGGGTTGGTACCACCAGGCTGGCCCCAGCCCACCTCCCACCTTCCCATACTAAGCCCTGGAATTCACCTGAGAGCACTGGGGCTCTGGCCTACTTTAGAGACTGGGGGTCAACCAGCCTCCAGTTTACTTTGCTGACACAACTGTGGGGAAAGAAGGGGACATGTGAGCTTCTTCTGGGTCAGAGAGGACCTGGGAGTGGGAGAAGGCAAGGGCGAAGCTGTTTCCTGAGAGCCCTTGTGGGTTCTACCCGTTTATGGCCAGGGTGGGCTGGCAACTGTTGGGAAGAAGGACTGTGGGGGCGTGTTGGGGGGGTGAGCTGGGGATTGCAAAGCTCAGAAAGCTCAGAAAGAGTCAGGCACAAGGAGAGAGAAGCTGTGGTGATTAAGAGAGGAGTCCATTAAATCAGGCTGGTGGGAGCAACCTGGCTGAGTTACCTAAGTCCTCCGCCACCCCCGGCCAACAAAGGGCCTTTCTCAAATACAGAAAGGAGAATATTGTATTCATAATGAGTAATCGCATATGTCTTCAGAACATTTTCAAATCAGAGCATTCTTTTACATCCATTTTCTAATTTCAACCTCACCAAGAGGCAGGGAAAGGGAGGTAATATTCCTATTTGACAAATGAGGAAATGCAGGTTCAAAGGGGTGAAGAAATTTGACCACATGCATGTAGCTGCTGAGCTGGAATGCAAACCTGGCCTTCTAGTAGCAAGGTACCTGCAACTGAAGGATCAGCAGGCATCTTCCAGGCAACTAGTGGTTTGGGTACTAGAATAATTTAGAATTTCCTCCATCTGAAAAAAATGTTAAAATAGAAAGACTGTCTGGCCCTCTTTCTTTTCCAGATTCATCGGCTTCTTTTCTGACTTGGGCATTAATCTCCATGCAGAGAAGCTCTCCTGGGGGCAGTGCCCCTCCGAGGAGTAGCAGCATCCTGTAGATGGGAGGGACTTAGGGCAGCCCTACGGAAGGATTTTCAGAGCTACTTGTTAACAGGCGACTAAGTGAGGTTGCAAAATCACGCTGTCTGCGCATCAGCTGTCACCCATAGGATTAGGGGCCTCTCCATTTAGTCTGTATCTAAGAGATCACACTAACAAACAGTGTGAATGTGAGCCTTGGGAAGGCCCCTTTACCTCTCTGGGCATCAGTTTGCTCATCTGTAAATGGATGAACTTACCTTCATTTGACTTTCTGTGTGCAGGTTGGTGGAGCAAACATTTCCGGAATTCCTGGAAACCAGTCTGTCTCTGCCATTACCAAATGGTAGCCCTGGATCTGTGGCGGTCTCTCTGGGTCATGGTTTCTTCATGTGTAAAATGCAGAGGGGTGGCTCTTTAGGGTCCTTTCAGCCCTAACATTCTCTGCAGAAGCCAGTCACCAGGCCTGGGCTAGAAGAAACTGTTGGAAAGTGAGGCCTAGGGCCGGCCTGCATGGGTCTGAACGAGGAGACCTTGTGGGTGAGCTGGGGGTGATAGAAGCCAGTGGAGGGGAAGGGTCAGGGGGAGGGACTGGAAGTTAGGAGTTGGGATTAGGGAAGAGGGAATCGAGATCCCTGGCTAACCTGTCAGGACCTTGCCCATCTATCTGGGCTATCTCCAAAGAGGTTCCTAGAGCCCGAGCCCAAGGTCCTGCCTGGGGAGACCCTCTGAGGAGGCTGGAGTCAGCTACACCCCTCTGCTCAGGGAGATGAGCCTTCTTACCTGGCAGCCTCACCTGGCAAGCTCTCTGCTCAGTGGACCTTCCCCACCTGAGGCAGGGAAGGATAGAAATCCCCCAGCTGGGCCTTGCCATAGCTAGCCTGGGGTTAAAACTAGGCTCTCTAGGCAAACAGTGTCTTTGCTATCTTGTGTTTGGAACCCAGCATGGAGGAAAGGTGGAGTCCACAGCAGCCAGTTGTGTCCAGCGCAGCCTGCTGTGTTATCTTGGTGCAGGGCAGCTCACAGGGAGGCGGGCCTGCAGATAATGGCCAAACTGTGTTCACCCCGTTCATCAGACTCCTTCCCATCAGGGCCACTGCTTTTTCTTTAAACAATTACTGTGGAGCCAGCTCCAGTCCAGCTGCTTTGGGAGACCTAGGAATGTATTCTTTCTTTCATGGACCCGGGAGAGGGGTGGAGAGGTCTTGTGGTATCCTGGCAGATAATGCAACCTGTTTCAGTCTTGCCACTCACTTCTGGCAAGCCCTGTCTCCCCTCTGTGATCCAGTGTCTCCATCTTTAAAATAAGGAGGAGAGTCCCTTTGGCCACCCCTCTTCCCCTGGCTCATGAGGACATATGGGGATACATGAGGTCTTGTCTATCACAGAGCTGTGGGTCTTTAGGGAGGCCCTCAGAAAACACCAGCTGCTGTTGTTGGTTATGGGGATCTAGGTTCAAGAAGAGCCTGGTGGTGTTATTTATTACTCATGAAGTCCTGGCCACCATGCTGATCCCAGGCGGGACGTGGTTAGCCAGTCCTAGACTGAGCAGGAAGCCAAATGAACTTCCTTTTTTTTTTTTTCTTTTTTTAGAACAATCTCAAGAAGCCTGGTGCTCTGAGCCCTCAGAGTCAGCTGATGCCCCTTGCCCAGTAGCCAGGGTAGAGGTGGGGGTGTCAGTTTCTGCATCTAGGCCCCTGAGTATTCTTGGGAAATGACGCATGCTGTCACCAGCTGTACAGGCCATTACCCGTTGAAAAAATGTGACTGTGGGGGCCATTAGCCCCAAGAGTTCAGCACCCTCTGCAGTGGGAGGGTAAGAGCTACAGAGCTTAGGAAAGGTGCCTCCTATCAGCTGGAGACTAGAGCCTTAAACTCAGAGTCTGAAGGCGGATTGCACTTCTGCTGCATGCCAGCCACGTAATCCTTAGGAGGAATGAAAGCTCTCTATGCCTTTGTTTCCCCATCTGTAAAACCAGCACTGTAAAAGAATAATACGTGCCTTGTAGGGTTGTTACAAGAAGAAAACATAATCTAAAATGTTAATGGATGGTCCTAGTAGAACATTTGGTGCGTAGAAAATGCTCAGTAAGTGAAATAGAAGGGAGAGAAGCTAGGATGTGAGTTTAAGACATGTGGACAGAGAACATCCCAACAAGCTGTCCTAATCTTGAAATGCATGAACTGAAAATAGCGTGGGCTGCAGGTCCCCCAAGCACAGACTCAATGGCATGGCTGATGACATTAGTCCAGGGCTGTCCAGCCTGGGCAACAGCATTCTTATTTGGATTAAGGGAATAGAAGTTGCAGAGTAGAAGCAGCTTCCTAGAAGGATCCACCGTCCTTCCACCGAAGCCCACAAGCAGGTGAGGTGAGCTCCTTCAGGCCCAGAGCTCAGAGGCCTTTATAGATAGGTGTGAGGAGCCAGAGTGGGTTTTGTGGTCAGAGCCCAAGGCTAGGCATGGAGAATTCTGTTTTCCTGAAGCTGGCTGTTTCGTCACCTGGGACAAATTTCCTAACCAGTCATCCCCAGGTAAAGGGGAAGGCCGCAGACAATGGGCTTTTGGCCTTCTGCTTCTGAGCCCACTGATCTTGATGTGTCATTTGACCTCTCAGCTGTGGTTACCCCTGTGGGAGATGGGGATCATAACCAACTCTCCTGGAGGAGGGTGGTGAGAATGGAATGATGCGATGGCTGAGGTCCCCGCGTGCATCTGCATGGCCAGGTGAATGAAAGGGGGTGCTGTGAAGAGCCATCTACACCTCTGTCAAGGGGCAGGGACTGGTCACCACTAGGATCTTCTCCATCCTGAACACTGCCTTGGGGAGCTTAGGTAAAGTGAATCACCCAAGGGGTAGGGAAGAGGAGAAGGCTGACTGGGAGGAAGGCTCCAGGTTAAATTTTTTGGTGCCACCTTAAGAGAAATCTGTTTGCAGCCTTAATTCATCTGTAAACCAGGCAAGTCCTACCCGCCTTCCTAACAGAAGGAGCAAATGAGAATTAATTAGTAAATGTGGCTGTCAAACTTGGTCCGTGTTATTATTAACTTAATGTGTTTGTTTAAAAGGGGGAGGCTGGCTTGCTCCAGTCTACAGGCAGGCGTGTGAGCTGCTAGCCTGCCGGCCAGGTCTGATGAAAAATCCTGTAGATTGTTTCCACATGGGAGTTTACAACACAGATAATTAGTTGCAGTGGTGGAAGGCCTTGGAGGCGAGGGATGATGGATTCTGATGATGGATTTTGCAGTCCTTGGGGGGCAGAGGTGTTCTCTAAGGGAGGAGTTGTTGTACTAGGGAGAAGGCGCCCCAGGGGCTTAGGCAACACAGCCTGAAGCCAGCAGGCAGGGTGACCAAGGGGGTGGCCCCTGCTGTCCCAGATGGTTGGGGAGGCGTGGGGAGTGCTGCACACAGGCCATGCATGTATGCATGTATTCCTGGAGCGTGCAGGTGTCTGGGGCTTTCTCACAGGCAGATCTACCGTGCTGCTCCAGAAGATACCAGATGCTCAGCCAACCCACTGCATGCACCAGCTGCATAATGTAGTGCCCACTCAGCTGGAGTGGGGGGGGGGGGGTAGGTGGAGACCAGTGTTGAAAGGATGGTTTGTAATGAACAACTTCATTTTTCTAATATGTGCTGGTGCGTAAGGGTTAGCAGGTAGAGTCTCTGCTGTAAATGACACTTGAATACACTCTGTGGCTTCAGCTTTGCCCACTTTGGTTTCATGAACTGTCCTAATCTTGGGATGCATGAATTGAAAATAGCGTGAGGTGAAAGTCCCCCAAGGATAGACTCAATGACATGGCTGATGACGTCTGTCCAGGGGTCACCCACTGACCTTTCTTGCTGTATATTGGTTTCTCATGCTTCTCAGTCCTTCCTTCCAAGGCTAAAATCATGGACTCTGGAGCTAGGCTACTTGGATTTAAATATTGGCTCCACCACTTACTAGCTGTGCAACTTTGGTTGTTTTTTTGTTTTGTTTTGAGATAGAGTCTCACTCTGTCACACAGGCTGGAGTGCAATGGTGCGATCTTGGCTCACTGAAACCTCTGCCTCCTGGGTTCAAGCAATTCTCATGCCTCAGCCTCCAGAGTAGCTGGGACTACAGGTGCATGCCCCCACATCCAGCTATTTTTTGCATTTTTTTTGTAGAGATGGGGTTTTGCCATGCTGCCCAGGCTGGTCTGGAAATCCTGGCCCCAAGTGATCCACCTGTCTCGGCCTCCCAAAGTGCTGAAATTACAGGCGTGAGCCACAGCACCTGGCCTAGCTGTGCAACTTTGGGCAAGTTACTTAAACTCTCCATGTCTCAGTTTCCTCATCTGTAGAATGGGAGTGATGATACTTTATATGTTGGTTGGGGGGATGGAATAAGTTAACATTTGTAAAGCGTTTAGACCACTGCCTAGTGCATAATAAATGCTGTATAAATACTGGTTAAACAAATGAATGAGTTCTGGTTGCCCTAAGGAGACTGGTTGCCCATGTCTCTATATGATTACCTCTCCTCTAAGCCATTTCAACACACAGTAAGAACAGTGTGTTTGCTATGCACTTAACATTCCATTTTGTAGCTCTCCCCCTATCTAGAAGCTGCCCTCCCCTGAGCACATTAGGGTTCTGTGAGCCCATTTTCCTCTTTGGGGCCCCCACATTCTGTCTGCTGCTGTGATCTTTGTTATCCGAGGTCAACATGGCGAAACCCTGTCTCTACTAAAACCACAAAAATTAGCCGGGCGTGGTGGTGGGCTCCCGTAATCGCAGCTACTTGGGAGGCTGTGGCAGGAGAATCACTTGAACCCGGGAGGCGGAGGTTGCAGTGAGCCGAGATTGCCACTGCACTCCAACCTGGGTAACAGAGCGAGACTGTCTCAAAAAAAAAAAAAAAAAAAGATCCCTCTATGTCGGGCAGGGTGAGACCAGCCCCTACCTACACATGAATCCTTGCTGTGCAGCTGCCTCCAAATGTTGGTGATGACCTTGAACTGAGGAGAGCACTGTCCCGGTGGCACGTAGGACAGGGGTACAATGGAGTGCTACTGTGTCCTTTGGAGTTCTGTTTGATGTCTGGAGTCCTTGGAGTCCCTGTGGCTATCTGCTGCTCTGGTTTTGCATGGGGTTAGGCCAGAGTCTTCTTGTATCACTAAAGGACATTTTATTGACTGTCTGCTCATTCCTTACCTACTTTATTGTGACCCGACTCATTATTTTCAGCAATAAAGATAGAACACTGTTGAAAAGAGCTGGAAAATAAGAGCTATACAGATAAGTAATTGGCAACACACTTCTCCCTGGAACCTGAGCAGACCATGTGGTTAAACGTGTGTGCAGGTGTGTTGTGTGTTTATCAAGCATCTTTAACAGGTTCACACCTTTGACATCATAATATCACTTCTGGGAAACCACCCTAAAGAAATGCTATAAAATTTGCAAGATGCTTTATGCACACAGATGTTGTACACACAGTTATTTATAAAAGAATACACTGGAAACAACCGAAATGTCCAGCATTTCATATAAGGTTATGTACAACCACGGTTGCACTAATTTTAGTGGTTTTCAACCTTTCGTAAGTTCATGAGTTGCTTGAGAAACTTACTAAGATGAAGACTCCCAGCCTCCTCCCCTAGAGATTTTGATTTAATGGATCTGGGGTGAGATCCAAAAGTCTGCATTTTTAACATACCACATATAATTTTGATGCAGATGTTCTGCAGTTCGCATTTGAGAAAACTGATCAACTTGATGGGATATTTTACAGTCATTTAAAATGATGTTTGAAGAGAGATTATAATAACATGGAGGAATTCTTTATAACTAAAAAAGTATGAAAATTGTGTATATAACTGCATCCAATTATGAAATACAACTATATAGAACAAAGCAAAAATATACAAAAATATAAACACAGGTGGTCTCAGCATGGTAGAGTTATGGCGATTTTCTTCTTTTTTCTGCATTTTCTACATTTTCCAAAATTTCTAAAAGCAAGCATTATTTTTATCATAAAAACTCATATGCCTGTAATCCTAGCACTTCAGGAGGCCGAGATGTGTGGATCACTTGAACCCCGGAATTCGAGACCAGCCTGGGCAACATGGTAAAACCCCGTCTCTAACAGAAAATGCAAAAATTAGCTGGGCATGGTGGCTCATGCCTGTAGTCCCAGCCACTAGGGAGGCTGAGGCGGAAGGCGGAGGTTGCAGTGAGCTGAGATTATGTCACTGTACTCCAGCCCGGGTGACAGAGTGACACCCTGTCTCAAAAACAAAAACAAACAAACAAACAAAACACACATAGGCTTATAATTTTAAGACAGACAGTATCCTCCTTGGAACAAATTCAAGGGCTTTAGCTTGTTCACCCTCTTTCCTGGGATTTATATGCTGAAAAGTTCCATTTTCTCTTTGAAGAGACTGAAGGACCCTGAAGCAGAGTGAGGCTGGTCTCTTCAACTTCAGATGGGCCAAACCCCTTTTGGAAGTGCCTTCACACTCAGCTTTACCTACAGACCTTTGATAAGCTTCCGGAGTTAGTGAAGGTGCATTCAGCCCTGTTAGTGGTTGTTAAGATAAAAAGAATACTTAGCCTGGGATAGCATTTTATTTTGCGGAGCTGAACTATCTTAATGTCATTCTCTTGAGGATTTTTTTTTTAGATATTACAGTTTGTACAGGACAGTGAGGCCCTGTGTCAAGATGTTGGAAATAAGGAAAACAAAGTTGTCTGCTGAGAGCTGCATGTATAATTGGTAGGTCCATCATAACAAAATTCCAAGCCTGCGTGGCTTAAAAAGCAGAAATTCATTGTCTTACAGTTCTGGAGGATAGAAGCCTGAGATCAAGGTGTTGGCAGGGTTGGTTCCTTCTGAGGGCTGTGAAGTAGGATCTGCTCCAAGCCTCCCTCCTTAGCTTGCAGATGGCTGTCTTCGCCCTGTGTCTTCCCCTGGGCTTCCTTCTGTATGTATTTGCATCCAAATTTCCTCTTCTTATAAAGACAGCAGTCATACTGCAGTAGGGCCACCCCAATGACCTCATTTTAACTTAAGTACCTCTTTAAATACCCCATCTCCAAGGAAGGTCATATTCTGAGATACTAGGGCTTAGGGCTTCAACATATGACTTTTTTGGGTGATTCCAGTCACCCTATAACGATGCATTGCTAAGTGACCGACAGTAGGACACAGAGCTGTGCAGACTCTTAAAGAGTTGGAATGGGTTCCTGACACGTCTGATTTAACTGTCAGATAGCTTGAAAAGTAAAAGTGAGAGGCAATGTGGGCTGTTTCCACTGGGACCTGATCAAGGAGGGAGAGCTTGGGCCCAGAATTGCCATCGGGCTGATCCTGGGGAAAGGCAGGTACCCCTGTGGTAGAGACAAACTCATCAGCTTAACTTGCGTCTATCCAGATCCACTTGTGGCTCTCTGACTTTCCAGTCATGACTGGGACCAAGGTCCGTAACGTGTGCAAGCCTCCCCTGGAGAAATGGGAAGAAGAATTCCCTGCGAGACTGTCCTGCCAGTCCTGAAGTCTGCTGCAAGGCAAGATTGTGAGGACGCTCGGTAAATTGCCAAGCTCTTTCTGTCCCCAGCAAGCCGACAGAGCTCTGAACATCCTCGCTCACCTGCAGCAGCCGATCATGATGCTGTTTCTGAAGGCGGCAGGTTCAGTTATACTTGGAGGAGTCTGGAACTTGAAATGGTGGCAATGACTATTAGGTTGGTGCAAAAGTAATTGCAGTAAGTGATGGTAAAAACCGCAATTACTTTTGCACCAACCTAGTAGTTGTGGCATATGTGGTGGTGATAGAAAACCTTCAGAAGGTCCATTGCCAAGGGCCTCCATACATTCTTAAAAAAAAAATGGTCAGGCACGGTGGCTCATGCCTGTAATCCCAGCACTCTGGGAGGCTGAGGTGGGCTGATCACCTGAGGTCAGGAGTTTGAGACCAGCCTGGGCCACATGATGAAACCCCATCTCCATTAAAAATACAAAAATTAGCTGGGCGTGGTGGCACATGCCTGTGGTCCCAGCTACTTGGGAGGCTGAGGCAGGAGAATTGCTTGAACCCGGGAGGCAGAGGTTGCAGTGAACTGAGATTGTGCCACTGCACTCCAGCCTGGGCTACAGAGTGAGACTCCAACTCAAACAAACAAACAAACAAACAAAAAAACAAAAAACCCCACCTTTATTTTGAAATTGACATATGCTTCATATATGAAAATTTATAAATTTGATATAGAAGAATAAAAAGTAAAAGTTCCCATTCTCAAACCCTCTACCTCTTTTCCACCACCAAAATCCCCTCCCCGCAGTGAATGATCTCTTCTGGATGTTCCTATGCTTAGACAAACATATATATAAATACTTAAAAAACCAACACACTCATGATTTAGTTCATACTGTTTGAAAACTTGTGTTTCTAACTTAATGAATGACTGTGGGCTTCTTTTCACGTCAGTTCATGTACACAGATTTTCATGTTACTTTTTTAAACTGTTGCGTAGTATACCACATAATAGATACACCATATACTATTTAACTCATTAGTGGACATTTTGGTTATTTCCAGTTTTTAAAAATGTGATAAACATGATTACAAATGAATATCTCTGCTCACGTATCTTTGAGCCCTTGTGTGAATGGATCTCTGTAGGATACATTTCTAGGCATGAAATAACCTAAGGTGATATTTGTATATTTAAAATGTTGATAGATTTTAGAAGTTGCTCTAAAAAAGAAAGCTATCAATCTACACTCCCTCCAAAAGTTTATGACAATTCCTATTTCCTCACATCCTTGCCAAGAATGAGCACTATGCCATTGTGTCCTGAAATTGTTAAGGTGTCGAGGCTGAATATTATTTTGAGTGTGTTCTTTCAATATGTTTCCAGAGATGCTTAAAATCATGATCATAAGGCCTTTTGGAAAATAGCATTTGGATCCAAGATCACAGGAAATTGTCAACAGATTTTCCAAGGAACCCACTGAGCTCTGGGAGTGTATTCAAGGGGGCCTAGGATTTTCTACCTGAACCCAGACGTTGCACCAACTCATAGAGAAGGTACACATCTGTCTTTCTTTTCATGTGAGAGGGGGAAAAATAAACAAAGACAGGTTTGAACATGTAATCACACTTGGTGCCCTTGAAACAGTTCTCTAGTTATCTATCTATCTATCTATCTATCTATCTATCTATCTATCTATCTATGTCCTGGGCCTCATCAGTTTTTCTGATTCTCTGAGTGCCCTGTAAATAGTGCTTATATGGGGTGCCTGTATGAAATGTTTAGAGAAAATCAACTCCTTATCCAGTGGTGGGGAGCGGGGAGACGGTGGAAGTAGCTGGCCTTGCCTAAGCTCGCTTACCCCTCAATCTCATGGAACACAGCAGAGGCTGGCTGCTGCCTAGTCCAGTGGGCAGACCAAGGGCCTCATTAGGGCAGCAGCAAAGCAGAGGTTCCAGAGCTATGAGAAAATGCACCTTTGATAAAATTATCCAGAATTTTGTGTTCAGAAATATCCAGAAGAAGCCATTTTAACTTCAGCATACATGTAAGTTTTGCATTTTATGAGTCTGTTATGTTTTTCTCTTGAATCACATTGCAGACAATGCCATATCTTTAGAGCTGAGGACTTCTAAAGATCTGCCAGTATCCCCTCCCGCCTCCTCCACCCACACTCATGACAGGTTAAGTGTTCTCTGAGGCGCTGGAATTTTCCAGTCCTTCATGGAGGCCCTGTCTGCTGGGATTCTAGAGATGGGGCTTTGTTTCCGTGTTCAGAAGACCTGCATTACAGGGTGGGGGTGGAGATTTCATCAGAAAGCAAGTGAAGGCGCCGGCAGTGTTGGTGCTCAACAAGATTAATTTCCTACCCACTGCAGGCTCGTCCCATCTGAATCATAGGATTAGCAGAGCAGGACGCTAAAGACCTTAAGAAGTGCTTTGTTGCTTTATATACAAAGTTCTAGAGAAAGAAGAAGAGAGAGGTATGAAATTGGAATTTCACCATCTTCTTCTTGGGCTGTAGCACATATCTGTGCCTGCAGTAAATGTAAATATGTATAACTATACATACATATATATAACTAGTTTTTCCTTGAGTTGAGTTGAAGTGAATTGAATCATGCTTGTATTCATCCTATCCAAGGTCAAACGTGTAATTTATGACCGGACAAAAGGTAAAAGCTTCACTCCTTTCTAGAGCTTCTTAATATCTGCCATTTTCATTACCTATGGAAGAATTCCAGTCCATGTTAGAGGTAAGGAAGTAAACATTTGCATTTCTACAATATACTAAGCACAGTGCCTCATTTTGCCTTCCCAACGGCACTGGGAATATTATTTTGCGACTCAAGAATCAGAGAGTTAAAACCATTTCTTCCTGAGGTTACGGGTGACAAGCAGTGGGGTCATGATTCAGACCCAGGCTGGCCTGATGGCACACCTTGCTCTCACCGCCTCCATGGCATAAGCTTCCTGGAGTCGGTCATTTCAGAAAGGAACACCAGCTCATTACTGAGTTCCAGATCTGAGTATAAACAGTAACCCCTGGTCCTGCCCCTTGAAGGCTAGCTTGGGGCTCTGCTCAGCCACCAAGTGTCAGGTGTCTCAGGAACGCCAGTCATTCCTGTGGGATAAAGTCACGTCATCCAGGGCACAGGAGCAGGCATGGAGGGACAGAGGGACAAAGCAGCCTCTGCTGTGGTCATGGGTGACATGTTTCTCAGCCTCCTCCATGGCCCAGGCTCTCCTGCATGTCCTTCCCAAGACCCTTCTGCAGCTTCTTCCTTGGGAGAGGCCCATGCCCTTCGTTAAGTCCCCAGCATGCAGCAGTCGCTGCAAAGCCCATCCATTCAGGTATTTGGTCGTTCATTCGTCCAGTGACTATTCATGGAGGTGCTACCCTGACCGCATCACCCTGGGTGCAGGGGACAGAGCAGGAATGACGGGAGACCTCGTCCTTGCTCTCCAGGAATGTATGCACAGTGGAGAGAGAAAGTCAGCAGTCACAGAGGTAATAATGCATTGACCACAGTCCTCTCAGCGTAACCATGGAGGAGGTGCTGCAGATATCTAGAAGAAACACGCACACCGAGGTCTACAGGGGGAGCTGAAGTTGGCTAGGGAAAGAAGTGTGGAAGAGCACTTATTTAATAAACCCAGCAGCCACTGTTTTAATGCTTTACAAATACTAACTCATTTAACCCTCCTAATAACTCTATGATGGAGTACTATTAGAAACCTCATTTTACATTTGAGGGGTGAAATGACCCATCCACAATCACCCTGCTAGGCACAGTCTTAGCCAGGATCCAAACACATCAGCCTATGGACAGTATTTAAAGCAGGGAGGGGAAGGGATCACCCTTGCATGAGTGCAGGCAGAGCAAAGAAGAGGCCCTAGGCTGCAGCCCGGGCGACCTCCTGTGCTAAGGGGGACCGAGTCCAGGAGACTGAAAACAGGCATTAGAGGGGTAGAGAGTCAAGAGAAGAAAGTATTTCTAGAAGGAGGGAGCAAGCACTTGGCCAAATGCTTCGGACCAATGGGGGAGGATGAGGACTGACTGAGGATTGACTGGTGGTATCATTGTGACGCTTGACAAGAGCCATTTTAGCGGGGGTCATGGAGTGCAAAGCCCAGTTTTCAAGTGTTCAAGAAAAGATAGGAGGAGAGGAGGTAGTGACTGTGATAATAATTCTTTTGTGGAATTTGACTCTAAAAGAAAGAAGCTAAGTAGGGTGATAGCCGAAGGGCGATCTAGTTCCAAGGGATTTCTTTTTTAAGAGGGAGGTAGTAAAACATGTTTGTGCACTGGGAGGAATGCCTCAGCAGAGGAGAAGCCAATCAGGCAGAGAGAGCACCCAGCACAGAGTGAGGGCCTTGGGCTACACCAGGGGCTGGAATCCAAGGTTGAGTGAGGGTGGCCTTAGACAGGTGCGTGGCCGCAGGGGCATAGCAGATTGGCTGACAGCAGATGGGCATGGTTATATGCAGCCACCTGGACACGGGCATGGTTGTATACAGGCTTTCAGTGGCAGGTCCCTGACCAGCATCTCCTCCAGAGCCTGCTAGTTTGATTTTCCCCTTGTCTTCTCTGAGATCTTAGCAGAGCCACAAAGAGAGGGAGGCAACCTTCTTCTCTGGACGCTGCAAGGGCTGGAGGGCATTCCTGGGCATTCTGTCCCTCCGGGTGTCACCAGCCTTTGCTGATTGGTGCAGGCTGAGAGGAGGGGCGCTGATGGTGGGGTTCAGCCTTGGCTGTGTTCCTGGTGAAGCTGTGAGCTGAGTGTGAGGAGAGACCTGCATCCACTGAGGGTCGTTTTCTCAAAGGCCTGTTTGGCACTTGCTCTTCAGGAGCCCTGGGGATTTGAGGACACATTCCTGCTGTCATGTGACAGACATAGTATCCACCCACTTGACACACAAAATGGCTATGAACCCCATTCCAGCAAGTTTATGTAAAGTTACCTCACGGAATTTCTTTCTCCTTTTTTTTTTTTTTTTTTTGAGATGGAGTCTCGCACTGTAGCCTGGGCTGGAGTGCAGTGGCGCGATCTCGGCTCACTGCAACCTCTGCCTCCCAGGTTCAAGTGATTCTCCTGCCTCAGCCTCCCGAGTTGCTGGGATTACAGGCACCTGCCACCACAACTGGCTAATTTTTTGTATTTTTAGTAGAGATGGGGTTTCGCTATGTTCGCCAGGCTGGTCTTGAACACCTGACCTCGTGA
The DNA here is from genome assembly GCF_000001405.40 of Homo sapiens. Taxonomy (NCBI): domain Eukaryota; kingdom Metazoa; phylum Chordata; class Mammalia; order Primates; family Hominidae; genus Homo; species Homo sapiens. The sequence goes on along the minus strand of NC_000014.9, from coordinate 68,746,738 downwards.
TCCACCCACCTCTGCCTCCCAAAGTGCTGGGATTACAGACGTGAGCCACCATGCCGGGCCTTCTTTTTCTTTTTTAGAGACAGGTTCTCGCCCTGTGGCCCAGGCTGGAGTGCAGTGGCGTGATCATATCTCACTGCAGCCTCGAAGTACTGGACTCAAGCAATCCTCCTGCCTCAGCCTCCTGTGTAGCTGGGACCACCACCACACCCAGATCATTTAAAATATTTTTTGTAGAGACGGGGGTCTTGTGGTATTGCCCAGGCTCCTCACAAAATTTCTGATGCACAAAATTGGCCAGTTAGGGCTTTGGGGGTAATTTATACTTTTTCAAGGTTTGAATCTAAGAAATGCACAGCCTGAAGTTGGCACCTATTCCACCCTGGCTCTCCAAGGTGCACCTCTTCAGCCTAGCTGTGTTTCACAGATAAATGCACAAACAAAAAGAGGGGAGGAATGAAACTGGGAGAGCTCCGAATGCAAAATCAGGGATTTCCCATTGGGGAAAAATTCCTCCGGTTAAAAAAAAGGATTTGGGTAAATGAGGCAGACACACCAGAGGTATAAGACAGCTAGCATCCCACAGGCCTGGTTTACTTCATCAACCACTTTCTCAAGAAAAGAAAGTGTAAAAAAATAATACGTAGGTATGTATCCCCTACTCTCCCCACCAAAGAGAAATTCTGTCTGTCAATTTCTCTTTTCCCCCAGCGTATTGTAGGCTGTATTGTAAATTGTTTTCCTATAAAGTAATAAAATGTAAATGTGAGTTTTAGGTATGCTAATGTTTCGGGTTGTCCAAGCGTGAATTCCCAAACAGTTATGGGTTGAGGACCTGCGAGGAAGCTGTGAGAACCAAGGGGGTGATGAGAAGGGAAGACAAAAGTTCCCCATAGTTGTAGCTGGAGAAGGCTGGGATTTAGGAAAGATGAGATCTGATGTGAGTTGGAGGCCTTCAGGGGACACCAGAGGCAGGTAGGCCTAACAAGGGCTGAAAGCAGCAAGCATCAGGAACATTTCTCCACCACAGAGTAGAGAAGGAGGAAGCGTTTTGCTGGCAGGGGCTCAGCTCCTCACCTCTGGAAGGCTGAGACTGCAGACCCTTGCAGAAAGAGGGCTGCACTGGGCAACAGCGAAAGGCCATGGTACCCCATGGAACACTGTCGAACAGCTACCCCAGCAGGATGCTGAGAGACCTTCCAGGAGCTCATTTTTTATCAAACCCTTTTTCCAATTTATCATGGTAATCAGAGGTAGGATTCACATCAGGTGAATCAGGTGAGGATTTGCAAACAGAAATCTGTTAAAATCAAATTGATTTTGTGAAACAGGGGGTACCTGAAGCTCTGGGGGATTCATCGCAAAAGGCTTCATGAAACAACATGACTTTGGGTTTCATATGTTTGGATAAAAAATCCAGCTTTTGTTGCACTTTGAAGGAAGGCTGGGTCTGGCAGGGATTCCAGGGCAGCTGGGGAGACGTATGACAAAGGGACAAATGAAAAGCGAGGGGTATGTGAGGATGCTGGGGAACCTGCTTAGGGGACTAGACAGTAATGAAGATCCATGACATGGGAGAGAGGGTAAAACCCGGGATTAGCAAGGAAGAGCTCAGTAATAGCCAAGAGCTTCTGCAAGCTTCGGAAGGGTGATTTTGTTCAAAGAAACCTTAAGAGGTAGAAAGGCATGAGCAAGTGGAGTCTGAGAAGGGCTTTTTCTCAGCGTGCAGGCGCAGGCGGAAGTTTTAGAAGTGTGGTGGGAGAGACAACTGTGAAATGGGAAAGATGCTGAGAAGGAAGCCTCAGATCGGTGGACAGCCCCAAGAAAGACACGGAGGAGTTACCAGGTAAGGTGAATTAAATGGGGAAGACCGTGCTGAAATTAACCGGGCAGCAAAGCAGGGGAGAAGCCCAAGGGGTGCATCCGTAGCTGTTGCTGGTCCCTGCGGGCCTACTGTGTGCTGCCACACTGGACTTCCCTGTATCCCCAGAACCTAGTGTGGTGCCTGCGTATAGTTGACACTTATTAATTATTTGTTGAATGAACGGATGGGTGAAGAAATAACAAGTGTCGCTGAGGCTGCCGTGCAAAATAGTGTTGCAGTTCCTCAAACAATTAAACATGGAATTACTAGATGATCTCCTAGGTACTTACCCAAAATAATTGACACAGGGACTTGAACTGGTATTTGTACAGCCATGTTCCTAGCAGCACTATTCACAATAGGCAAAAGGTGGAAGAAACTCCAGTTTCCACCTGTGGATGAATGGATAAGCAAATTAAATGTTTCAGCCTTAAAAAGGAAGAACATTGATACATACTACAACATGGATGAACCTAGAAAACATTATGTTAAAGTGAAATAAGCCAGTCACAAAAGAACAAATATTGTATGATTCCACTTATACGAGGTACCTAGAGCAGAAAAATTCATAGACACGGAAAGTAGATTAGACGTAACTGGGGGAAGGAGGTAGGAAGGAACAGGGAATTGTTGGTTAATGGATGTGGAACTTCAGTTGGGGAAGATGGAAAAGTTCTGAAAATAGAAAGTGGTGATGGTTGCACACAGTGTGAATGTCCTTAATGCCTTTGAACTTGCACTTAAAATGGGTAAATGATACTTTTCTTGGAGGGCGGGGGGTGAAGTCTCGCTCTGTCGCCCAGGCTGGAGTGCGGTGGCGCAGTCTCGGCTCACTGTAACCTCCACCTTCTGGGTTCAAGCGATTCTCCTGCCTCAGCCTCCCAAGTAGCTGGGATTACAGGTGCCCACCACGACGCCCGGCTGATTTTTGTATTTTTAGTAGAGATGGAGTTTCACCACGTTGGCCAGGCTGGTCTCGAACTCATGACCCCATGATCTGCCCGCCTCGGCCTCCCAAAGTGCTGGGATTACAGGTGTGAGCCACCACACCTGGCCACATTTTATGTTATATATATTTATCACAAAAAAGGGGCAAAATTATAACTCTCAAATATAGCAAAAAAAAAAAAAAATTGACCGTGCAGAACATGCGTTTAAGACCCACATAAACTTTCATTCGTGTAATCCTCACAACGACCCTGTGACTCAAGTTCTATCATTTTCCCAGTGAGCACCAGGCCCTGTGCAAGGTGTATTACACAGACGGCTTCTTTTGGGGAAAACCCTGCACAGTGGGTTACTATGTTCATTTTATGGATGTGAAGTGGAGCCTTCTAGACAGACAGAAACATACAAGCAGTGAGGTGCCTGAGTAGGCTAAAATTCAGGCTTGGCCGAACCCAGAAGCTACATGGTTTCTGTACACTGCGCTACCTCTTCCAGCACCAAGTGAGCCAAGATTAGAACAGAGGCATAGAGAGGTCAGCAGTATTCATGTAGGATGCATGTATTAAGCACTGACTGTGTACTCAGCTCTTTACTTGTCACTAAGAAGATCAGAGAAGTAGAAAATGCTATTCTTGCCCTCATAGGATTAACTAAGGTACATGGGGCTCTGCAGCAGATATTGGTATAAAACTATCTTCGGTTGCATTACCTTGGCTCCAGGGCTGTAGGAGCCAAAGGGAGAGAGTTAGGGTGGAGGAGAGTCTGGAAGACCTCTGGAGTCAGGACTTCCTAGGAAGGAGTCATTGAGTCCATTCTGTGTTCTAGGTGACAGGAAAATCTAGTTGTGTAAATAGGAATAATACTAACACAAACTCATAATTCCCTATCTGCAAGCCTGAAACCCAAAGATCCCAGGGACGAAAAGGGTTGTTTGTTTGTTTGTTTTTGCTGTTGTTGTTGTTTGTTTCTTCATTTTGTCAATTTGGTGCCAAATCTCATTTAGCAGCAAAATCTGATCTGAACTGGAGAGGCTATTTGCAGTCTGAAGTCCCTCCAAGTAAAAGTTGACATGGTCACTGCAGCATCATGAATGTGTCTGATTGTGAGGCCCTGACTTGGCACCCACTGGGGGACATATACTAAAGACAGCCTATGCACCATATTACCTCCTAAAAGAAGAAAAAATACTGGGCTTTTGGATGAAGGATTGTTAACTTATACTCATCGCATGATAGACTATGTGAAGGAGGCATTTTGACAAGTGCTTTACTCCCATTACCTCATTTAGTCCTTACAATAACCCTATGAGGCAGGTCCTATTATTATCATTCTCATTTTACAGGTGAGGAAACTGAGACCAGAGAAGGAAAATAACTTGCCGAACGAAGGCTACAAACTTGCAAGTGATGGGGCCTGGTTGAACTTAAGGTCTTTCTGTTTGGCAATAGCATCTCAGTGACATCCTTGGTTGGAATAGTTTTAGAATCAAGGTAAAGATGGAAGTCAGACCATGGAGTTCCCAGGAGGAAGGAGCTAGAGGGGAAATGGGACCTGAGGGGTGGGTTCCCCATCTGGGTGTTGACAGGGAGGGGAGGGCAGGCGAAGGTGAGAGGCGACATCCCAGATCAGGTGGGCCTGGCTGGGCAGCCAGGGTTGGGGCTACAGAGGGCTTGGGCCTCTCAGCAGAGCTGGGGCTCCCTGTGGTAGAGGCTGCAATTTGGACATCACAGAGCCCCAGAGAGCATGAGTCCCCAACCCTGGTCTTTAACTTGTCACCTTCTCCCAGACATAAACAGCCACCCTCAGGCCTACAGCCATTCCCCTTTTTGTTGAAAGAGGAAGCAGTCACAGAAGGCACCCTTCACCCACTCTCTGTGGTCTCAAGAAGAGGAACCTGGATCTGATTTGGATTTTTTTGAAGAAATCTTGCTTTGATGTGGTCTAATCCAACTTCTTCATTTGCTGGTCTGAGTGGGACAGTGGGTGCTGTACCTCTGTGGGGACCGACCAAGGGGATTCTCTCAGCCAGGGATCCCCCCAAGGGCGGAGTTTCCCAGCCCCGGTACCCATGACTCCTCGGGTACCTCCAATGATCTCCAGGCTATTGGAACCTTCTCTAGACAAAATTTAAATATTGAAATAAATATTCTATGAAAATAAACCTGTGGGAAAAAATAAGCCTATGCCAATCAGTTTTTTTTTTTTTTTTTTGGAAAGGGGAGGATAAAAGAGAGTTATAACCTTTTAAAAAGATATCAGTATTCTAAAAGCATAGGCAATCAGGCAGTGTGTGGGGGAAGTCCTGGATTTTACTTTTTGACTCCCTTATTCCCTCACTATATGACTCTGGTCATGAATAGATTTTGTTAATTATAAAGCATGACAGCAAGAGGGTCAATGCTGCATGATCATCACCCTATAGCAGAAATTCCTACCATGTTACTTGCTTTGATCTGCTTTCCTGAATGAGCGGGGATCTGACATACATTATCAGGGCTACTCATATCCATACTTCCCCTCTCTAGGCCTCAATTTCCATAGTAGTCAGGCTAAGCCAGGCCATGCTGCAGTGACAAATAAGACCCCAGTTTTCAGTGTCTTCACACAGTGAAGCTTTGTATTTCCTGCTTTGATGAGGATGGACAGATCCTCTTCCATCTTGTAGGTATGCCATCTAGGGTACATGGACTGTCTGGTCACAGTGGCAGGGGATAAGAGGGATGGGGGAGGCACATACTGTCTTCAGTGTTTGGGCCCGGAAGTGACATGTATCATTGGCTAGAATTAATCACCTAACTGCAAGGAAGGCTGGGAAATTCAGGGAAGCACATGGATATTCAGTGGGCACAAATGGACTCTGCAACAGTTTCCACATCTCTCGAATGCGAGGGTTGGACTAGATGACCTTGGAACAGGCACCCCTACCCCCCAGCTCTGGCTTTCTAAGATTGTCTGAGCCAGAGACCCAGAAGTTGATGACTCACAGCAGTGATAGTGCCCTGGATTACTGCACACTGCTTCCACAGGAAAAGCTGCACCCCTCACCCCAAATATCAATTTTACTTTCTTCATTCTTTCCCAGACCATCTCTGAGCTATTTGTTCTGTATTGCCCTTAATCAGCTCCCAACTCCCAGATACTTCCAAGGTAAAATGGCCTCCAGCGACCCTAGATCAATGTAAATGTTTGCTCTCTGAAAGAGATGGGGCTTGCCTTGAAGGGGACACTAATGAAAAGCTGAAAGCTGGTAGGCTGGGACCACCTGGAACCACTTAGCCCTGGAATCCCACCTCCCTTCTACCATCTCTAGAGGAACTCAGGAATAATTCTAACGTCTACCTCCACTTGCTTTCTCCTGTTTTCCTCTCGATGTGTATACTTCCTACTTCTTTCCCAGTTTGGTGAGATCCACATTGATCACTGGAAATATTTCTGTCGAGACGATTAAAGATGCACATTTGAGGCCAGGCGTGGTGGCTCACGCCTGTAATCCCACTTTGGGAGGCTGAGGTGGGCGAATCACCTGAGGTCAGGAGTTCGAGACCAGCCTGACCAGCATAGAGAAACCTCTTCTCTACTAAAAATACAAAATTAGCTGGGCATGGTGGTGCATGCCTGTAATCCCAGCTACTTGGGAGGCTGAGGCAGGAGAATCACTTGAACATGGGAGGCAGAGGTTGCTGTGAGCCAAGATCGCGCCATTGCACTCCAGCCTGGGCAACAAGAGCGAAACTCAGAAAAAAAAAAAAAAAAGACGCATATTAGAAAGGCAGTGACTGAATTGTTGGATCAGGAATATGCTATAGATACAGTATTTCTTAATATCAGCATGGGCATTTGACAAGCTCTCATGTGATCGCAGGAGGAGGGATTGAAGGCGCTCAGCTAACCTGTGTGATGGCGTCATGTCACACATTGCTGGTCTGACATCCTGCATGCTCCAGTTGTGATAATAGGGGTTCTGCCTTTTTTAGGAGACCTAGTATCCACTTTGAGCCTTCATTCTGTTAGACAATCCTTATCATGGTAGCCTGGCCTATACCACAGCCTCTCTACAGGAATGTCAGAAGCCTCGCAGCACTGCTTATTCTTGATGACTTATCGCCATTGAGTAGCCTGTCAGGTGGGGCCTATACCCTGAATCAAAGGGACTCCCAAGTCATTCGGCATCTGGGTGTAGGCTTCCAGTGCTGCTGTGGCTGTTATAGAATTGTTAGACATTCCTTCGATCCAGTGGTGGGACCTATGCTCCTCCTCTTGAATCAGGACAGTCTTGTGACTGCTTTGATCAGTAGGGTATGGAGAAAGTAATGTTTTTTGACTTCTGAGGCTTGGCCATAAAAGACCCCACGGCTTCTGTCTGGTTCTCCTGGAACACTCACTCTTGTGACCCAGCTGCCATGTTATGAGAAACCCAAGCCATATGGAGAGGACACATGTCATTCGACACGTGACAGTCCCCACTCAGCTCAGTCTTTGAGTCCTTCCAGTGTAGATGCCAGACATGGAATGAAGAAGCCTCTAGATAATTCCAGCCCCTACCCATTCAGTTCATTCCCCCACCCCTGGTGTCTGCTTTTCCCAGCAGAAGTCCTAAACATGGACCAGAGAAGAGGCATCCCAGCTGTGCTCTGTCCAGATTCCTGACTCAGGAATCTGTGAGCAGAAGAAAATGGTTGGCAGTTTTTCATCAGCATGTTTGAAGTCATTTGTTCCATAGTAATCAATAATTAGAAAACCACCTAATCCTTCTGTCATTAGCATGTAGATGTTGACCAGGAGAGAAGTCTCTAGTAGTGGGCTGCAGGCTCATTCCTATCCAACCTCTTTAATGACAATTTATAGGGAGCAACAAAAGCACCAAGAAAGGCAACAGGATTATTGGGAAAGTGTGGGTGTCATAAATTGAGATAAATAGGCATGACACTGGGGGATGGACAGGAAGCCTGAAAGATCTCAACCAGTTCAGAGGAACCTAATCCTTGCACTTAGCCTTTGAAATTCACATGGAAACGTGCTAGGTGAAGTAGGGGTTCTCTGGAGAAAGGAGGGGTTGATCCCCAGGCAAGAGGGCACAGGGTGGTTGAGATGGAGCTTGGAGGCACTGAAGGTAGGGCACAGAGGGATTGGAGGCGCTGAAGGCAGGGCACAGAGGGATTGGAAGCACTGAAGGTAGGGCACAGAGGGATTGGAGGCGCTGAAGGTAGGGTACAGAGGGATTGGAGGCACTGAAGGTGGGGCACAGAGGGAGAAGCAGGGTGACTTGAGATGGGCTGGTCAGTGGACAGGAACCTGTCAAACAGGGTCTCAAGGGCCAGGCTAGGAAAGCTGGTAAAAGGTGCTGGGACCCTCGGTCCATTTACCCTGCATCCTATCCCTCCAGAGCTCAGGAGCCGAATGGATCTGGCTCTTTAGCACCTTGGTTCATGAATTCTTTTGGAAGATCCTAAAATGAGACAGAACTAGTTAAGTCAAGACAGCTTTGAAACATACAACCCAAGAACACCAGGACCAGAGTGGCTGAGTTTCCCAGAAGTTCATTCTGTTGAGGTTCCAACGGGGCCTTCCCCACCATCCAGTCCACCTACAGTGCTGGGCATGCAGCATGCCAGGTGGCCCCACAGAAAGACCTTGCACTGGGGGTCCTCCTGCCTGCTTGTGAACAGTGACCCTAGCAGTGCTCATGGTTAATATTGTTGTATGTCCCCATAACAATAAATTCCTGAAAAGGCTGGGGTGGGAAGATCCCAGATGGATGTGACTTCCTGGGGCTACCACGTCTGAGCCTGGTGGGATATGAGCACTGTGGACACCTCTTTTTATGCAGGGTCTGGCCTGGAGTGCAGGGTCTGTGAAGCGAGAGGACCCTGCCAGGACCCGGCCTCTGAGTGGCTCAGTGGGAGGAGGGGCGCCCTGGGTGCTGGGGGTGCCTGGTGCAGGCCCCCACTTGGCCTTCTCAGTCCCTCTCAGAGTTTGCCAGAAAGTGACACCATAGTAGACTCAATCCTTCTTCAGACCTCAATCCTGGGGCTGCAGAAATAGCTAGAGATTGGCTGGGTAAGAAGGCGGTGGCTTATATGGAAAAAGAGGCCCCTTGGCAGCTGCCCCCTGTGTTTGTGGGACTGTGTCCTGCCTCCGTCCCTAATAAGTATGATCTGCATAAGCACTTTCACCTCTTGGAGTCTCAGTTTCCTTGTCTACAAAATGGGAATAGTACCTATTTCAGGAGATGACTGTGAGGATTGGATGAAGGTGATTTTATTAAAAGGGTATCTGGCATAAGCGGTTGCTGAGTGGCCACAGTCGTTTCTCTTCTACCTGTCCTGTGGACTCCAGCACCTGGGTGTTCATGACACGCATGCGCCCTCCCCTCTGGGCAGGGGAGCCGTGCACAGAGGCTTAAAGAGCCTCCCAGGGTGGCAGTCAGAGGTGAGAGAGGGCATCAGGCCCCAGTGGAGCTGGAAGGCTCAGCCTCTGTCTGGTAATCTCCCTCCTAAATTTCAGGGGACAGAAAAGGTCCTCCTGCTCTTTGCTTGGTGTCTCCCAAATCACCTTTCCTTCCTGACGCTGGAAAAACAAATTCACAAGCACAGGTGACAGCTGCAGAGGGGCCCCTCTTTCCATATAAGCCACTGCCTGCTTAGCCAGCCAATTGCTAGCTATTTCTGCAGCCCTGGATGGAGGCCTGGAGGAGGATGAAATCTGGCTATGGGGTTGCCTCTTGACCTTACACCCATGTTCACAATAACCACACAGTCTGCCTTTCAAAAGTTTATTTTCAGGGGAGTCACAGAACATCAGGTGGAGACCCCTAGGAAGAGGAAGCAGCTGGGGTGGGCTCCAGAGGGGTATGGGTCGGGGAATAACCTCAGAGAAGAATGAGCTGTGGAGTGGTGGCCTGGCACAGGCACCCCTGTACCCCTCACCTTCCCTTGTTTCCTGCAACATGGACACCATTCCACCGGCTCTCAGGGCCCACCCGGCTGACTACATCCTTGCCACTTGGCTTCCAGGCTGCTCGGGGCTGGAGGAGGGCAGAAATCCTGAGATACTGGGTCCTGGGAGGTTGGGGGTTGGGGCATGGGAAGGGACAGAGCCAGGCTGTGACAGAGGATAGAGGGCTTGAGTGACTGATAGAACGGGTCGGGTGGGGCAGCCCTGAGGAATTTCCCTCTGAGGAGAGGGGTTCTGAGCAGCAGCCTCACTGTCCAGGGCCCAGCGGTGAGGGAGGTGCAGCCTGAAGCTTGGATTCTGGCTGCGGAGGGCTTGTCGGGCTTGCTTGCTGAGGCCCAGGGCCTCTCTGGGAATGAAGGAATGCCTCTTGCTCTGGAACACCGAGGCCTGACAATTTTCTCTCTCAGCAACATTTACTTCTCTGTAAAACAGACTGTTGTAAGTTCCTCGGGGAGCTTGTTGGATTTGGTGCCTGAGTTCACAATCTCCTGGGGTGGACAGAAGGGTTTGGTAGAAGAATTAGGTGTGGAGACGGATAGGAGAGCAACGTGGAAGTTGGCTGGGAAAAGCCTGAGGTATTCAAGTCAGGAATATTAATACCTTAGGGTTCTCTCTCTCTGTCTCTGTCTCTGTCTCTCTCTCTCTCTGTGTCTCTCTGTGTGTGTGTGTGTGTGTGTCTCTCTCTCTCTGTGTGTGTGCGTGTGTGTCTCTCTCTCTCTGTGTGTGTCTCTCTCTCTGTCTCTGTCTCCCTCTCTCTCTCTCTGTCTGTCTCTCTGTCTCTCTCTGTTGGGGTGGGAGAGATCTCTAGCTCTTAGGATCATTGCCTGTCATGGCCTAACCCTATTCCCCACTCTATTTTTGTTAACATAATTACCGTTTCCTTTGTATGATTTTTTTTTTAACTTCAGCCCAATTCCAGGCCTCCTTGTTTAAAACAAAACAAAACAGTGCTCGCTTTGGCAGTGCATGTACTAAAATTGGAACAGTACAGAGAAGATTAGCATGGCCCCTGAGCAAGGATGACACGCAAATTTGTGAAGCATTCCATATTTTTTAAAATGAAAAAGTAATAAAACAAAACAAAACAAAGCTTTCAAAACTTAACATTTCTGTGGCGTCTTCCCTGAGTTAATGTAAACAGCCATGGCGATGGGTGCTGCCTGATGGTGAAGCTCCCCTGGACTTGGGTGGCCTTAGCAACCGTTCTGCAGGTATCTCTGGGACATTCTTTTTTTTTTCTTTTTTTTTTTGAGTTGGAGTCTCGCTCAGTTGCCCAGGATGGAGTGCAGTGGTGTGATCTCAGCTCACTGGAACCTCTGCCTCCCGGGTTCAAGTGATTCTCCTGCTTCAGCCTCCAGAGTAGCTAGGACTACAGGCATGCGCCACCATACCCAGCTAGTTTTTGTATTTTTAGTAGAGACAGGATTTCACCATGTTGGCCAGGCTGATCTCGAACTCCTGACCTCAAGTGATCTGCCTGCCTTGGCCTCCCAAAGTGCTGGGATTACAGGCGTGAGCCACCATACCTGGCCATCTCTGGGACATCCTTGAGCATCCCATATCTGTCTGCTGTTGTTTGGGCCTGTCATTCTGTGCTCAGTAGATATGGCAATGTGTCATCCAATAATTGATTCCTTACCAACTTTTTGGTTTTTTTCTGAGATGGACTTTTGCTCCGTCACCCAGACTGGAGTGCAGTGGTGTGATCACAGCACATTGCAGCCTCAACCTCCCAGGCTCAAGCGGTCCTCCTGTCTTAGCCACCCTAGTAGCTGGGACTAGAAACACACACTACCAAATCTGAGGACAAAAAAAATATTTTTGTAAATGCGGGGTGTCACTGTGTTGCCCAGGCTAGCCTTGAACAACTGGGCTCAAGCAGTCCTCTCGTCTCAGGCTCCTGAGGTGTTGGGATTATAGGCATGAGCCACCGAGCCCGGCCCCTTACCAACTTTAAGTTCTTCAGTTATCTCTTGGTCTTTTCCTCTGCAGATAAGTAATCTTAATTCCCATAATTAATTTTATAACCCAATCAACACAACTTCTTTTGAAATCACTGCATCCATCTCTCCTAATTTTTTAGAGTCTCCATTTTATAATGAGTGGCTAAGCCCTGAGTACCTAGAGACTGATGAAAAGATTGCATGGTTTATCTCTGCCTCTCTGCTTAGATTCCTGTTTAATAATCATTAAATCTCTCACGTGTCACTTCTATTTACAGTATACGGAGCACCACCATGTCTCTTATCTCAGGCCATCAGCCCTTCTTAGTGATCTTATTATTTCCACTGATTCAGGTTAAGCTTGGCCTACTGTGGGCTTTATTTAGATCATCTTTATTATACCTGTGGGTAGATTTTGCAAGCAGGCCCTAGCACAGGTTCACTTGTGGGTTTCCTTTTAAAAGGTCAGTGTGAAACAGGAAATGTGACTAAGAAAATCTTCTTCCTCCATGAAGCCTCACTTCATTAACTGGAAGAAAAGCTCCTATCCTGTCTCCCCCCAAACTTGCTCATGGCCCAGACACATTTCAAAACAGCACATATTTCCCAAAACACTGACACGTGCATTCTAAGGCTCGTGTGTGCGGTGAGTGGTTCTTTGTCAAGTTCGTTCTGTGAAGGGGCCCTGTCGTCACACCGATCACTGTTCTTCAGATATCTGAGGATGTGCAGGGGCCTGAGGGACCTGGAAACCTGGTGGCTGAGCAATGAGGAGAGTGGAACCCATGGTTGGAACAGTTGGCCATCCTCATGCGGATAGGGGCAGAGCCAGAATGGGAATCAAGGTCTCCTGACTCCCCGGCCACATTAACCCAAGTAAACCCCATGTCTACCTCCTTAGCTTCCGGAGTCCCCTGCATCTTCCTCCTTGTGGGACACAAGCCAGGTACAGTTGCAGGGTGGACATGTGGTTTCCAAACAGGATGCTGGGCAAATTAATCTGGGATTCCTGATTGGGGTTCTTTAGGAGGCAGTAGTGGCTACCCTTTAGATCATCTGGTTTGTGACCTTGTTTCAGTTTTCTCATCTATAAAATAGAAAAATAATAGTACTTATGATGAGGTAAAAATAAATGAATACACATAAAACACTTAGAACAGTCTTGCTGTGTGATCACTCCATAGCATTAGTGATTATTATTCTGGTGGGTTGGTTAGCTTTCCTCCATTCTATTCAGTTCAATGGGGGTTTGGCATCAACCACAGGCTTTGCCGGGGCTGTGAAAATGGCCACATTGAGGCTCCACCTTAACCCTGGCCAGCCTCCCAACAGCCAGCCATTTGTCTTAAGAAGAGCTGAAAGAAATAATCTAATGGCGCAATGCAAAGTCAACACTGATGGGGCTGAGGGGTGTCTTTTCGGACAAGACGTGCAGTGGGGAGCCCACCTGTGAGTTGGCCTGTTTCACGGCTGCGTGCGGTGCCCACTCCTCACAGACTCTGAGTGAGTGGCAAGGTGGGCCCGGAGTCAATTCTGGCTTGGCAATGGATACTGTTACTGAGGGCATGGGTTGAGGCACAGGAGCTTGGGGCTCCAGATGCTTGGAGTAAATGTGAAAAGGGAGTGTGGGATGATGTGAGTGGGAGCTGTGGATGGGTTCAAGCGTGCTGAGTCCTGGCTTGACTCACCCTTCCAGCTTCTGCTGTAACTGTCAGTGCCTTTGTCTGCATGCTGGGAAATCCCTGAGTGCTGGGTTAAACCCCAACCCTAAAAGGCACGTAGACACTTCTCCTGAGCTTTGAGTTGCTTCATTCTGCCCAGCAGCTTCCTGAAAATGTAGTCTTGCCACACCAGAGGAAGGATAGACCCATAGCTGTGGGGGACCCTGTGTCAGCAGGATTTACTACCGGGTGAGCTGGGGCTGCAACAGCACGTGTGAGCAACTTAACAGGGCTGATGGTTTTTCAACAAATTTTTAAAAATTAAAAAAAATTTTAAATTTTTGTCGGGACATAGTAGGTGTGTGTATTTATGGGGCATGAGAGATATTTTGATACACGCATACAATGTGTAGTAATTGCATCAGGGTAAATGGGGTATCCATCACTTAAAGCTTTTATCCTTTGTGTTACAGACAATCCAATTATACTCTTTTCGTTATTTTTAAATGTACAATTCAATCATTATTGACTATAGTCACCTTGTTGTGCTATCAAATATCAGATCTTATTCATTCTTTTCGCTCTTGTCTCCCAGGCTGGAGTGCAGTGGTTTGATCTTGGCTCACTGCAACCTCCGCCTCCCGGGTTCAGGAGATTCTCCTGCCTCAGCCTCCCAAGTAGCTGGAATTACAGGCGTGCACCATCATGCCTGGCTAATTTTTTTGTATATTTAGTAGAGATGGGGTTTCACCATGTTGGCCAGGCTGGTCTCAAACTCCTGACCTCAGGTGATCCGCCTGCCTCGGCCCCCCAAAATGCTGGGATTACAGGCGTGAGCCACTGTGCCTGGCCAAGATCTTATTCATTCTTTCTAACAATTTTTTTTGTAGTCATTAACAAGGCTGAAGTTTTAATGCAACTTACTTTTATTGCACATGCCATGCATTATGCACCAATCTGTGTTCTTCCAATGCTACCGGGAACCTCTTACCTTTGTATCAGTTCATCGTTGTCCTCTTCTCCAACTGCCTGTGTACCTGGGTCAGGGGTCCTCTTTTATCGAGTGGAACAAATGTGCCCAGGTACAGAGAAATGCTTTGTGCTATTGTCCACCAGGCAGGGGCATTTTCTTTTCTCAAATATTCTTGGTAAATAGACGAGCAGTCTTTACTTGAACGCACTGGGTGTCATATGCCACAGCCCTAACTTGAATGTGCTGGCTTGCTGCAAGTGGGTGATTCCTTAGAAATTTGCTCTGTTCCTAGACGGGATCAAAATGGTCCTTAGATTCTTAATGGGTCCCTATCTGGAATCCATTTGATCTTAAAATAAAATGGCCGTGGAAGAAATTTTTCATTAATTCCTAGCTGATTTGCAATGAAATTAAATTTCTGAGTATAAGGAATATTTTTTACGGAGTAAACTTATAAGTGGGGTTGCTGGGTGTTTCCCATTGATTAGCCTAGTGTTTAAAAGTATAATGTCTTTATTTTCTGGTTTCTTACTTTTTTGAGTTCCCTCACTTTTCTTCTAGAGTTCATTATGCAGGTCTGGAAAACAACAACCACCACCACCAGCAGGAGAAAAGCAGGGGTTAGTTTGGGGGGGGTTGAAATGGGAAAAATAGACATTTCCAGCTCCCAACATCTTATTTCCTGAATATCTTCGGAGCCCAAGAAAGTGGCTCTGAGCTGCCTTTGCAGTCTTGAAGCTGCACTTGCGTTCCCACCAGCCCCCGGGCCTCTGGTTGCATCCTGGGGGGCACTTCTGCACTCCCAGCCTCCTGGGTATGGATTGGGGTGAAGATGTTGTGCAGTGAGGGGTGGGAGCCCCACACCCTAATAGAGCCAAGCTGGCCACACTGCCTGTCTTTCCCAATTAGTTCCCCAAAGGGAACAAAGCCTTATTTCTTCCCTCCCTTAGTTCCCAGGCACTGGTTGGGGAAAAACAATCCTTGGCAGCTCAGGGGTTAAAAATAAAACACAGCGAGGGGGAAAACAAGCCGGGCAGCTGCAGCGGCTCCTCAGAGCCCACTCCAGGCTAAATAGAGGCCCCAGCAACTCCTTGGAGACTTGAACCCTGGGCGATGGAATTTTCCCTTGCATGAAGGCTATTGTCCTCTGGAAAGGGCCAGGGCCAGAGGAGGGCCTGGGGAGCACTGATCTCCCCAGCCCACAGCCAGGGAGCTCCTGAGAGCCCAAGGGCTCGGTCCCACCCAGCTGGGTTTGGGTGAAAAGGCAACGGGGGGTGCAGCCCACCCCTCCCCCTTTGGGAAAAAGGGAGGGCTTGGGCTTCCAAAGGCCTGGGTACCAGTTGTTGCCCCACTCCTCAGCCCAACCAGCTAGTCACGGATGGAATAAAAGGCTTGGTTCCCTTGGCAACTGAGGGGACTACAGTTTTTCACAGAGTACAAGATGGGCTTGGGGAGGAAGGGAGGTGAAAGTGAGGGATGGGGGGTGGTTTGCAGGAGGAGGGAAGAAGCGGGGAGGGGCAGCCTGTTTACCAGTGCTGCTTGAGTTTGAGTCTCAAGGGAACCTTTTGTAGGTTCTGGCCTGGGAAATGCAGGATACCCTGAGTGTGGGGGATGCTCTTAACTGCTTCTCAGTTTTGAGTCACCATTGGAAGTCTCTGGTCCATGGTAGAAATGTGATTGTTGTAGGCCTCATGCTAACCTCATGGACAGCTCAGGGGAGTTAAGCAGAGCCTACCTTTATAGGTGACTAGGCCTGGCCCTGTTTTATAACTGGAGACCCCTGGAAGTGTTGATAGATGCTTGAGCCCATAGAGAGCTATTTGTGAAGCAGAGATTAGAATAGCAGGCGCCTGTCTCCTGGGTCTGATCTCGATGGACTAGACAAGGCTATTTTTAATATCAAGCAGGAGAGCTGCTGAAATATAGACAAAGTGCAGAACCTGGGCTGATTTTGTCTCAAGCACAAGACTTTGTGAGAGGAGCTTAAAAATCTATCCATGTACTGAACAGATACATTTAGCCTCAGTGAAAACAAATGATAAGGGACGGGAGACTTTGTCCCAAAACTTTGGGATGAGAGGTCCCCACATGTTGTCACTAGCACGGAGGTGTACAGGAGACTTGGTATAACCCTCTCCGAGGCTTTAGATGGTCAGGGCTGCCCACCTGGCATTGATAGAAACACCTTTTATTGCTGCCATTAAAAGTGTGGCATCTGCCAAATGAAAAGAAAGGAAGCAGAGTGAATATGTTGATATGGTGGCTTAAGAAGATAGAATAGTGTAAACCGACACACTGTTCAAGAGTCTTGAAATGATTTTTTTAAAAAATGGAAAACAGAACCCCAAACCCCTATCTGGTATAGCAGAGAGTTCTTGGAAAGGATGAGAATGGGGTTCATGGCTGCTTTGGTGGAAAGGCTTGCTTGGTTCTTCTGCCTTTGCCGGGGGACCTGGGAGTGGGAAGGGGATGTTGGGGGAGAGGTCACTGTGTTTTCCTGAGAGGGTGGCGAGGGTCATCACCGTGAAGTACTTCCTCATGCACACTGCGGTCAGTTCCTTCAAAGCCTGGCTCCGATGGGTGGGTCTCATCTGAAAGACACAATTTGAGGAAACCTAGAGGGCGGCTCCTAAGATGAGGAAACACCTGGATGGCAGGTCTCTGATAAGGAAACAATCCTGAGATACCACTGCAGCTGCTTTGCATGCATGACCTATGCCCAATCAGATGACCATCTGCTTTAATCATCATAACCAAATAGTAATAATAAAAAGATCAAGGAATCACTTATCACCTAATTAATTTACTTACTGACTGGTGGGTTGGCAGAGAAACAAGTCTGGGCAATGCAGAATAACAAGCTACTTAGAAAATATGCAGAGAGGCTGGGTGCAGTGGCTCACGCCTGTAATCCCAGCACTTTGGGAGGCTAAGGCAGGCGGATCACAAGGTCAGGAGTTCGAGATCAGCGTGACCAACATAGTGAAACGCTGTCTCTACTAAAAATACAAAAAAAAAAAAAAAAAGAAAAATTAGCCGGGTGTGGTGGTGCACGCCTGTAATCCCAGCTACTCAGGAGGCGAAGGCAGGAGAATCACTTGAACCTGGGAGGCGGAGGTTGCAGTGAGCTGAGATTGTGCCACTGCACTGCAGCATGGGCGACAGACTGAGACTCTGTCTCAAAAAAAAAAAAAAGAAAATACGCAGAGGATGGCAACCCAGGGAAGAGAAAGTCACGTGAGCTCACCTCTGTGCTCTCGAGTGCATATAAATTCATGTAAGTTTCAAGACAATTCAGTGAGGTTGGTGTGATTATTATTCTCATTCTGTAGATGAAAAAACCGAGGCTTGTGTAGATTAACTAACTCGAGCAAGATCACGAGGTTGGAGGTGGTGAGCACTGGGTTTTGAACGCTATCAGATTATCCTCGATCTATACAGCAGCCTATAGTCAGAAAAGCATTTTCAGATCTGAAATTTCACTTGATTCTCAAAACCACTTATGGCAGGAGGTGATTCCCATTTACAGCCACAGAAGCTGAAGGTCATGGAGTTTAAGTGACATGTTCCAATCACAAGACTCTATGTGGCAAAGCTATGACTGCTCTGGGGCTTTTCACACGATGGCCTGTTTCCTGATCTCAAATTCCATTCTCAAATATCTGGGAACATTTTTTTGATTTGTTTGTTTGTTTGTTTGTTTGTTGAGATAGGGTCTCACTCTGTTGCCCAGGCTGCCGTCCGTTGGCGCAATCACAGCTCACTGTAGCCTCTCAACCTCCCAGGCTTCAGCAATCTCCAGCCTCAGCCTCCACAGGCTAGCTAGGACCACAGATATGCCTTTTAAAGTTTTTGGTATAGACAGGGTCTTGCTACACTACCCAGGCTGCTCTTGACCTCATCCAGGAAGACTTTGATGTCTGCCTTTCACTCATACATATATTTATTCAGCCATTCAACTAATATTTGCCAAGCACCTGTCATGAACAAGGCATCAAGGAGAACGGAAAACAAGCTAGATTTTTAAGAAGTCCCTGTGAATAAAAAGAATCTTATAATCTCACCGTCTGTGTCTGCCCTCACAACTATCAGTGGAAATTTTCCAAAATCAATGTGCTAACAGATGTGTTTTATTTCATAAGCTGGCACACTTAAAATTGAAGAACTAAAATGTTAAGAACTATTGAGTCACAAACATTCTCTGAACACCTTACACCTTAAAATGGAGGTAGTAATTCAGTAAGGTTTGGATGGACTCACGGTGACACCTCAGTGGGACACTTCCAATTCCTGGAGACAGAGGAGAGAAGAGTTTTGGCCAAGGCTCCCTTTGGCTGTCCACATTTGCTCAGACACTCAGCCTAGCTAGCATTCCTGTCTCCCCCCACTGTCCCTGCAGAATCTATTGTGAAGGGGCCCCTCCCATGGTCAAGCTTCCTCCCCATATCAGATTTTATGGCCCGGCTACTTCCTGGACAGGGCCAAACACTTAACAGATGCCTAGACTTGTATGGGTCAACGTCAGTGCGTATGCCGGTCATATTTCCTACACACCCATCTGTACAGAATCACACATTAAACATGATTTCTCACACAGAACTTCCATGGGGAAATCCTCACCCCCAAAGTGACAGAAGTTGCCAGAATATGTACAGGGAGGTAAAAAGCACTTAAAGACAAGTGAGCACGGTCATTTGCCCTGGAAGAGCATGCAGTGTTGGGAGAGCTGATAAACAAAATTTCCATCCCTCTCCATTCATCATTCATCAGTAAGTCATGCAGGTCAAAGTGTAGGGGGAAGGGGAAGAGGGCAGAGAGAGGAGAAAAGGGAAACTAAGAATTTTTTTTTTTTTTTAGAGATGGGGTCTCACTATATTGCCCAGGCTGGCCTCAAATTCCTGAGCTCAAGTGATCCTCCCACTTCAGCCTCCCAAGTAGCTGGGACTACAAGTGTGAGCTACCACACCCAGAGAGCTATGGAGTTTCCATTGTAAGGAAAATGAAGATGACAAAGGAATGCTGGGGACAGGCTTTTGAAGGGAATAGATCAACTCAGGCTGAAGTGCAGTGGCACAATCACACTTTAAATGAGTACGTTTTTAAATTTGTGAGTTGTATCTCAATAAAGATATTTTTAAAAATAGATACCTTAAACCTCACACATTTAAAAAATACAGGATATGGTATACAAAGAATAGATAGGACATACTTAAACTAAAAAAAAGAAATTACTTATTATTCATCTGAAATGAAAAGTTAACCAGATGTCCTATATTTTATCTGGCACTCCTACCTCCCCAACCCTCAACACCCAAAGCTCTTTGAATTTGTTTTTATTTTCTGTCCATATGAAGTACCTCTTGGGGCAAAGAGCTTCAAGTTTTATTATTCTCTTTGTGAAGCAGTGTCATGCTTTGTCTTCACTTCTCTTAAGTGTCCCCTTCCCACATATTTCAGAAAACGATGTATTTCTGCTGGGTTGTTTTCTCCTTAATGCTATGGAGGTCCATGCTCAGCCTTGGGCTTCCCAAAGAGAAATATGCTGGACACATCAGACAATTTTTTCTTGGCCAACTCATCCCTCCATCCCTTCTTTATGGTTGCCTTTTTTCAGGTCTCTTGTTAGGAACTCATGACTGAATAGCATCCAACAGACCACCAATCCAGATGTGATGGCCCAAGGGGATTCAATATGGGTGGGGGAAAACTCACTGAGGGTTTTCCAGGTCCTGTCCTGATAACGCTCACATTAGTCAAGAACCAAGTGTTTAGGAAGCACATTCACAATGGATAAAAGCCACGCCGTAGCATAAATCCATTTGCTATATGGAGTCTAAATCTTGCCTTTTTCTGTTTCATGTGATGTGATGTATGTGTGTGTGTGTATGTGTGTGTGTGTGTGTGTGTGTGTGTGTGTATGTGTTGTGGTTTTTGTTTTTTGCCTGTTTGTTTTTGTTAGCCAGATAAAAATCCAGTAAAACAATTGAGAGGATGGTGGAGGGAAGGCAGGTAATATGGTTTGGCTCTGTGTCCCCACCCAAATCTCATCTTGATATAATTCTCACATGTTGTGGGAAGGGACCCAGTGGGAGATAATTTGAATCATGGGAGCGGTTTCCCCCATACTGTCCTCATGGTAGTGAATAAGTCTCATGGGATCTGATGGTTTTATCAGAGGTTTCCACCTTTGCATCTTCCTCATTTTTCTCTTGCCACTGCCGTATAAGAAGTGCCTTTCATCTCCCACCATGATTCTGAGGCCACCCCAGCTATGTGGAAGTGTAGGTCCAATTAAGCTTCTTTTTGTTCCGAGTTTCGGGTGTGTCTTTATCAGCTGCATGAAAGTGGACTAATACAGCAGGTAAGAAGGATCACAGTGTGGTCTTCTGGATGCTTTCAGTGCAAGAGAATACACAATGAAGATGGTGGTTGTGTTAGGAGGGCGGAATTATGACTTTTATTCTCTCTTTCCTGTTTTCCAAACTTTATATAATATAGTTCTCTAAAGATAAAGAATTTGAAAGAGTGCTTAAATTTTCATTTAAAAAAATACAAGGCCTCACAATTAAAACTGACTACAAAAAGAAAATATTGCATTGTAAAATAATAAAAGCATGTAAATGCTTTATAAATTTTATAGGCTATTTTCTGAGTAACTTTCCCATGATTCCCCGGTTCTGTGCTATATGGTAGCATTGCTGGAACCGGAAGTCAGATATGTCAGACTTGAAACCCAGGCCCTTCCCATTATATCACAGCAGACATCTACCAGTCGGATTTCATGAAAGTGTTATCTGTTCAAGAGTCACATGGATTTCAGCACTTTATTACTAAGTTGTTTATGCTTGGATATCTAGCATTGCCTATCTACATAATAATTATTTTCATAATATTGATTCTTGTGCACAAAATCCCTGTAGTCTATGAATGAATAAGCAAAGAACAGTCAATTACATAATAATAGCTACTGTTTCCTGGATGCCGTGGGCCAGGTATCAGAATTAAATTTGAACTTCATTTACCTAATTTGATCCTTGCAACAGTTCTGAGGAAGATTTCAGCCCCATTTTATAGATGAGGAAATGGAGATTCAGCAATATTAAGATCACATAGTAAGTTTACAGGCTGAGATTCAGAAAATCCTAACTAGGTACAACTTGTTTTATCATATGCTAATCTTTGAAAAATTCAACCATCCCCATTGAGAGTAGTAACCTTCCTTCTCTAAGCAGGGGGTAAACAGTTCTCACTTTTTTGTGTGTGTTTGTTTTGAGACAGGGTCATGGTCACAAGCTCTGTGCCCAGGCTGGAGTGCAGTGGCACCATCACGGCCCACTGCAATCTCCGCCCCCTGGGCTCAAGTGTTCCTCTCACCTCAACCTCCTGAGTAGCTGGGACCACAGGTACATGCCACCTGTGCCTGGCTATTTTTTGTATTTTGTTTTGCTTTGTTTTTTTTAGAGACAGCGTTTCACCATGTTGTCCAGCTTGGTCTTGAACTCTTGGCCTCAAGCTATCTACCTGCCTCAGCCTCCCAAAGTGCTGGAATTACAGGCATGAGCCACCGCGCCCGGCCTCTCACCTTTCTTTCTAAGAAACTTAAAAGGAGAAAATTAGGCCGGGCCTGGTGGCTCAAGCCTGTAATCCCAGCACTTTGGGAGGCTGAGGTGGGCGGATCTCTTGAGGTTGGGAGTTCAAGGCCAGCCTGACCAAGATGGAGAAACCCTGTCTCTACTAAAAATACAAAATTAGCCAGGCGTGGTGGCCCATGCCTGTAATCCCAGCTACTTGGGAGGCTGAGGCAGGAGAATCACTTGAACCCAGGAGGCGGAGGTTGCAGTGACCCGAGATCATGCCATTGCACACCAGCCTGGGCAACAAGAGTGAAATTCCGTCAAAAAAAAAAAAAAGAAAAGAAAATGAGAGGGAATACTTGAATCATCCTTAGAGTTGACCTAACCCTTTAGATGCCTACAATTAAACTGGGAAGCAAATTTCTGAAGGAGCCACAACTTTCAAATCTTCCTCATGCACCTGTTAAACCACCCTTCTCTCAGTGTCCTTGAGGGTTTGTATTGTGAAGGCTGAGGAGGAAATCTGCTTCTTTATTTCTTCCCCTGCCTTGGAAGGATCATTTTTCCATATTAAACAGAGCATCATACATTCCTGAGAATGCCTCTCCCACAGACTTGTTTTGACAACCAGGAGGGAGGATGGGAGGAGGCTTGTAGAATGGGCTGCACAATAACCCAAGAAGATCAAGGAAAGCCGTTTCCAAAACAAAGGTTGATCATGTATAGCTCCCTCTCAATCTGGGCTTCTCAGAGAGTGCATTAATCAAAGGGGAAACACCTGGGTCTCTAATGCCCTTCTTGCTTGTCAGAGGCGTGTTCCAAGGCTTTCATCATGCTGATGGTGACCTTCTAAGTCCGTGCTTCTGGTCAAAGGTTTGTGTATGTGTTTCATTGAATAGGTTGAGCATTTATCAACCATTATTGGTATTTCATAACCATTCCCCTGGGTGTTGTAATTAGAACTCTTTTGCATTCTCAAGTTTTGATATATGATTTTTAAAAACAGAGGACTTTGGTCTTAAAATCATGCAATTCCCTCCTTCGTGGGTTTGCACAGGAACGTAAGAAGAAATTGGAGAGAAGGGTTTCTTCTGGGACTTTTACTTACAATACCTTCTTTCCAGAAAGCTCCATTTAGCATTATTTTGGCAATTGGTTTTAGCATAAGTGACAGATTCTCCTTCAAAGAATTAAAAACTGTTTACATCTTTGGGGTAGGCATTACTCCCTGTTTTGTAAGCAAGGAAAAATTATTGCCTAAAATCTTAGTGGTTTTGCCTCCCTACCAGAAGTATTGCTTTTATCATTATGTAGCAAGAATATCTGCACAGATCTATTTGGCAAAGATTTTATTCAAAGGCTTGGGTACTGATTAACACTGCCTGGCCCACTGAACAATGGGTTAACCTAGGCTTGATAAACCAAATAAGACCTTTGTCTTGTTTTGCTGGCCGCTCAAAAGCACCTCTACCATAAAATCATTGCGCCTCCAGGGAGAGACCTGGTTTATTTTTTTTGCCCCTGATAGATAGCTGAATACAAGTGGGGGTATTGATAGGAAGGCCCTCAAGGATGTGCGTGTGCTTGGGAAGGTTGTATGTGTGTCTATACATGTGTGTGCACCTGCTCACAAGTAGACTACTACCCACTGCGTTCTGGGCTGTGGGGAGTGGGACGGTGAAGCAGCTAGTTCACCAGCATAGCAGGTAAGGCTTGAACATGAATTGTACATGTATGAGTATCCATGCACTCATCCTCACTGCCCTGGTTGGGCCACTTTGCCCAGGTGGATAAAACCAGGACTAAGGAAGCTCTAGCAGTTTTCTGAACATAATACTGTACTATACTTATGGGTGCCTAGAAAATACTTAAGAGTTTGCAACAGGATTAGCAAGAACCCACCCATCTCCTGGGAAAACTGCTTGGGCTCATTCCAGATTGGGGTCAACAGTGTCACTTTTATTTCCTAAAAATACCCAAGCTTGTTAAAAACTTAAAAAAAAAACAAACCTCTCATCCGTTAGTTTACGGCTTGCATCCCTCAACCGCTGAACTTGCAAAGGTTTCACAGAAGCATCATCTGTACCTTGGGGCAATCCCTGAGAGCGGGTAGGCTGCTCCAATCTCTGCTGTGGATCTGGTTTTCAAGACGAGGGAAAGAAGGATTAGGAAGACCACACACCAGTGACTTGATGCCTGTCCTTCGCCAGGTTTTAGAATGGATCATTATATATTTGGAGGCAGTGGGAATGCTTGGTCTGGGGACAAAAGACTCAGAGGGGATGAGGCTTACAGCCTTAAAATACTCAAAGAGCTCTCACAGAGGAGAGGAAATAGACTTATTCAAACTCTGCCTGAAGGGTGAAGTTTCCAGAAGGACTATTTTGGTTCAACATAAGAATGACTGTCTAACAACCACCCAACAATGGGTGGAAAACTTCCTTAGAGGTGCTGAGAAAGGGCCCGGGCTTAGGACCGTTCAAGCAGAGGACAGCAGGGATGTTGTAATAAGAATTCCAGCAGTGGGCTTGAGGTTCAGCTGATGACCTCCAAGGTTCCTTCCAGCTCTAAGATTGGATGATTCTATATCTGTAATTTTCCATTTCCCTATTAAGAAGAAATTTTCCACAGTGAAAATTGTTTTAGTATTTGATAAAAGCTGTGGGATGATTTTTGCTTTTGTTGACTTTAACAGGGGGCTTACTACTCTGCCCCAGTGGCGTAACAAGACACAAACACATCAGTGATATTTATTGGGCAGGGGAGAGAGGCGTTTATTGTTGGGTGGGAAAGTCCTGCTTGCTTACATGGGGACTGGCATGGAGGTGTTGGGAACTCCAAATCTTTCCTCACATTGTTTCTGAAATTCCTCTGCCCAAAGGACCTGGGCATTTTACCCCAGTCCTGCCTAGTGGGTGCAGCAGAGGTGTCTGGAGCCTGACCGACATTTCACCAATCACCTTGGTAGTTCTCATAGCATCCTCCCAATCCCCTACAATTCTGTGTCCACCGCACAGAGCCCTGTATAATGTGATTACCCTAAGGAACCTTCTGAAACACTTACCTCACACATGATCTCTCCCAACTTGAGGACAGAGTACACTTTCTTTGAAGGTAACTGACCCTCTTTCGAATGCTCCTTCCATTAAGCTATCATAAAGAATATAAACTTTCTATTAAAAAAAAAACAAAGAGAAAGTGTGTGTGGTGGCTCACTCCTGTACTCCCAGCACTTTGGGATGCCAAGGCAGGCGGATTACTTGAGGCCAGAAGTTCGAGACCAGCCTGGCCAACATGGTGAAACCTTGTCTCTACAACAAATACAAAAATTAGCCAGGCTTAGTGGCATGCACCTGTAGTCCTAGCTACTCAGGAGGCTGAGGCAGGAGATTCTCTTGAACCTGGGAGGTGGAGGTTGCAGTGAGCTGAGATCTGCATTCCAGCCTTGGTTACAGAGAGAGACTCTGTCTCAAAAAACAAACAAACAAAAAGAGAAACATGAATTTAAACATCCCTTATACACTAGACTATAACTTCACCTGACTTTAACTTTTAAATGAAAAGTTATTATGTTTAGTATAGTCAATTCTTTGCCTTGAAGATTGACTGGTAAATTTTTTTTTTACACTTACTTTGCTAATTCTCCATCTCTTTCTTTATTGGGTTAAGGATATGTTGCAAGGAGAGTTCTAGGAGTTGAAAGTAAAATACTGTTAATTCAAAAATGAATAAATATGCTCCTAGCAATGGATTTTTATTAGTGTTCAATTAGTAGAGTGTGATCAAGGATCTGGGATAAAAGACCTCACCCTTGATGGGGCCCCCTGGAGCACCTCAATCCTTAGCTCTTCTGGTAACCACCAGGGAGAGTTGAGCATTATTTGTCAGATCCTTTCAGCTAAGTTTCAGACTGAAGGCAATGAACAAAGGTGCTCAACATGATTCGTTGCTAGAGAAACACAAATTAAAACCGTAGTGCGATACCATTATACACCAAAACTAAAACTTACTTGAAAAACGTTAAAAACTTAGGCTGAGCATGGTAGCTCATATCTGTAATCCCAGCATTTTGGGAGGCTGAGGTGGGAGGATCGTTTGAGGATAGGAGTTTGACACTAACCTGGGCAAGATAGTGAGACCCCATTTCTAAAAAATTAAAAAATTAGCCAGGCATTGTGGTGCACGCCTGTAATCCCAGCTACTCTGGAGACTGAGATGGTAGGGTCACTTGAGCCCAGGGAGGTTGAGGCTATAGTGAGCCATGTTCGTGCCACAGCACTCCAGCCTGGATGACAGAATGAGATCGTGTCTCAATTAAAAAACAAAAACAAAAAGACTGATTTATTCAAGTGCCAAAGAAGATATAGAACAACTTGAAATGCTCATACACTACTGATGGGCATGTAAATTGGTACAACCACTCTGGAAAACTGTTTGGTAACCTCTGCTAAAGTTAAAGCTACTCTGTGATCCAGCAATTCCATTCCTACGTACAGACCTAAGAGAAATGAGTTCATATTTCTTCCAAAAGAAAGGTACAAGAGTGTTTTGCAATTTTATTCATAATAACCCCAAGTTGGAACCAACACAAATGTCCACTCATAAAAGAATGAATAAACAGATTGCAGTATACTCATATAATGAAATACTACATAGAAGTAAAAAGAACAAGCACCTGAAACCACTGATACCACAACATTTTTTGAGTGAAAAAAAGCTAGACATAAGAGTATATATTTTATGTTGTTATTTACATAAAGTTAAAGAGCACGAAAATCAGGCAATGTTGCTGCAGAACAGTGGTTACCTTGGGTAGGAAGTTAGTGACTCAGAGGCAGGAGGAGGGAAATGTTCTATATTTAAATCTGTGTATATGTATCTTAGGTGCACACATTTGCAAAAACCAAGCTGCTAATGTAAGATTAGTGCACTTCAAAACCACAAAGTGATATCATTTCACACCCACTAGCGTGGCTAAAACAAAAGAGACAAGACAATAATAAGAGCTGATGAGAATGTAGAGAAATTGGAGCCCTCGTATATGGCTGTGGGACTGAAAAGCAGTGTTTCAGAAAACATTTTGGTACCTCCTTAAAAGTTAAGCATTAAGATGCCATATAGTTGGCAATTCCATTCCTAGGTATATACCCAAGAAAATTGAAAACATGACCACACGAAAATCTGTACATGAATGTTCATAGAAGCTTTATTCATAATAGCCAAAAAGTGGTAGCAACCCAAGTGTTCATCAACTGACAAATGAATACACAAAATGTGCTGTGTCCATAGAGTGGAATATTATTTGACAATGAACCTTGAACATGTTACGCTAAGTGAAAGAAGCCAGTCACAAAAGGCCATATGGTAAATGATTCCATTTGTATGAGATGCTCAGAATAGTGACAGAAAGTAGATTAATGGTTGCCAGGGGCTGGAGAGGGTGAAATGGAGAGTGAGGGTTTTTTTTTTTTTTTTTTTTTGGTGGGGGGCGAGGAAAATGTTCTTAAATTAAGTAGTGATGAGATTTCTCTGTGAATATAGTATTATAAAAACCTGTGAATTGTATACTTTTAAAGGGTGAATTTTATGGTATGTGAATACTTCAATAAAGCTGTTATTAAAAGAAGATTATTAGACCTTACTGTATGTATTTACACCTCATTAAGAAGACAGAGAATGAACGGTAAATTGTCAGAATTTAGAATCCGAAAAATTTCAGAATTCTTCAATGGAAAATGACAAAACAGGGAAAGGGCATGGGTTGGGAATAAAGAGAGTAGATATCAGTTTGAACAGCTTCTCAAAGTGCCAGGTACTTTATGTCCATTATTTCATTTAATTGTCAAAGGACTCCTATAACACATATATTCCCAGTGGGCTCCTTCCGCAATTCTCAAAGGCCGCCAAAGCCAGGACTTGGGGTCTGAAGGTGTCTCTGCTTCATTGTCTTGTGCTGCCCCTCAGATGCACTCCCAGTGGGGTTAGGGTTGGCCTTGGGTTGACCTTGTCCGGCATACTCACTTGGTGGAAGAGGATCCTGAGACCCAGACACATGATGTGACTTATGTAACATCCCACAGCCACCCCGTGGCAGAACTGGATTAAACCCTGATGCCCCAGTGTAGGATTCTTTGGTTAATAGCTGATAAGGTAAAAAGCACTATACCAAGCACCTTATTACATAGATCTGCTTGGTCACAAAGCAGTCTGGAAGGGTTCAGTGCAGTGAGGATGTGTCCACCTGGGGCACAGAAACCCTTTTGGGTTTCTCAGAGCAGTTCTTGTGCCAGCCACCAGGGCACTTGCAGCTGCCTTGTATGTGGCAGCTGAGTTGTGCATCACCACGTGTGTGGATAGGTTAACTGGTAGGCACACACTATGGAATACCCATGGATCTTAGAAGCAGGGAATGATATGCACATACTGTCACATGGTGATACCTTAGAACTGGAAAAAAGAGCAGGAAACCAAATGCTATTTACAGCATACCATTTATGAATTAAAAATACAATCCTCCTACAGAATAATACCATGTATCTCACAAGAATATATCATTATCAAAGGATCCCTTGAAACACATGAGTATAGCAACTACTGGAGCGAGGGGAATGCAGTGAGTGTGATGCTGCCATGAATCAAATAGGATGATTAACTCAATTCTTTACCCCTGAGGCCCAGAAAAAAATGAATAAAAAAATAGCAGCATCAGATATTTTATGGAGACAGGAATCTGGTTTTTTTCTTTTCTTTTTTTTTTTTTGAGACGGAGTCTCGCTCTGTGGCCCAGGCTGGAGTGCAGTGACGCAATCTCGGCTCACTGCAACCTCTACCTCCCAGGTTCAAGTAATTCTCCTGTCTCAGCCTCCCGGGTAGCTGAGACTACGGGTGCCCACCATCACGCCCAGCTAATTTTTGTATTTTTAGTAGAGACAGGGTTTCACCATATTGGTCAGGCTGGTCTCCTGGCCTCAGGTGATCCACCCGCCTCGGCCTCCCAAAGTGCTGGGATTACAGGCGTGACCCACCAGGCCCGGCCCTGTTTTCTTTATTTTACTGACAGAGGCCTGTGTGCACCTGAAAGTGTCTAAATCAAAATCTATATATACAACTTGTTTGGAAGTAAGCAGAGAGAACTGCAAAGACAGGAAGGTCTCCAGCTGTGCACTGCCCAAGCATCTCCTGTCAATGCAGCTAGCTTTCCAAGAATGGCCTGTGGTTCTTCTTTACTACTTGCTACTCTGTCCTTGACATTCATAATACACGGGTCTTGGACCTCAGGCCTCCAGAACTGTGAGAAAATATGTTTCTGAGGTAGATAATAAGTTTCTGAAACAGATACATTGTTTAAGCCACCCCATCTGTGGGATTTTGTTACGGTAGCCCTAGTACACAAATACAGCAGGTATTGGCAGAGCTGGGATTTAGGCTCACAGGTGCAACAATCAGCCTTCAGTCCTGGGTTCCCTGTTTAGTGATGTTATCTTCTAGCAA
This sequence comes from Homo sapiens, assembly GCF_000001405.40. Lineage (NCBI taxonomy): Eukaryota > Metazoa > Chordata > Mammalia > Primates > Hominidae > Homo > Homo sapiens. Next base: position 68,717,333 of record NC_000014.9, on the reverse strand, counting down.
GTGAAGCTGTGGTCACTTTCCTGTTAGACACTCTCATCTTTGGGGGTTGAAAGAGCCGAGTAAGGGCCGGGCATGCGGGGGGTGACACCTTTAATTCCAGCACTTTGGGAGATCAAGGCAGGAGGATCTCTTGAGGCCAGGAGTTCAAGACCAGCCTGGGAAAAATAGCAAGGTCCCTGTCTCTATTTTATTAAAAAATAAAAACAAAAAAGAGCTGAGCAAGGTGGATCTATGGAAAGAATAAGAGGGATACCATGAACTCGCTCAATCCCATTGCTTTACTCTGGGCAGCAGCTGGGGAAGCCATGAGATGTCAGCCAATTGACAGAGTACCCGGCATTTATCAGGCCCCAGGTGAGGGGAGCTAGCATGCCTTGGGATATACATTCAGCTGGAAGCGCCTCTCAACTGCCAATAATTCCTTTACAAGTGCCATAGGCCTGAGTAAATATGTACTGCTCCCTGCGGGCTCTCCTAGGGACTGCTCCTTAAACAAGGCCCATTGTGGTGTTTGAAAGCACAGTTCCTTCTGATATTAGACCAGAGATGATTGTTCCCATATCAAAGAACTCATGAAGGTCAACAAAGCTCAGGAATGGAGGAGTTGAACCTGGGTTCATCTGTGGTGCTGGGGGAGCCTTGCCCATACTGTTCATGCTAGGAAAATGTCCCAGGCAGAGACTGGAGGACAAGGGCTACTTCCTATACTCTTGAATTTTAGCAGTGTTGAGGCAAAGAAGTCCTCTTGTTCTTTGTTTTTGTGGGTTTTTTTTTGGGGGGGTTGTTTGTTTTTGTTTTTGGTTTTTGGTTTTTGTTTTTTTTTTTAGATGGAGGCTCACTCTGTCGCAAGGCTGGAGTGCAGTGGCGTGATCTCAGCTCACTGCAACCTCTGCCTCCCGGGTTCAAGAGATTCTCCCGCCTCAGCCTCCCGAGTAGCTAGGATTACAGGCATGCACCACCATGCCTGGCTAATTTTTGTATTTTTAGTAAAGACAAGGTTTCACCATGTTGGCCAGGCTGGTCTTGAACTCCTCACCTCAAGTGATCCACTCACCTTGGCCTCCCAAAGTGTTGGGATTACAGGCATGAGCCACTGTGCCCGGTCTTTTCTTGTTCTTTCTGTGATTCGTGTTGTCCGCGTTCCTGCTTGTCAGCTCTCACCAGTCTTCTAGGAACAGAGGGGTTTTGCAGGGAGAGGGGAATAGACATTGTGTGTCTCTGTTTTTATATTTGTTGGGAGACCTTGTAGCAGGGATTGTGTGTGCATGTGTGTGACGATGGTGAGGTAGTGGAGGTAAGAATAGGCATAAAGGAAGGGAGAAGGGACAGCCCAGATTCTCTTGGCTCTCCTGAAGGGTTTGAGAACCTATTGAAACTTGGGCTTTTTCTCAGCCAGCACTTACCATTTAAAGGCCTGGTTTGAGGGGGCCTTTCTGTTACTAACAGGCCATACCCTTCCGGCACTATTACCCTGTTGGTCCAGCAAAAACCCTTGTTGAAAACAGTGTCTCAGCTTATCTTGGTTTAAGGTATTTGCCTCCTTCCCCTACCCACATTCATGGGACTGTGACTGGAATCCAGTGAAACAGGCATGAGTTCAAAGTCTTTGTCTACCGCTTACATTGCATGAGACCTTGGTGATCACTTAATTCTTGAGTCTCAGTTTACCCAACCATAAATTGGGAGAATAGTTTTGATTCCATAAGACTGCTAAGAGGAATGAATAAAATAGAAAATGCTTTTGGCATATGGTGGATATTCAAAAATATTAGTTTTCTTCCTCCCACCCAAATATTAGCTAGGCAGTTTATGTCATTCATTCAACAAATGCTTATTGGGTGTCAACTAAATGCTGGCAGAGGGTGCCCCCTGCAGTTGTGCAACATGGTTGCCCAGATGTCCCCGCCCTTAGGAAGCGTACAGTATAGTGGCTAAAAAGCAAAGTGGAATCAAGTGTTAGGGAAGTGGTGGCATCATATTTTCTTAGCCTTGTTCTCTGATGTCTCCTCATTTGGCAGTGAGGCTAGATAGGAACCTCAGGCTCAAGGGGAATTCTCTGAACTGAACTTTGAGAACAAGACAATAGTGACTCACAACAGGTTAGTTTCCATCAGCAGCAAAGGAAGGGCTGGGGAAGAGCTCAGGGAATCAAACAGCTGTCACAACAACCCTCGTCATCTTCTATTTATGTGGGACTCTTCCCCCCTTGCAAGCTAAGTGCTAAGTGGACATTACTCAGTGAATTCTCTCACCCTCCTCGTGGGGCAGGGAGGAGGCGAAGATTCTTAGAGATGAGGAAACAGGCAAGGCAAAAAGATAACTGCCTTGCCTGAAGTCACACAGCTAGCACAAGTAGTGGACTGAGAATTGGGTTGACCAACTTGGAGCCCACTGGCTCATACTCTGATCATGGGACAAGGAGGTCAGGATGCTGTGTGTGGCTGTGGGAAGCAGGGTTAGGAAAGCTTTACAGCTTGTTCTGATGCTTGACAAATACAAGTTCCTTTATAAGTTATTATTATTTTTAAAATATATTTTTGAGGTAAGGTCTTGCTCTGTTGCCCGGCTGAAAGTGCAGTGATGAAATCATAGCTCACTGCAGACTCAAACTCCTGGGCTCAAGTGATCCTCCCTCCTCAGCTCCCTGGGTAGCTAGGATTACAGGTGTGCACCACCACACCCGGATAATTTTTTTATTTTTCTAGAGGTAGGGTCTCACTATGTTGCCCAGGCTGGTCTTGAACTCCTGGCCTCAAGTGATCCTCCTGCCTTGACCTCCCAAGGGACAGGGATTACAGGTGTGAGCCACTGCACCGGGCTCCAAATATGAGTTTTAACTCTACACTCCGTTCTGCTTTGGTGGCCCAATGCATTACATTTAGGGACATTCCAGTGTTGGTCCCCTCCCTGTTCTCTGATGCTGTCCATAGGATGTTAATGTGATAGAACCTTAGACGTAATCCAACCCAACCCCCGATGTTACAAATGAGGAAACTGAGGCCCAGAGAGATGAAATGACTGACTCAAGGTCACACAGATCTAGGTCTAGAACTCAATTCCCTCAGCCATCTCTCAAGATTCTTTCTCTTCCACTGGAAGTTTCCCAGTAATGGCCCTGCTTTCCAGCCCTGACTCTCTCAGTTCTTATCTGTGGCAGCTCCTGACATCCTAGGTCAGAGATCCAAGCCTCCAGTTCTCCTGTCAGTGCCCCTTGTTGGTGGCCAGCTTTCTGGACCACCTCTTTGGGATTTTTCTGGGAGCACCATCTTCCTCCAGGGCTGTCCTGAACCGTAGACACAGCGTGGGTGCTTGGAATTGGCAGGATTCTTGAGATTGAAGGACGGGAGCCGCAGCTCCTCCCATCCTTGCACTTATCTGCAACATCAGCGTTCTGAATCGCCTCTCCGGCTGGAGTGCTGAAAGCATTTAGCAAATGGGGGAATATTTTCTAATGACAGTGACTTCTCCACTGTAGATAACATCTGTGTCAGCAAACTCTTTTACCTACCAAGCTTGCCATTTTCTTTGACCACACTGTTGTACTGCTTCAGAGGTCTCTACTGGTTTAGTCAAGTGATGTCTTGGATGAGCCTCTGCCTCTGGCCTCTGTCCATTGACCATCCTACCTTCGTATCCCCCATCTCGAGCCTTGTGGACCGGCTAGCCAGCTTTTGCTCTGCTTCTCCCGACACAATTCCCACACTTGAAGCCCTCTGGTGTGAATATATGAGAGATGGCCTTAGGTGGGAATTGTCTCATTTTATGGTTTTTAAAAATGTTGAGTTTGTGCTTTTCAACCTTGTTTGTCTCTTTTGGTCCTGGGAGCAGGGAGTCTTAAACTTTGTAGATCTCGCTGGCCTGTTTACTCAGCACGTTCACACCAGCCTCAGACATGGCTGCTGACCCTTTCTTCCCCATTTCTTCGGGAGTATACATAGCCTGATCACCACCATTGCTTAGGAGCTTGCTGTGTAGACAGCACAACTCTGGCACACAGAATGACAGGAAAGGAGAGAGGAAGGACCGTAAGGCAGCACAGTGAGAGGTTGCCAATTCTGTGGCTGAAATGGGTCCTCTACGGTCAGAGGGGGCTGCTGGCTGTCTCAGCTCCAGGATCCCAGAAGCACCAAAGAAGGGCTACCCATAGAGGGAAGGTGGAGCTGGCTGGCTGGTGTGAATGAGCTGGTGTCCGGGGTCGGGGCGCAGGCAGGTGAGCAGATCAGCACACCCTTCTCGGCCATGAGAAACCCATGGTGGAGGCCTGCTGGCGCTTCCTGCACTACTTACCTGCTTGGGGTTGTCTAAAGCCTCTCTCTCCTGACGCTCCAAGCACTTTACATTTATCTCACTCATCTGCACACTCAGAGAAGTGGGGAAGAGACGGGTATTATTATCACCACTTTACAGATAGAGAAACTGGGGCACAGAGCAGGTGCGGTGTGCGGGCCGGGCCGGGTTGAGAACACAGTCTGACTTCAGCCTGAAGGACACACCGATGGCAAACCTCATATCTATTACATTAAAAAATTAACTGTAAAAAATTCAGATGGTCATCACGTTTGAGATATAGGTTCCTCTGAAGGAGAGAAAGGGGGATAGGTGCCTGGCATCAGAATTGCCTGGGATCTTCTGTTGTAGTGATCATGCTTTGGGTGTTTTCAAGTTGGGTGGTGAGTACATGGCTGTGATATTTTTCTTATTTCTTTTCTGTATGTCCTAAATGTTGCACAGTAAATTAAAGTCATTGAGATAATACAAAAAGCATGAGATTATTCTTCAAAATGCAAGCATTTCAACTTTTATTCCTGAGACCCTGGGTGTCAAGGGTAGAAAGCATTGCTTAACACAACCAAAGGGGTGGTGTATCTCCAGTGAGAATGGGAGGGGAACCATCTGGCAGAAAAACAATCATGGAATTCCTTATCATGAAGTCAAAAATTAAATTGAGCATTTTGCAAGTATTTCCTGAACACCTACGGTGTGCCAAACACTGGTTTAGGCCCTGAAAAACATAATACGGTTCATCTGCTCAGGGCCCTTCCGTTCTAGTGAGAAACAAAGGTAAAAATATGTCAGTAGTCAGCAAATATCATTGTAGAAGCTGGGCTGAAGGCAAGAGGAAGAGGTTTAAGTAGAGATAATAGTTCAGGGGAGAAGGCCTCTTGGAGGAGGGGCTCCCCCCGTGAACCCATCTCTCAGTTCCAAAGGACTCCTTCTCTGTCATCTCTCACCACACAGATTTGAGGAGCAGCACAGCTCACTTAGGAGGAATGGGGTGAGGGTGGGGACAGAGCTAGTGACATGGGCCTAACACCCTGGCCAGTCTGGGTGCTGGTTCCACCCTGGGTGTGCCTAGGGCCTGTGCGTTATACCTTAATGAGGGGTTGGGCCAATGGTGATGTGTTTCATCCTTTTTTAATGAGGTGCTGTTTTGCATAGATAAATAGTATGATTGTGATGTGGGAACCAAATGGCAGATCATTTTGCAAAAAGCACTGGGCAGAGGTGAGATTATGAAACCAGTTCTGCTTCAGGCCTGCTGCCTGAGCGTGGGAACCCGGAGGTGTCTGAGTCTGGGCCTCAATCTGGGCCGACTGGATCGAGGCCGCCCTCTCTAGTTCACCTCTCAGCAGCTGGGCTGGGACAGGAAGATGCCTCTCCACTTTTTACCTGTGTTTCAGTATCCCAGGCAGGGCAAGCAGATGGGGGAAGGCAGGTGGCCTCCCACCTGCTGTCCTCACGTGAACATATGGTCTGAGGTTGATGGGACCAATGATCTGGTCTGAGGCCCGGGACCAAAGCTCTTAACGTGTATGGAACTGATTTCTTATTGCTGGAGAATAAGAGCTGAAGATTTAGGTGCTGTAGGAGGTGGGTCTTGGGCAGTCCAGTCTGAGGCTCAAAGAGGTTTTGTGCATTGTTGAAAAGCAGGAAACAGGGAAAAGGAAAACATCCTTGGTTCTGGGTTTACAATGGACTTCCTAGCTGCGGTAGTTGGATCTCAGAAGAGGAGGTAGAGGTCTGAAGGGAGAGGCTGCTTGCACAGTCAGGCGGGAGAACTCAAGCAGGGTGGAATGAGATAGAGAAGACAGTTGAAGAAGAAGAACCAGGGCTCAGATTTCTAGACGGAGGATGTTCCTGTAATGCCCCACTCAAGTGGGACTTTGGAATGGCTGGAATGGTCATCCAGCAAATAAACGTACTGCACATTGTTTGTGCTTTAATGTACCCACATGCCTGCCTTTTGTCAGGTTCAAAACACCAGATCCAGGAGATAAGTAAAGCCAAGACCAGCGCTGCCCAGGATGGAGACACAGGTGCCTACTTCTCCAGTGGTGGCTGCGGCGAAGGCAGAAGTGAGAGTGCCCCCTACAGAATACATCAGGGAGAGGCAGCCTGGGGTATCAGTATGAGCCTAGGCAAAGGCCATCCATTCATTCACTCTGTGGACAACCATTTGTGGAACACCTACTGAGGTGTCAATAAGACAAAGATCCCATCTTCGAGGAAGCGAGATCAGAATAACTTCCTCACATTACACATCTGGAGAGCAACCAGTTTTTTTCCTCCCGGTTTTCCGTGGTTCCTCGGCACACTGTCACAACTGCAGCCCTAGGTAGGAGGTGAGACTTGGCTAATGGTCTTCCTTACATCCAGACCTCCACTTCCCTCTTCTACTGGTGGAGCAGCTGGGGAAGGGCAGGATGAGAATTGGGGGAGTTGGCTCTACTCTTCCCAAGGTCTTAGGACTCAATGGGACGCCTCTGGATAGTTCCCAGACATGTTGGGTGGTGTGGCAAGGAGTGTTAATGATTTAATGATGCAATTCAATTATGCCAGGCTGTTAATGAGCTAAGTGCAGTATCTTTATTATGCATCAAATACTGGAACACATTAAGTACCTGTAGTGTCTCAGGTCTTCCCCACATGCTACATTAAAATCATGATTCTATAAGAAGCTCATAACCCCTGCTTGTCTAACTTCTTCAATGATCTGACCTTAAATTGATCTGTAAAACCAACTGTGACCTTTATCCTAGAGCTTCAAGAAAGTGGCTTAATAGGGGATTACAATATTCATGTTTCATGTCATCCCAGGAATGGTCTTTGGTCCTTATTCTACTGCGTTCTCACTGTAGGGAACCACTGTAGATTCCTACCACACCACTAATTCCAGTTCTGGAAATGAATTCTATAAAAATTATTCAACAGAAGCAAAAAAAACCTACATGTTTGAAGATGTTCACTGTGCTTAAAAATTGGAAATGATACAGCACATAGAAGATATAAAATATTAGAGGACTAATTGTGCAAGTTATAGGAAATCTGTGTGTGGTATATTATTTAAACATTAGAAATGATAATGACAATGCCTTTGCCACATAGTGGAAGATGTCTCTTATATCATAGTAAACAGAAAAGGTAGAATATAAATCAGTATGTACCTTTGGCAATCAGTTGGCATGCATGTTGAAGGCTGTTTGCAAAAGATAATTATGTTAGGATAATGAGGTATAGGTGCCAAGCACGGTGGCTCACACCTATAATCTAGCACATTGGGAAGCCAAGGCAAGAGGATCACTTGAGGCCAGAAGCTCGAGACTGGCCTGGGCCATATAGCAAGATCTGTCTCTACAAAAAATAGGTGGGATTGGTGGTGTGAGCTTGTAGTCGTAGCTACTCTGGAGGCTGAGGTGGGAGGATCACTTGAGTCCAGGAGTTTGAGGCTGCAGTGAGCTATACTTGTGATACAGAGCCTGGGTGATACAGACAGGTCCTGTCTCAAACACACAAAAAGAATGGTGAGATGTAGGTAATTTGATTATCTTACAATATTAGTGTTAAGGCTGGATGTAATTTTCAAGCACACTAAGAGAAGGAAAAAAATCCTACCTTAGAATATTATAGCAACATCTCATGATTAACCATTTTCTTCATTACGCTCAACTTGCTCCCAAAGTGAGGTGTGGGAACTGGTGGTGTCTGAGTGACCTTGGAATTGTACTCAACAAGCTGATTCCTGGGCTCTGCCCCACCTAGAACCAGAATCCTTTGGGGCATCATCCAAGAATTGGCAGTTCAGCCAAGCTTTGCAGTGATTTTAATGCACGTTCATGTTTGAGAACCACTGTTCTAGAAGTTCTCAGAATCAAATTGTAAACAGATGACAACAAGAAGCAGAAATTGATTTTCCCTCATGAGAAGCAGCCAATTCTCTGAAAGTCAACTTACTTAGGAGTCATTTCACCAGTTCTTTGAATTTGCCAATAGGTCAAAACCTTGTTTTGAAACAATGATTTTTTGAAACATATTCAATGACTATGTTCTCCATGAACATCTGATTGTGTTCTGCCTGAATGTGTTAGTAACTATGCATTAGGAATGTATTCTTATTTGATTAAATATATTTTCATGAATATATTTCTTACAAATATATTCATAAGAAAAAGAAAATATTTTCATTAAAATGACACATTAAAATATATTCAAAAAGAACATATTTATAAGGTAACTAAACCATTCTAGGCCTCTGAGCTTTTGACAAATTGAATATTCTTTAAATTGCTGTTAAGAAACAGATATTTATGGAGAATATTCAAATAATTCTTATGAAATTTGTGAATTTCATGAACTCAAAGAATTGCCATTTAGCAAATTGGTCCTTTGGCAATTGAACTTTTGTTGAATTGACCAAGAGTCTCCTTGAAAAGCCCAAGGCACCCCACCCATGCTGAGGTTCAGGAGCCGCCTGGTGGCCTCAGAGGCTGAGGATCGGTTGGTAGGATGCAGGAGGATCTGGGCAAGGGATCTCTCTCCACTGAATCCCCGAGGTTCACCCAGAGAGTCCCAAGAAGGCCAGTGGTAGCTTTTCCTCTGTCCACATCCAGTTGGGTCTGAAACCGGCCACCCGCTTCATCAAGGAGAGCAGCTCTTACCAGTCTTTTAAAGATGTGAACTTGAAAAGGGAGGACAATGATTTGTAGTTTAATTGGAGAATTAGGGACAGACCATACTCTTGAGGAAGTCCCTGTATGTCTTGCTTTACCTCACCTAGAGATGGGGGTTCCCCACGGAGAACCTTCACCAGGGGACCCTCCTCTGTGACTCTGCCATAACTCTGTTGCTTATGGAGATTCACACATGACCACTATTTTGGTGAGCAGCTAGCGAAAGAGATCCCAAAAGGAGACTGTGCCCATGCCAGCAGCCACTGGCAGTCTTAGGAAATCACTGACAATGTCAGGTGCCATTTATTGAGTGCTTTCCATGTAAGAGTCATGTATTCACCAATTTCCAAGTACTATCTCATTTAATTATCACAGCAATCTGTCAGGTAGGTCCTGCTATGATTGCCGGTTTATAGATGGGGAAATTGAGACCTAGAGATGTAAATCTCTTGCTTGAGGCCTCAGGACCACATGTGGTTGACTTGGGATTTGAAATCAAGCATCCTGGCTCCAGAACTCCTTCCTCCTTTGGTTAGCAAGAAACACTCGAGGTTTTATTGCCTGAAACCCATCTGCTGCTAGCGTGTCTCGAGGATGAATGTTTAAGGAGAACATGAAGTACTAAAGGAAGATATTCTCTTAGATGGCCTGTTATGGGTTTGTTGCAGATGATTCAAGTGGACCAAAGGGATTTAAGTAGGCTCTGGGTCTTGGAACCAAGAGCAGATGAAAGCCAAGGAGTCTTTGCTAAATCAAAAAAATAATTAATCAACGATACAGGTCCTGAGAACTCCTCTGAGTGTCAGAGCCTGAGGGAGATGGAAAGCTCCATGCTTATGCTTTCTTTGTAAGGTTGCCAGAGAGTATATAGGATCCCCAGTTAAATTCAAGTTTCAGATAAACAATTCTTAATATAAGTAGGTTCCAAATATTACATGGCATATACTAACACTATTTTTTTGTTGTTCTTTATTTGAAATTCAAGTTTAACTGGAAGTCTGGTGTTTCTATTTGCTAAATCTGGCAACCTAATTTATCTGGGAAGACAGCTCATAACCCAGGCAGTGTGTCCATAAGAAGTAAGATAATGAGGCCTTTCGAGAAGGAGAAGTTCTGGATTTGAACCCAAGGAGGTAACACGATCTCCTGAGTAACAGTCTTTGGAAGGGGCCTTGTGATAGGAAGGCTTCCTGGCAGGGCTGGTTCCTAAGGATGGTGGGAAGGATCTGGAAGGGCAGAAAGGGCGGAAGACTCCAGGCACATGTGGGACTAGCAAGCAGACAATGAAATATCTTGAGGAGACTTCATGCTGGGGAGGACCGGAGGTGGAAGATCAGTCTGGGGAAGAGTCTTGAAGGTTCTGCTCAGGAATCTGGACAATGTCCTTTGGACAAGGATGAGGGGCTAATTTTGGCAGGATTTTGGGAAGATGAATCTGGTGATGGCACGTAAGACTGGCAGGAAGAGTGCACGAATGAGTAGGTGTGAGGAACTGAGCATGAGGTGGTGAGGGTCTGTGGCAGTGGGAGAGGAAGGTGACCAGAAGGACATTCCAAAGGAATGGTCTCATCTTGCAAGAGGACAGATGGCTTACAGTGGCTGTCTCCTCACAAGTGGGAGACCTGGGCCCTGCTGGGCCTAGAGGAGGAGAAGGCAACAATGGGTACAGAATCCCAGAGGCAATACTCTCATGTGAGGTGCACCCTGAGAAGTGTGACCACAGGAAGGGACAGGGAGGAAGAGAGTGAGTGCCACATCTTGTTCTATTCCACTCCCTCCCTGAATGCACACACACACGCACACACGCACACACGCACGCACATTCACCACTCTGTGCTTATTAGGTTTATGTAGATTTCCATAAATAGTGAACTCCTGTTTTAACTTCAGATAGTATTTATTAAGGATACAATTTTAGCCTTGGATTCTGTTGTTTACTTCCCTTGGAGCCAGTCTTTTGAAGACTTCTACTGCCAAAGCTGTTAGCAGCTTAGTGAGTGACCCTTCTTTTCTGTGTCCTTTCATAGCTGGGACAACTCCTGTTTCTGGTAAAACGTTTTGAGATCCTCTGAAGAAAAGCACTTCAGCAGCACAGGCGATGACTGCTATGTGGCCAGGTCATCCCTCGCCCTGGCCCTGGCATCAAGCCAATCCTGAAAAGCCCGCTCAGCTGTTATAGGCTTTCCCAGCAGAGCCACCTGGGCAAGAAAGGAGCGGCCCAGACAGGTTGGAAATGGAAACAGTCCCAGCCCTTTCCTGGGACTGGGTGGGACGGGACAGACCCACAGGGGCAGGGCAGGGGGGCGGAGTCTCCTCCAGCCAGGGCCTGGCTCTGGGTACTCTTGCTTGATCTGATCTTCTCCCTGCCCTAGGGTTAATTAGGGCTGGGCTTACAGCAATGGTGACTTTCCAGGGTGACCTGGAGGAAAGGTGTGGGCCCAGTGGACCAGTGCATTGTGGGAAGGGAGAATGTTAACCCCCCGGCAGGATGATGGGTACTCAGGGCGAGCAAGTGCAGTCAGACCCTATTTCAAACACATGACTGCAGGCCTCCTGACCGCAGGTCTTGGGCCAAGCGACTGCTACCAAGTGACACTGTGCAGGCAGGGGAGCTTCGGTGTCTTCCCTGAGAAACTGACCAAGGCCAAGGCATACTTGGGCTTAGGTTTCCTGCAGGAACTATGGCTAGCTAGCTCACCCCGGCACACGCTGACCTTGCATCAAGGTGACCTGAACTTCATTGATGGGGAGAATGGGGAAGGGAGACATTACGTGAACTGGCCATTTATTCTCACGCTGCCAGCCAGCCACTTTCCCATGGGAAACAGACCCACTTCACCCTCACTCCCCGTCACTCAAGGGCTGAACCAGGGTTTCTGAAGCAGCCAAGTGGACCTGCTGACCTTTCCTTGTTCTTTGGGCACCTTTTGCCTGTACGTGGACTGTGAGCGCCCTTTCCCAGGAATGCCCTTCCTCCACCTGCCTCTCTGTCTGGTGAACTCCTTGTCATCTGACAAAACTGGCTCCAAAGCCTCCTCCCCTGTGAAGCTTGCCAGTTTCCTCCTTTGATGCCTCCTTCTCAGGGCTCTCTTCTCTTTCTTTGCTGGAGAGAGAGCACTTATGTAACCCACTGCACTGAGAGCTTGATGCCCGAGGCCCCAGATCCACACGAGACTCTGAACTCAGTCCCTGTCACCTTCCTGATCCAGCCTGGGGCTCCTGAATTCTTGGGGCTGAGCCTGGGCCTGAACTTTTCAGGGTTGCTGGGAGGCAGCGCCATGCCACTAGGGCTCTGAGCAACCTTTCAGCTCCCGGTGGCATCCCCAGGTCACTGTCTGACCAAGCAGAAAGTGCCCAGGTCAGGATTCACACACCACCACCTGTGGCCTTGTCTCAGCCTTACTCCGCCTTTCCTGGCTCCTCTCTGAGGCACTGATTCCTCCTTCACCCTCCAGACTCCTCCACTGATCGCTCCCTGACTCAGCACTGTCCTGGCTTGCAGAGCCAGCCTCTCCGTTCTGATTCCCAGCAACTGGGCCAGGCGGCCTTCCTGAGATGCAGTGGCTGGTTGGCACTGCCTCCTCTAGTGTGTGTTGGGGGAGACACCTCAGCCAGGCCTGAGGCTCGGGTGAGGTGGGGAGAAGGCCCAGGAGAGGTGGGGGATGAAGGTGGGGAGACCAAGGGACCAGCCTACCGTCCACAGCAGTGGTTCTTCATGGTGGGGGTGTAGGGCGAGACATTTGGCAAGGTCCAGAGAAATCTTTGGTTGTCACAACTGGCAGGGGGAAGGAGTGCTACAGATATCTAGTGTGTAGAGGCTGAGGACGCTGCTCGCCATCCTACAATGGCCAGGACAGCCCCTTAACAAAAAATAACTTGTCCAAAGTGTCAGCAGTGCTGAGGCAGAGAAACCGTGCTTCGGTGAGAAGGGATGGGGCCAGCAGGGATGGGGGCCTTATGTTTGAGAGGTGGGCTCAAGTGGGCTTCCCTCACCTGAGTGGATGGTTATCCTCAAGCCACATCTGTGGCCTCTCCGCCCCTTCCGGGCTCCTCCTGCGGAGCCACAGTTCCCTGGAGTGTCCGGGGTCTCACTGCTCACTGCTGTCCTGACCTCCCCAGTGGGGGCTGCGGGGCAGTTTCTACAGCCAGGGGATATTGGATGAAAATAGAGGAAATCTTTTACCTGCTCCCCCCATCTCCTAATTTTTTTATAAATAGAGATGGAGTTTTGCTCTGTCACCCAAGCTGGAGTGCAATGGCGCGATCAGGGCTTACCGTAGCCTCGAACTCCTGGGCTCAAGTGATCCTCCTACCTCAGAGCCCCGAGCAGCTGGGACCACAGACGCAGGTGTGCACCACCACACCAAGCTCAGTTTTTAATTGTTTGCAGAGACAGAGTCTTGCTATGTTGCCTGGGCTGGTCTCCAACTCCTCAACTCCAATGATCCTCCCACCTCAGCCTCCCAAAATGCTGGGATTACAGGTGTGAGGCAGCACACCTGGCCCTCTACTTGCTTTTATTTTGTTCCATGTCAGCCCACAGTTTCACAGGGCCAAGGGGCCAAGGGTTTTGTTACCTTATTTTTAAAATGCTATATATAAGGGACCTTTTTTCTTTTATTGATGTATAATAATAGTGTTCATTACCATGCATCGATCACTTATTTTGTGCCAGGAACTTTCACACTTTATATGATTTCATTGTCACAACAATCCTACTAGATAATATTATTATTACTCTTCGGGGAAAATATCCCCAACAGTCCGGATTGGTGACATAATTTGCCCAGGAAGCAGAGATACAAGGCAGCAGTGCTGCGATTGGAACCCAGTCTTTGACCCCCAAATCTGTAAGAGAAACCCCCTGAAGATTTCTCCTGCAGGAAGCTGATGTCTCAGAGGAGCCTCGAGTGAAAAGTGATGCGGGGCTCTTGTGTCTGCCCAAACTGTGCGGATGTGGGTGGGGGCGGCCGGGAGAGGAGCTTCAGGCAGGTAAACATGGGGCAGGGGCCTCTGGGAGACAAGAGGCTACTAGAGGATGTGGGCTGATTCTTGTGAGGGAGTGACTAATACTCACTACCATGAGTCAGCCGAGGCCTGGAAACATCCTCATCCTCCTCCCGGGGCAATGTCCCAACCCCTGATCAGTGCTCCCTACCCCTGAAATGGGTTCAGCTGCCTGAAAGGAAGCTTCCCATGAGGCTCTGGCAAAACGCTGTCCATCCTATTCTCCCAGCCCTGCAGGGAGCTCCCCAGCCTGGCGGCGGCCTGAACCCCCACTGTCCTCCTCAGCTCTGCCCAGGCTAGAAGAAGAGGGGCCCAAGGAAAAAGGAAATGGGGACCAATAGGGCAAGGAAGAGTGAGTTTCTCCAGTGCCAGGGCTGAGAGTCAGGCTCACCTCCAGGGGTCCTGGGCTATGAGGGGCTGCAGGAGGTTGGCAGGCTCACCAAGAGCCAGAGGTGGTTTTCCTCTTCTCAGTTCTTTGTTCCCTAGAGAGCCCTCTGTCTGCATTGACTTGGACTCCCAGAAATGTGCTGGTCCACCCTGGGTAGATCTCCTGGCTGGGCCTGTGGCTTCCGTCTCTGAAGGAAGGCTGGATGCACCAGGGTTTCCTCTTTGCTCTCCCATTGCTCCATACAGCCACAGGTACCCCTTAAGGGAGGTGGCGCTATCCTCTTAGGAGAGAGGAGGAGCCTAAAGCTCAGGAAATTAAATAACTCACACAGTGAAGGGGAGCTGGGGCTTGAACCCCTGTCTCTGCCT